>NC_000015.10:19775254-20375254 GCF_000001405.40 Homo sapiens | reverse complement strand
AGATATGTGGTATTATTTCTGAAGGCTCGGTTTTGTTCCATTGGTCTATATCTCTGTTTTGGTACTAGTACCACGCTGTTTTGGTTACTGTAGCCTTGTAGTACAGTTTGAAGTCAGGTAGTGTGATGCCTCCAGCTTTGTTCTTTTGCCTTCAGATTGTCTTGGCAATGCGGGCTCTTTTTTGGTTCCATATGAACTTTAAAGTAGTTTTTTCCAAATCTGTGAAGAAAGTCATTGGTAGTTTGATGGGGATGACATTGAATCTGTAAATCACCTTGGGCAGTATGGCCATTCAACCTGATACCAAAGCCTGGCAGAGACACAACAAAAAAAAAGACAATTTCAGGCCAATATCCCTGATGAACATTGATGCAAAAATTCTCGATAAAATACTGGTAAACCGAATCCAGCAGAACGTCCAAAACCTTATCCACCACGATCAAGTGGGCTTCATCCCTGGGATGCAAGGCTGGTTCAGCATACGCAAATCAGTAATCATAATCCATCATATAAATAGAACCAAAGACAAAAACCACCTGATTATCTCAATAGATGCAGAAAAGGCCTTTGACAAAATTCAACAGCCCTTCATGCTAAAAACTCTCAATAAACTAGGTATTGATGGGACATATCTCAAAATCATAAGAGCTATTTATGACAAACCCACAGCCAGTATCATACTGAATGGGCAAAACTGGAAGCATTCCCTTTGAAAACTGGCACAAGACAGGGATGCCCTCTGTCACCACTCCTATGCAACATAGTGTTGGAATTTATGGCCAGGGCAATTAGGCAGGAGAAAGAAATAAAGGGTATTCAATTAGGAAAAGAGGAAGTCAAATTGTCCCTGTTTGCAGACGACGTGATTGTATATTTAGAAAACCCCATGGTCCCAGCCCAAAATCTCCTTAAGCTGATAAGCAACTTTAGCAAACTCTCAGGATACAAAATCAATGTGCAAAAATCACAAGCATTCCTATACACCAATAACAGACAAACAGAGAGCCAAATCATGAGTGAACCTCCCATTCACAATTGCTTCCAAGAGAATGGAATACCTAGGAATGTGGAAACACATTGTGAGGGTGGAATACTTTGTAGTATGAAGGGGAGGTCTCTAAGTCATCTTGATGCAAAGGAGGCACCCCTTAACAGGAATGTGTTGGTCATATCTGCGGACGATGTTGAAATATAAGGGATATGAGTTTACAATATTTTTAGATGTAATAATCCAGATGCTCTTACTCCATGAGAGTTTCATTCTTTCCTGGCCTGAGTTTTTAATGTGGTTATAGCAGACCTGCTTAGTTTGAGAGTTTAAGTTTTTTTACAGCTCTCTTCTACTCTTATGATTGAGACTTTGGTTTGGTCCTCAACATTCTTTGCCTCTAGCTGCAGTAAATGAGATCCTCTTTACATGCTACTTGCTTTCATGCACTGGCATTCACGCTTAGCTTTTAATTTCAGATTAATGAATCATATTTTTATCTTTTTCTTCAAGGCATACTTCAAGTTTAGCAAAGCTACTCAATTCCACTCTCCTTATAACTACTACGTCTCCAATATTTCTCAAATATTTAACACATCACACCACATCATCTAGTGCATTCTCTTCTACTGAGTGTATACCATTCTCTTCTACTGAGTGCATACCATTCTCTTCTACTGAGTGCATACCATCCCTCCGCCAATGAAGATTTTAAAAATGGCACTGTTCCCTTGTGCCAGGGGCTGCCTTTACTTATTTATCACCATTGATGGTGTCCTTGTTTCCTTTTTTTTTTTTTTTTTCGCTCTGTCATCCAGGCTGGAGTGCAGTGGTGTGATGTCGGCTCACTGCAAGCTCCACCTCCTGGGTTCACGCCATTCTCCTGCCTCAGCCTCCCGATTAGCTGGGACTACAGGCGCCCACCACCACGCCAGGCTGATTTTTTGTATTTAGTATTTGTATTTGTATTTAGTAGAGACGGGGTTTCACCGTGTTAGCCAGGATGGTCTTGATCTCCTGACCTTGTGATCCGCCCTGCTCGGCCTCCCAAAGTCCTGGGATTACAGGCGTGAGCCACTGCGCCCAGCCAGTGTCCTCATTTTCAACAGGGCAGTGGATAATCCAACTGCAAAATCTCATTTTAGCATCTGCTTTCTGAGACCAGTTCAGATACCAGCCCTTTTTGGTCAGGTTCCAGAAGAAGAAGGGCCTGATATGGGAATTAGCATGCAAAAGATTTATTGGGAGACTATTTTTGAGAATAATCCCCTAATAAATGAAAACTGCTTCCTCTGCCCAATCTTGCTTCCTGTCCTTCCTGTAAAAGACAAGGAAAGGGAAGAAAAGAAAACAAGATTGGGCCAAGGGAGCAGTTTTCATTCTTAATGAATTCTTTTCTCAGCTGATGGTGTCTGTATCTGGAGGGCCCCTCAGATCTATAAGGGGCCACAGAAAGGACCTGAGTCTTCATAAACCTGCATGAATCAGTTATTCATGTACATGCTGTCTCTTAGGAATTCATGAGATGAAGACAATTACCTCATCCAACATCACTTTGCCCTCTCAGGGCAAAATTGTGCAGCACAGTTCTCTGTTGTGCTGTCTAATGCATTGCAGATGTTTACAAGCATCCCTGGCCTCTACTCACTAGATGTCAGTAGCACCCTCCCCTAGTTCAAGAATTACACTGTTACTTGTGTCAGGGGCTGCCTGTACTATACATCAGCAGTGATGGCATCCTTCTTTCCATCTGGGTAGTCAGTAATCCAATTATATTAATTCAATGATTAGACTAAGTATATAATGTATATTTTCCCTCAAGTGATATCAAGAAGAAATGGAATGCTAAATTTAGCTAATTGGTAAATTTCACATATTTTATACCATTTGGACATGGGAGATTGGGAGTTAAATAAAGTTTGAAAGAATAATTTAGGCTAACATCCAGGGTGATCCCCCTGTCACCAAGGACCCTTTAGGACAAAGAGAAGATTAGAACTGCTGTCCTAAGCGTTTAAGATGACAACGGCAAGCTGTTGTAGTGTATATATCAGTGCGTGTGTTATGCATTAGAAAAAGGCTTTGCAAACTACCACATGCTCATAATAAAAACGTAGTGGAAAGATGATAGAAACACAAGTTTGAAGTACTACTGAGCTGCTGACTAGCTCAGTGACCTTGGTCATTTCACTCACTCACTGAGCTTTTCCTCACTCTTACTTGAAGATGATTCAAACCTTACAGTGTTAATATTTTTGTGCATATGTGAGTGCATTCATAAATGTCTGAAATTTAAAAGAAATTTAACTTATATATGTATATAAAATATGTACATATATATAAAAATATCTAGCATTATGCCTGGCCTGTAGTGGTTACTCAAATGCCAGATGAATTTTAATGACTAGCACTCAGCCTTACCTAAAAAGACAAGAACATCTTGCAAGTAATTGCTTCTGTCTTCTAAGATAACTGCTGCTGTTTGGCAACACAGTAGGGACTCCCAGTAGAAGCAACCTTGCTCTCATTGCATCTGCTCCAGAGAAATCAAGAAATAATTACCTTTTTATTTGGAGACTTGATTGATGCATCAGCCTTCCCCGTGGCTGTAGAGAGATAAACTGGGCCAAAGAGAATAACCTGGATTTTATTCTGCCTTGATTACTCCTGTTGCAGGGATAATTTGAGTTCAGGGCGGGAAGTACCACAGCTGATTAAAGAGAGGACCTTGGGCACATCAACTCTCAAATATCTTGATTACAGAAATTGGAGGCTCCCATTCCATGTTCATGAATACTGTGAAAATGTGACATCCTGCATTGCCAAGGTAGCTGTCTGAATTATATGAATACAAGGAGATACAGGGTTTAATGATCAGCGGCAATGTCAAGGACTGGAATCATGACAGGAACAAGTACTGCTTCCTAAAACACAGTGTAAATGATTTATAGTTGAAAATGGCAATCACTTCAATTTATATTGATGAAAATAGAATTCTTTTAGAAAGTCTCTATTTAAAAAAAAATATGCCTCTTTCAGTGATGATAGCTACATGACTACCCCATATTACCAGTTGAAAATTAACATTAAAATACCTTTCACCTACATAATCTTTGGAATGGATGTGGAAAATATTCAGATTACCAAAGGTTGTAAACACTTCAATCGTAATGCTTTTTTTTTAACTTGGCTAGTTTCTTATACTTAAAAAAATAAAAATAACTAAAAATACAC
This sequence comes from Homo sapiens, assembly GCF_000001405.40. NCBI lineage: Eukaryota > Metazoa > Chordata > Mammalia > Primates > Hominidae > Homo > Homo sapiens. Next base: position 20,371,032 of record NC_000015.10, on the reverse strand, counting down.
TTAAAACTGTCTATATTTTATAAACATTAATTAGGTAAATAGGGGAGGCATAAGAATAGTGGAAGGCTTTGTACAGAAAGATTCAGTGCTCTTAGTAAATGTCAGTAAGGTATAATGAGAGGAGAGCAGTGTTACAATTGAGAGCAGCTAGATTCAAATCTTCATCACCATACACTAGCTGTGTGGAATTACGCAAATCATTGTATCCCTTTGAATTTTACTGTCCTACTCAAAAAGTTGAGATGACAAATAGAACTATTGGTTAAAAGTTTCTAGAAGTTTTCATGTCATTGTAAATGTAATATGCTACGTAGATTATTTTAAAGCACTGCGAAACTGTTCAACATTTTCATTAACAATATTAGCTAAAATGTAATTAATTTATCAAGGAATAAATAAAATATGTTAAACCCAGTGTGAAGTCCACAGTAGGTCTTCGATAATGGTGATAAATGAAAGTTGTATTGAATATGTTATTTATTGTCTTTATTTTTCATTAAAAAATCTGCTAAATGTTGAATGATGAGTACTTCAATTCATGTAAACAAAGTTAACTGGTCAAATAAACATTAAAAATATTAAGTGATATTGATGCTAGTAATATTTGTTCAATGTTGTAGTGGTAATGTATAAGTTGTAGTAATAATAAAAATTTATATTAATGCCTTCTTATGAGAACTCAATTCAACATTTAGAAAGAGTCAATCAAAAAATAACCTGGGATTTTATCTATCATGGTTTATCAGATATTGTTTGTTTTATACAGGAATATATATGTGTGTATATATATATAAAATTCTGGGAAAGAGAAGAATCTTGATTTTGTTCTCTTTGATTTCCCCTGCTGCAAAGATAATGTGAGTTTAGGGTACTGTGTATATATTTTATTATAAATTACAGTCATAAGCTATGTATAAAATTTTTGAGAAAGGAAAAAGTGATTAATGCATAGCATAAAATGTACATATACAATTATTTTATATGTAATTTATAGTTACATATAATTGCTAATACATATACAGTTGAAGCCATTTCATAGTCTAGCTCTGTTGTTAGTAGAAAAGTGATAGGTGATCATGGCTACAAATATGTCCATAATTTTCACAAATAATAAAGGGGGAAATTGAGAATTTTTATTGCAATCTCATGATGAAACATTGGGACTAAACGAAGACAGAAGGAAAGATATAAACTATGCAGAGAAGTGCTTTTGGGCATAAAAAGGTACTATGCAGAGAAGTACTTTTATGCATAAAGTGCTTTTATGCACTGTGTCATCAGTTCTTAAAACAGGGCCTTGTACGTAGGTGCTTACTGAGTGGTTCTTTAATGAATAACCAATGCAAGATCCAGTGCGGCCATTAAGAGTGAATAACAGTTTCACTTACATACATTATCTCATTTAAGTCTCTCAAAATCTTGTCACATAAGCAAGTGTGATTTTATAATTTAAAAGGAGAAGGTGTGAGGAATAATATTATGTAGATTTGATCTGTTTTTTGTACTGTAATGTTAATTATTCCACAAGTATCAAATGGCACTTACCACTCATAAATGATGTATTTGTAATTTTTGTTACTCCTAGGGATTAAGACTAACTACATAGATTCTTCTTTAATGTTTGCTAAATTTAAGTTGTTGTGTATTCATACTTTGAGACGTGAAACAAATATAACCCACCCCAGAGAGCCTCATTTTCTGATTTGTTTTTCTCTTCTGGGTTTATATCTATATTAGCCCTTTTTATATTGTGGTGCAATCAAATATTCAAATATCTTCAGCCCTAATTTGAGTCAGAGCAACATGAGATGGCAGGAAAAAAAGAATCTGTTAAACAATTGTTGATTCTACCCAAAAAAGCATAAATGTTTCTCTTATTAAAAATAAAATAAATTAAAATTGATTAATTTTTAAAAATATTTTTAAAAAATGTTTTAATTTGTTAAGAGTAAATGAATATATTTATTGGCATTTTATGTCTAAGAAGTTTGTTTTTGGTTATCTAGCATGTAAGTGTGGTATCTTCTAATATTTTATATCTTCTGTTTTATTTGTGGCTTTGTAGATTTCATTAATCTGAATTAAATTGATCATTTGAGCAAGTGCTTCACCAGTGACTTCTTTCACACTTCTAGAAGGGTTTTAATTAGAATAACCTTTCATAGCATTTTTAGTCTAGTAACTTCAAGCCTCATAATATATTCACTCCACATAAAAACACTTATCAATAGAGTCCACAGGATGATTTAACATGCCACACACACCTCTTGTTCTTCACATTGATATGTATGTAATACAGTCAGACCCACCTCTTCATTACTTCCAAAGAGCCAACTTTGTCCGGTCTAAAAAATAATAGCTCTTTCTGATATTTTTTTTCAAGGGAAAACCTATTCTTGGGACTTTTTTTTCCACTTTTCTTTCAGTTTTTCTTTGAATTTTCTCTTCTGTCACATTTTCAAAATGCCATTATTCATGATTTATCGCTGTCTTTAAGTGTCTTTATAGGAATTAAATATCTTTTTACTTTTATAGTTTCAAGTCTTTTGTTGAACTTATTCAACTAGCACTAAATATTTTTATTCATTTTAAAGAAAATTATTTCAGAGAATTATCTACATTAATAGTCTAAATGGTTTTATCATGGTGAAATATATATATATAAAACATAAAATTTGTCATTTTAATCATTTTAAAATATTCAGCTCAGTGGCATTTTATATTCATATTGCTGTGCAACCATCATCACTATCTATTCTAAAACTTTTTTATCACTTCCAACAGAAACTCTGCACCCATTAAGTAATAACTTCTGTTTCCCTCTCCCCCAGCCCCTGGGAACTTCTCTCTGAATTTTCTTATTGTAAATATTTCAAGTAAATGGAATGTTACATCATTTATTCTTATGTGTCTCATTTCTTTTAGTTAGTATAATTTATCCAAGGTTGAGCCATATTGTAGCATATATCAGAACTTTTTTGGGATTGAATCATATTACTTTATGTCTATTTAACACATTTAGTGTATCCATTCATCTGTTGATGGATATTGGTTGTCTCCAATTATTTCTGTTTTATTTTTATTTTAAGTTCTGGGGTACGTGTGCAGGATGTGCAGATTTGTTACATAGGTAAACATGTGCCATAGTGGTTTGCTGGACCTATCAACCCATGGCCTATGTATTAAGCCCAGCATGCATTACCTATTTTTTCTAATGATCTCTCTACCCCCACTCCCTGCCACCAACACTCTGAATCTTTTTGAATGCTTTACATAAAGCTTTTGTTTCCAATACCTCAAGGAAATTAATGTTATCAAGGTCCTCAGTGATCTTCATATATTTAAATTGAATGGTTGATTATCAATCCAAGTATTGTTTGATATATAAATGGCATTTTACAGGACTGAGTACATGTACCTACATGAAATGTCTTCACTAGATTAAGAAACTGCTGAAGAGATTTAGAAGGTAGGATGGCCCTTTTGCAGATTCTGTGTAGAAACTGAGACCCTCCCCCTTGAAAATACCAGAGAGGATTTCCACAGAAGCTGTAATCAACTATTTATATTGTTTTATTGTTCTGGGTTAGATGACATGCCATTCTTGATTCAAATACAGAAAGGGAAGATATAATCATTCTAATTTTCTCCAACTATTCTCTGGAGCCGAGATTAGACTCAGTAGCTGCTGAATAAGATGCACAGACTTGTGAAAATGGTGAATATTCAAAGACCTTTCTGTTTGAAAAGAGAAAGGGATTCTGTTTGGAAGGAGAAAAACAAGAATGATACTGGATTGGCAGTTAACAATATCCACTGTATGCCTGAAAGCATATCCGTAGAATATTTTTTTAAAAATATCATTTCTACCTCAAGTACTAGTATTGGACTCTAAGAAATGTACTTATGTGCTTATTTAAACATTAAACCAGCATAAAATTAGAATAGTTTCTAAATTTTCTCCATGAAGGTTCATATTGAATAGAAAAAGCTATTGTTTTCTTCTTTTCCATTACAGAGCATGACCCTTTAAATGTTTGAATTTTTTCCTTGAAATGCACTTTAAAACAGAAGTGATATGCATTTAGCTTCATGATGGTTTTAGGTGAGATTTAATAGCTAGCCATACAAATAAACCCTGCAGGTGGTAAGCGACGGTCCATGCATGAAACAAGCATCCCAGCTTCCAAAAGGCTATCAATTAAATGAAAATGACTATTGAACTGATCTTCTGCTACCAAAATGCTAATTAAAATTTCATTACTCTTCATCAGCCACTCATACTGTAGCTCTGGGATAATGGTGATGCAGCGTCTCAGTATATTATAATCTTAGTGATATATTTTTATATCATCACCATAAGAAACATTGTGTTACTCCAGAATATTTGAGATTTCTCACTGCCTGAGGCATGTATTTATTTCATATCTTTTTATTTTAGTTTATTCTGTTCAATCCTCTACTTAATCCATCTACCTGTACCTGATGCGTGGGTCTCTGATACTAGGCCACAGACAAATACTCACCCAGGATTGACCTTGAAAATAAAACATGATGTTTGTGTCATAATCATAGTTCACATCTGACTTCATACTTAGTACAGCTAATTTTACTCCTTTTTCCTTGTGAAAATGCCAGATCCTGATGAGTTTTAAATTTAAAAAATCCTCTTTCCTATGTAATTATAAATTATTTCGTTGTTTAAACCTTATAGTATCATGAATTTAGTACTTTTTTTTCTGGAAATATTTGGCATATGAACCTCTCTCACTTATGAGCAGCATATTTGTTAATTGAGATTATTGTAGATTCACACGTGATAGAAGGAACGATACAGAGAGATCCCTTGTATACTTCATCCAGTTTCCCCTAATGGTGACATTTTGCGTAACCATAGCATAATAGCATAACCAGGATATTAATATCAATAAAATCCATTGATCTAATTCAGACTTACCCAGTTTTACTTACACACATATATGTGTGTATTAAATCTGATACAATTTTAAGATGAGTAGGTGTGTTTATCCACAAATAGGAGTAAAAATGCTAAACACTAACAACGTCAGGATCCTTTCTATTCTTTGATAACCATACACACCTCCCACCATTTCTCCCACTCATTTTAAATGTTGCCACTAAACTTATCCTCTATTTCTAAAATTTCATCATGAATAGAACAATACAGAATATAAACTTTGGGGTTAGTATTTTTTTACTTTGTGTGATTCTCTGGAGACTTGCCTAAGTTGATATGTACATAAATGATCTATTCCTTTTAATTGTTAAGTAGTATTCCATGGTGCATATGTACTGCCATTTGTTTGACCATTCACCTACTGAAGTACATCTTGATTGAGCAAAGGTTTTGGCTATTATGAATACATCTGCTATAAATATTTGTTGAATAGGCTTTTGTGAACAGAGCTTTCTCCCCACTCTTGGAGAAATTCACAAGAGTACAATTTGCTAGGTTGAATAATAGTTGTATACCTTTTTTATTACCAAGCTCCAAGCTGTTTTCTATAGCGGCTGTATCATTTTACATTTTCACAGGAAATATATGAGTGATTTAGTTTTTCTACAGAAATGGCAATATTTGCTGCTGTCACTTTTTTGTTAATTTTTGCCATTGTAATAGATTTGTAGTATTAGGTAATAATATATCACTGTGGTTTTAATTTGCAATTTTCTGGTGATGAATGATGTTGATATGATGCTTGTTTTCCATCTGCATATCCTATTCACTGAAATGTCTCTTTATGTCTTTTGCCCATATTCTAATTGGTTTTTCGAGTTCATTTTTACAAGACCTTTTGCAATCTGTATAGTTTTGTTTTGTTGAGGTTAGAGAGGTCTTTTTTATGTTCTAAATACTAGTCCTTCCTCAGATATATAATTTTAAATGTTTTCTCCAAATACGTACCTTGGTCTGTTTATCCTTTGCACACCGGTTTTCACTAAGAGAAAGTTTATAGTTTATAATTTTTTTATTTTATGTATTGTGCTTTTGATGTCAAGTCTGAGAAATTGTAGCTTTCCTGTAGATCCTGAAGATTTGTTTTCTTTTAGTTTAAACATGTTTTTTAGCTATATATTTACATTTAAGGATATAATTTATTTTGACTTAATTTTTGTATGTTATATGAAATGTAGGCTGAGATTATTTTTCTTTTGTTTTTTTTTTCCTTTTGGTCTATGCATATACAATTGCCGCAGGACCATTTCCTGAAAAGAACATTTTTCAGTTTAGTTCTTGCATCTTGCTCAAAAGTGTGTTAGGTATATTTTATGGGTCTGTTTCCAGGCCCTCTACCTTGTTCCATTGGCTTATGTGTCAGTACCACATAATATTAATTAATGTATGTAGATAATAAGTCTTGAAATCAGATACAATAATTCATTCCTTTTTATTTTTCCTTTTTGAAATTGTTTTAGCTAGTTTAGTTCCCTGGGCATTGCATGTAAATTTTACAGTGATAATTCTATATTTATACAAAAGTGGGCTATTTTGGATAAGAATTACATTGAACCTGTGCATTGATTTAGAAAAAATTAGCATCATTACTATACTGTTTCTTCCAATCCATGAACACAATGTCTTTCCACTTATTTAGGATTTTTAATTTATTTCATCATTGTTGTATATTTTTCAGCATAAAAGTCTTGCACAGTTTTGTTAGATTTATAGTTAAATAATTCATTTTTGAGTGTTGTGAATGGCATTGTGTTTTTAATTTCAGTGTTCATGGGCACATTCTGGTATCTAGAATGAAAAATTGATTGTGTTATGCTTATCTTGTATCTTGTGACCTTGTTGGCATCATTTATATTAGCTCTGTTTTTTGATAGATCCTTTAGGATTTTCAACACAGACAATCATGTTATCAGCAAATAGAAAAAAATTTTACTTTTTCCTTTCTTGTCTGTATACCTTTTGTTTCCTTTCTTTTCATTATTGTGCTAGTTGAGGACTTCCAGAACTATGTTGAGAAGAGAAGTAAGAGTAGTCATCTTTACCTTGTGTGCTAAGCTGTTCTTATGTTGCTACAAAGAAATACTCGAGAATGAGTAATTTATAAAGAAAAGAGGTTTAATTGGCTCACGGTTCTTCAGGCTGTACAGGAAACACGGCACTGGCAACTGCTCAGCTTTGGGGGTCTCTCAGGGAGATTTTACTCCCTGAGAAGCGGGAGGAGGTATGTCACATGGCCAAAGCAGAATCACATGGCCATGGTCATGTGGCCAAAGAGAGAGTGGAAGGAGGTGCCACAAACTTTAAAACAACCAGATCTCATGAGAACTCACCTACTAACCTGAGGACAGCACCAAGACATCAGGGATCTGCTCCCATGACCCCGATACCTCTCACCAGGCCCCACCTCCAACACTGGGGATTACATTTCAACATGAGATTTGGCAGGGACATATATCCAAACTATAGCACCTTATTCCTGATTTTAGGAAGGATTTTAGGATGTTTTTCATCATCAAGTATAATCTTAGCTGTAGGGTTTTTACCTGTTCTTTAAAATTTGGAGAAGGTCTTCCTCTATTCCTAATTTTCTAAGAGTTTTTTATTATATATATTTATTTTTTGCTGAATTAATTTTATGCATCAATTGATATGATCATCTGATTTTTCTTCTTTAGCCTGTTGATATTGTTCATTGCAATGACTGATTTTGTAATGTTGAACCATCCTTGTATTGCTGGAATAAACACACTTGGTCATGTGTGTAGTTATTTTTATATATTATTGAGTTTTATTTCATAATATTTTGTTAATGATTTTTATATCTATATTTGCGAGGAATACTAATCAATTATTTTCTTTTTTGTACACTGGCTTGGGTATTGGTGTAATACTTCATAAGAATAGTTAGGAAATTTTCAATTCATTTCTATTTTCTGGTAAAGCTTGTATAAATTTAGTAATAATTACTTCTTAAATGTTTATTACTATTCTCCGGTGAAACTATTTCAGCCAGGAATTTTATTTTTCAGGACCTTTTAATTAATAATTGATTTGATTGAAATAGAGCTATTTTAGATTGTTAATTTTATCTTGGTAATTTTTGATAGTTTGTGTTTTCAAAAAATTAGTCCGTTTAAGTTGATGAAACTATAAGCATGAAGTTGTTCGTATTATTCTCTTTATCTTTTTAAAAGCTACAGAATCAAGAGCGTTATTTCTTACTTTAATTTTGACATGAGCAATAGCTGTCTTTTTGTTACTTTTGTTTAGTATTTTTGGAGTTTTATTAATTTTATTGATAAACATATTTGAAAGATATTTGGTTATATTAATTTTCTTTATTGCTTTTCTGTTCTCAATTTTATTGATTTCTGCTTTGATTTTTTATTATTTTTTCTTTTTGTTTTGAGCTTATTTTGCTCTTCTGTTTCTACTTTTGTTAATAGAAATGTAGATTATCAACTTGAGACCTCTCATTTTTAATGTAAGCCTGCACTGCTATCAGTTTTTCTCTAATCGCTTCTTTAGTTCTATCTGACATAATATTTTGTATCTTTTAAATCATTCACATCTATGTATTTGTTTTTAAATTATTTGAGACTTCCTTTTTGACCCATGGATCATTTAAAAATACGTTATTTCCCACATGTTCTCAGATTCCTCTTGTTTTGTTATTTATTTCTAGTTTGGTATCACAAAAAATACATAACACAATTTAAACTATTTTTTTAAGTTTGTTGAGGCTTGATTAATGTCTACTTATGTCTATGATCTATCTTGATGAGTATTCCATGAAGGTCTGAAAAAAATTGTGTGTTCTGCTGTAATTGAGCGGAGTGTTTTTATGTGGCAGTTAGATCTTCTTAGCTGAATGTGCATATATTCTAGATATTGCAGGTCATTGCTGATTTTCTAATAATTCTATCATTATTATCAGTGTTGGAGTCTGCAATTACAGTAGTGAATCTCTGCTTTCAACTCTTTATCAGTTTTTGTTTCATGTTATTTTGCGAATACGCTCTCGTGGTCGGTACATATTTAGAATTTTTATGTCTAGTTGATTGATTCTTTTATCATCATTAGTATAAAAGACACAAGGATCAAAAACATCTAAATGAAACGTGGTTCGGACAAGAAGGCATAGACCCATTTCTTCTTGCTGTCTCTCACGAGACACAACCTTAAGCATTAGAAGTAGTGAAAAGACAAATATAGAGGAGAACCCTGAAGGTAGTAAAAATAAGAGAGCTTTCTTTGTACTATCCTTGAGTGTTTCACTACGTATTAAATTTCCACAATGCATCACTAGAGCCTATATTGTATCTGTGGACACTCTTTAAATGTGGACATTTAAGCAAAAGTTGAAAGAATAAATCTAGAAATAAAAATGAATGTGAAATTTGATGAGAAGGATTGGCTCCTGCTGCAAATAAATTTCTGTTCATTATACATTACAGTCAGTGGTATTCTATTATAGCAGCATGAAATGGTCTAATACATCTGATCAAGAATGGAGAATCTCAGTCCTATGAGGACAAAGAGGCTTCCATGACCTACTAAGTTGCCTGGTATTGTTCAGTCTCTCCTGCAGGCTCTTTGTCTTGTAGCCTAAGTATCTCTTGGTAGAAAAAAGAAGTCTCAGGACAGGTGGGTGAGGAGATGCACTCTCATGTCTTAAGTTCAGCTGGTGCTATGCTGGGGGCTACTGTTTGATCTGGAGAAACAATGGGCCTATCTGGGCTGCCTTCTGCTACTATGTCATGGGGGAAAGAAGTACTGGATATGGATGGCCTTCCTCTCAGGTGGGAGGACACAAGGCATCTTGATGTTGTGTTGTTGCTCAAATCCTGGGTCCCCACACCAGCTCTTCTATTTTTACCACCTGCAGAGTTCTCCTTTATTTGCTTTTTGTACCATTTGCAGTGCTTAAGGTTGTGCCTAGTGAGAGGGAGCAGGAAGAAATGGGTCTATGCCTTCTTATTTGAGCTACAGCTTACTTAGATGTTTTTGATCCTTGTTTCTCCAATATTAATGATTAATTTTTAAAACTTTACCCTAAATTAATCTGTATTACCTTTTTTCCATAAACTCCATAAAGACAGAATGTGTTTCATTTTTATATAATTAAACACCCTGCCTGCAGTTTACAAACAAATGATATGTCATTTAAGTTTCATAAATGGGAAAAAGGTTAATCACAGACAGTTTATTTCTTTAAAAAATAACACAAATTTCTTATTTCTGTATTTGTCATAAGTTCAACCTTTTTGCATTATCTTGATCAGTGTAAAATGCTTGGATGGTCAGTGTTGTTTGACTTGTGTCTGTATTTGGTTAGGATCCATTTAAACTCTCTAGGATAATGTCAAAATCAATTTCTTCCTTTATACTTTCTTATTTTCAAAGAAATGGTGCTAAATATTTCTATGAATATATGGAAATATCTATGCGAATATGTATCTGACTAAAAATGTTGCAGGCATCTTTTCTGTTTTTTTAACCCTTTGTAATATTTTTATTTTGTTTATTTAGTGATATAAGGGAAAATTGTGAGCATTTAACTACATAATCTTTATGTTTCCACCAAACTCAATTTTTTAGTTCTTAGTATATGGCCTATAATCTAACTTTAATTTATCCCTTTTATATTAGCTTATTTTCTTGTTAACAACAAGGATATCTCTTCTGGAGTATCTCAAGTCAAGGTAGAAAAAGTAGTCAACAGGAAAATGAACAGAACAGTTTTGGATATGTATGAGAATTTAAAGCAAATGTTTCTAAATGAGAAATTGTAACTCAGGAAATATTTGGCACATTCTATCAAAATTTTGTGAATTTTGATAATAAAACATTCACAATTCAATTAGGAGTAAAGGAAGAAAATATAAGCTATATCTATCAATAAAAGATTTTTTTCCATTTTTGTTTCATCTAGCAATATTCTTTTCCCTCCATAAGGAATCTGTTAAAAACTCTCTTCTTACTATCCTTCAGTCTTTTAAAATGTGTTAAATTCCCACAGTGCATTATTAGAGCCTATATCTGTGGACACTCTTTATGTGTTGGTATTTGAGCAAAAGTAGAAAGAATAAATCCAGAAATAAAAATGAATGGGAAATTTGACAGGAGAGATTGCTTTCTACTGCCAAATATATAACTATACTTCATCTAGTCTATCACTCAAGGAGGTTTCAGAATGAAGAATCATTTCCAAAATGCCATCCTACTTTCATCTTTTCCCAAGGAGGTTCAGAATAACCTGCAAGTGGATCACTGAACAAAGAAAGTACAAAACCACAAATAGTCCCTCTAAGGTCCTTTAAAACACAAACTTGGAACATTTTTATGACATTTCAAAATGACTTGTGATCCTGATACTACTATTTAAAGATATAGCTTGAATCAAATAAAATAAATTATAGGTCATCTGTCTAAGGATGGAACATTTTGTTTTGTTTTTTTCCCCATTTGACTTCTTAAAATTAATTATAGTTTCTTTAATATATATTGCAGAGATTATATATTTTTAAATCCAGGTTATAGAATAAAAATACTTTGCTTATCATCATTTGATATAAGTTCTATAAGTAAAAACTCAGTTCTACTTATATATTTCTACATAGAAGCACCACTTATAGTTTGTTGGCTTTTTAAAAAGAAGAAGGTAAAATTATACTAACGGATTTTGCTATGAGATGGATCAACCTAGATTTTATGAATAGAATAATTAACGTAAGTGCTTCAAATAGGTTTAGTGTTTTATGGTCTGAGACACGGCTTCCATCTAAAGAAACACCAATTTAGGAGAAACTAGAAAAAGAATTGGGAAAGAAGAAGAAAGTGTTTTTTGGAAATACACCAACCATAAAAGAGCGAAGCTCACTCTGCTCCTCTTAAAGTTTACTGCATTGTAATTGGGAATTTGTTATTTCCATGGTTCCTTTGAGTAACATAGACATAAGCAAAGAGAGTATTTATGTTCTGCACAAGTCCATCCATGTCTCTATTGGTGTGATTACCCTCCCCACCCATGCACCTTCCGTCCAAGCAGGAGTGCAGCCTGCTTGGGCTCAATGTCCCCTCTTCTGAGAAGCAGCCCGGCCCAATCCTGAGCGCCCCTGGTGCCGCAATCCTCACGCGTATGGGGCTGGCCGTTGATGTCGCCTGGGCTGGGGGTGCACCTGCAGCACAAACACGTGACTGAGCATCTTCTTGTCCCGGACCCTCTCGGCGTTGGACCCCAGGAAGCCCCTCCAGGGGGCTTCAGTCGCCCACCCACCTACAAAGCCCCTCATCTGCAGCGGCGGCTTCGTTCCCGGGACGCGCCCCAGGCTCTGCTCAGGCATGGCCCGCAGACCCTCAGGAGCCCCCGAAACATGATGACCTCCAGCCACGTGCCAGCTGCCAGGAGGGGGCTTCAAGACCCCAGATGAGCACCCGGCTGGCCGTGCCCCAGGGACAGAGGACCCAGTGTGACAGAATCCGGCCTGGGCCACAGCCACCCACGCAGCCCATCCCAGTTCAGCCCGAGGTGGACAAGAAAAGTCCCACCAGGGACTGGAGCAGATGGGGCGGGCTCCGGACCCCTGCCTGGCCCACCATCTGTCCTGCTAGTCGGTCCGTCTCCCCAGGCAACCCCTTCTCCCGGCCCACGATCTGCCCGGCCCTGCTAGGCCCTCCTCCTAGCTCCTCCAGGGCCCTCGGGAGGGGACAGAGCTGGAGCCAGGGCCCAGACCTCTGCTGCTTTGGGCCCGCCCCATCTGGCACCTCCAGGAGAAGGGGGCAGCAAGAGCTTGGCCAGGGCAGGGGCACTCCAGGGCAGCCGAAGGGCCTCGCCAGCTGTCTCATGATGAGATGAGCAGAGGGAGAGGGAGGAGAGGAAGGGAGAGGAAGGGAGAGGCTCTGGGAGGACAAGGGCCCCTCCCCTCCTCCTCCCCTCTTCCTCCCCTGCCCATGTGGCCTGGGCGGGAGGGACACGCGGATGGGAACATCCCAGCTGGTCCAGGCCTCTGCTCCCCCCAGCTCCTCCTCCTTGGCTGGCAGCTCTTCTGGGCTCCTGAGGTGCTGCGCAGCCCCTTCCCTGGCCCTGGGACACCCAGTGCCTGAGATGAAAGAGGAGTTGCTTCCATGGAGGGTCCCAGTGCAGGCCGGGGGGCGCTGGCCCTCAGGACACCAGGCCCCCAAGACATAGGGACACCAGAAGCCCCCGATCTGCCTCCAAGGTCCAGCAGCCCCAAAGCCCCTGCTCAGAAGCCAGCGATGGGAGGGCAGGGCCTGCCTGTGGGACCCACCATGGGCGCAGCAATCGCCAGGCCCTGGGCAGACAGCAGCGCAGCCTGAGTCCAGGTCTGGGGCAAGTCGGCAAGTGCACCCCCAGAGGTGGAATGACAGGAGCTCCTGTGGAGGACGCAGGCGGCCCCCGCCCCTCACTCCACTGTGAGGCCTGAGGATGCACACGGGCAGCTCTCGCCGGCTTATGAAATGCCCCAACCCCGCTGCCTCTCTGGGTCCTCCTCATCCTGTGGCCTGCAGGGTCAGGAGCGTGACTTTGGTGCCAGGAGAGAGGCTGGCTCCTCCCTGTGGTGGGTGTTGGGGGGAGGAGTGGGGTTCATTATAAATTACACTCCCCTCGAACCTGGCTCTTAGGCGAGGGCAGGGCTGGGGTTCACCCTGCTCTCTGCAGGGGAGGGTCAGCCCCCAGGTATGCCTGGGTGGGTCTCCACGGCAGGCCAAGAGGGCAGGCCCTGGGCACGTCCACCCCCTCTCTCTGGTCCCACAGCTCCCCTACTCGCCACCTGCCCTGAGCAGCCCCCAGGAGAGCACACGCAGGGAGGATGCTGAGGGGCTGGAGGGCAGGAGTCCCGGCTGAGGCTGTGACCCCAGCTGTGCTCCCCGTTCCCTCTTAGGACCAGCCAAGACCCAAGGACAGGCGGCCAATCAGGGCCTGGCGTTTACCCCTCCTCCCCCACCCCCATCACGGGCCTCCCGTGGGACCCCCAGGAAGAGCAGCTTCCATTGACCGAGGTCAGGGGACACCCTCCCGCTGACACTCACTCTCCACGGATCCTGGAGCCCATGAGTCGCCTCCCCACCTCCACTGCACTGGACCCCCCGCAGGCCCTGGTGGGGGTGGCCACGGATAACCACACAAACATGCATTTTCCTTGTAGGAGCAGGCAGGTGACAACCAGTGTCCTACTTTCTTGCATTAAAACACCCAAATCAACAGGGCGAAGGCCCGGAGGAGGGGTCCTGAGGGAGCCAGCCGGGCGCTCAGCCTGCTTCGCTGGGATGCTTGTCGAGGTCGGGACCGCACTACCAAACTCACCTCTGTGCACCCTGCGGGGCCCAGGAAACTCGGTCCTCCCTGGGCTCCCCCAGGCCTGGGGTGGACGTTGGAATAAAGTGGGGACAACACGATGAGACCCCAGCCCTGGAGGTGCCCTCGGCAGAAGCCCGAGATCAAACCTGGGAGATTTGTGGCTGGACAGCACCACCTGGTGGACACATTGGAGATTACCAAAGCCGAACAGTCGATTCGTTCTTGGTTCTGGGATTTTCTTAATTGGGTCTTAGCTGGGGCTTCCTTTCCCTTTCCCCAGTAGCAGGGGCTTTGTGACTATCAGAAACACCTGCCAGGCCTGTGCAACATGGGGAGACCTCATCTCTGCAAAACACACACACACACACACACACACACACACACACACACACACACACACACACATATTAGTGAGGTGCGGTCGTCCCAGATATTCAGGACGCTGAGATGGGAGGATCGCTTGAACCCAGGAGGTCGAGGCTGCAGTGAGTCGTGATCATGCCACCGCACTCCAGTTAGGGTGACAGAGAGAGACCCTGTCTCTAAAGAAAGAGAAGAAAAGGCCGGGCACAGTAGCTCACGCCTGTAATCCTGACACTTTGGGAGGCTGAGGCAGGCGGATTACCTGAGGTCGGGAGTTCCAGACCAGCCTGACCAACATGGAGAAACCCCGTCTCTACTAAAAAATACAAAAGTTAGCCAGGTGTGGTGGCGGGCGCCTGTAATCCCAGGTACTTAGGAGGCTGAGGCAGGAGAACCGCTTGAACCGGGGAGGCAGAAGTTGCAGTGAGCCGAGATCACGCCATTGCACTCCAGCCTGGGCAACAAGAGTGAAACTCTGTCTCAAAAAAAAAAGAAAGAAAGAAAGAAAAGAGAAGAAGCCCTTGTCTTCTAATAAGATGGTGTTGGTTTTCAGAGAGCCCAATCCAGGCACTTCAAACAAGGCAGGGAAATCAATGGCCCTGAAGAAAGAGTTTCTCTTCAACAAGCCCCTCCGTCCCTGACACTGGCACCAAGGCATTCACCCAGCAGCCCCTCTGTCCCTGACACTGGCACCCTGGCATTCACCCACCAGCCCCTCCATCCCTGACACTGGCATTCTGGCATTCACCCACCAGCCCCTCCCCTCCCTGACACTGGCACCCCGGCATTCACCCACTGTCCGGGGCAACCAACCTTTCCTCCCACCACTGATGGGACAGCACCCTGGCCTACCACTTTTGAGGTGAAAAAAATTAGAAATCCCTGGCTAAAGAGGGGACAAATCGAGCCTAAAATCAAGCCTTGGTATCTTGCTTTTTAAATCTGCCTATACCTTTTGTGTATTGGTTGTGTAATTTTTTGTGTATTCATTGTGTGTAATTGCTGAATACACAATGAATACACAAAAGCTATAAATAGATTTAAAGAGAGAAACCAAACCAAAACCCATCGGTAGTCCACTGGAAAAACAAGGCTCCAACTCTCTATTCGGAACATTGTCAATTAAAAGAAAAGAATTAAGAATTTCCCTTTTAAACTATATTTCAGGGTAACTCAATAACTCTAGTGGACAACAGCAAGTTTTTTTGGGTTTTGTTTGGTTGGTTTCTTTTTTTTTGAGACGGAGTCTTGCTCTGTTGCCCAGGCTGGAGTGCAATGGCACAACCTCGGCTCACTGCAGCCTCTGCCTCGTGGGTTCAAGTGATTCTCCTGCCTCAGACTCCTGAGTAGCTGAGATTACAGGCGCCCACAACCAGGCCCTGCTAATTTTTTGTATTTTTAGTAGAGATGGGGTTTCACCATGTTGGCCAGGCTGGTCTCAAACTCCTGACCTCAGGTGATCCACCCACCTCGGCCTCTCAAAGTGGTGGGATTACAGGTGTAAGCCACCACACCCAGCCTGTTTGTTTTATTTAAGAGACAGGGTCTCGCTGCATCACCCAGGCTGAAGTGCAGTGGTGTAATCACAGCCCGCTGCAGCCTTAACTTCTTGGGCTCAAAGGATCCTTCTGCCTTAGCCCCTGAGTAGCTAAGACTACAGGCACGCACCACCATACCTGGCTAATGTTTTATGTTTTTGTAGAGATGGGGTCTTGTTGCCCAGGCTGGATTCAAGCTCCTGGCCTCTCTCACCTTGGCCCACAAAAGCTCTGGGATTACAAGTGTGAGCCACTGTGCCCAGCCATTTTTGTTGTTGTTGTTTTTGATAGAAGAATTTCAGCTACTCATTGTGAAGAGATGAGATCATGAGAGAAACCACAATTTTGCCACCTCTCATGACATAATTATTTCTCGCAAGGGTCATGGATGAGATCAGTAATGACAAAACAAGGGCATCACAGGGTGGGTTCAGGCTATGACCACCTGGACCTACTGGCCACACTTAGCATCACAGGGTGGGTTCGGGCTGTGGCCACTTGGACCCACGGGGCACACTTAGCATTACAGGGTAGGTCAGGGCTATGGCCACCTGGACCCACTGGGCACACTTTGCATCACAGGGTGGGTTCGGGCTCTGGCCACCTGGACCCACGGGGCACACTTAGCATCACAGGTGCTTCCATGTGGCTCTCACAGCTCTGCCCACGAAGGCTTCTGGCAAAGAAAGATGAGCCTGAATCTAAGGGCATTTCTGCAGCACAGCTTCCATTTGCAGGAGACATGGGGCGAGGCGACACCACAGAGAGGCAAACAGCTGCGTGATAGGCGACACATTTGCAGGACAGCTGATCTGGTTTCTGCAACAAATCACAAGTGGTGGGAGGAGCAGTGGGGGTCAGGGGCGGCGCCTGATCTAGAGTAAGAGAGGTTCAAGAGGCGCCACCACAAAACTGAAACTGTGGGCCTTGTTAGGAACCTATGTGTTCCATCTGATGGATGTAAGCAAACAATCAGGGGAATGTGATTCCGGATGGGGCCTGAGCAGGTGCCAAGGAATGACTGTTAATTTGAACATTGCCCTAAGGGAGCCGCAAGTGTGTTCCAGAGTTTCCCATACTTGGCGCCTTGCAACCTGAAGTTCATAGGAACAAAATTTCAGAACATTTGCTACAGGATGGAAGATGCTTCAGCCAAAGGGGAAAAGGAAAGAGAAAGACAACAGCAATGCATGAAACAAGTGTGGCAATTATCGATAAAGCATGTGTGGTGATCACTGATCACATGTGTGAGTTTATTTGAAAAGTTACATTAAAAAATTTTGAGGCTAGGCACGGTGACTCACGCCTGTAATCCCAGCACTTTGGGAGGCCGAGGCGAGCAGATCACCTGAGGTCAGGAGTTCAAGATCTGCCTGGCCAACGTCGTAAAACCACATCTCTACTAAAAATAAAAATAAGTGCAAAATAAGCCGGATGTGGTGGCAGGCGCCATAATCCCAGCTACTCAGGAGGCTGAAGCAGGAGAATTGCTTGAACCTGGAAGGCGGAGGTTTCAGTGAGTCAAGACGGCACCATTGTACTCCAGCCTGGGCAAAAAGAGTGAAACTGTGACTCAAAAAAAAAAATTTTTTTTTTGAAAAGAGACTAGGCATGCTGGCTCATGCCTGTAATCCCAGAACTTTGGGATATCAAGGCAGGAGGATTGCCTGAGGCCAGGAGTTCGAGACCAGCCTGGGCAACATGGTGAGACCCTCGTCTCTTAAAAAAAAAAAAAAAATTGCCTCCCAAGACACATGCCTGTAGTCCCAGCTACTTGGGAGGCCTAGGAGAGAGGATTGCTTGAGGCTGGAACGTTGAGGCTGCAGTGGGCTATGATCAACCCACTGCACTCCAGCCCGGGTGACAGAGCAAGACTCTGTCTCAAAAAATAAATAAACAAAAATAAAGAAAGACATAGCCTTTCTCTTACAGACATGGTCAGGCATCATGGAAATCTTATTGCAGAAGTTGCTCGCCCTTCACCCCTAAGCCTCACCTCTCTGTTTCAGGGGATCCGAGTTTGGGGAAGGAAAGTCTATGGGGCCATCATTTCTCCCTTGTGGCTCCTGCGCCCGCAGCCATGGGCCCCTCACACTGGGGCTGGGTGCCTGAGCAGAGTCCCTGTCCAGCCCCCACCAAGCTCCAGCATCCTGGACACCTCATGCCATCCCTCCTGGACTTTGTGCTGGGGATGAGGTCAATTTGAGAGCCTCCCTGAGGTCTGGTCACTCCTGCACACCCTCCACAGTGGGCAGAATGGTGCCCCCCAAAAGGCCCACATCCTAATCCCGGGACTGTGAATGGGCTACTTTTCATGGCAAAAGGGACATTGCCAGTGTGACCGAGGGTCCTGCGATGGGAGGCTCCCCGGCATCATGCAGGTGAACCCAGTGGCATGACAAGGGCCCCTGTGAGCGAGAGGCGGGGGTGAGAGCAGACCTGGTGCAAAAGCAGTGGGTGTGGTGATGCCCCAGCCTGGGACTGAGGCCCAGAACGTGGTGGCCTTCAGAAGCCGGGAAAGGCCAGGAGATGCATCTGCCCCCAGCCTCCAGAAGGAGCCAGCCCTGCTGACACCGTGGCTTTAGCCCAGTGCGGCCCCGTGGGACTTCTGACCCCCAGAACTCTAAAATAATAAATTGGCATTGTTTTGATCCTTCTGTGGCTGATATGTGTGATGAGGGGGTTTTCACACTCTTGCGTGGGACGTGCAACCTCTTTAGAACAGTGGCACATTACCTGTCCTACATGGGGGAAAAAAGAGGAAAAAATAAATACATTTGCATTGTTTTAGACCACTAAGTTTGTGGTCACGTGTAACAGCAGGAACAGCAAACAGATGTGCCCTCCGAGGCTCCCCTACATGCCTGCGAAGCTTGGGGACGCTGGGGAGGGTCACCTTGGCCATCTGGGGGCAGGTGGTACATCAAGACCCTCCCTCCCTCATCACCACCCTTCCTCCCCCATCACCATCCTCAATGGCACGGGGGCAACCCATGGTGAAGCAGCCGGACAGGCAGACTGTGCTAATTCCCTGCAAGGCAGAGCTGTTCCTCCAGCTTTGGAATGCAGCCAGCCCCTGCATGGCAGCCTCAAGGGGACAGGACCGCCCCCCCCATGCTCTCTCTTTCCCCTGGCCCCGACCCTGCCCCTCTGCTCCCTGCCCCCCAGCCCCACTGCCTTGGGCCTCCCTTGAGCTCCCAGGACAGGTCAGCAAATTGCTATGTGTGCATGTTTTCTAGGGAGAGTCCACAACCATGGTCAGAGTCCCTCGAGTCCAAAAAGAGACAGAGCCACAGCCTCAAGCGGCTCCTTGGGCCCCGGGTTCTGAGCTGGAATTGGATTCCCTGAGCCAGCTCTTAGTCCATGGTGACAGGCATCTGCTGATGTAGCCTCCTCCTATCTTCCCCAGAAACCAGATTAGACGCGGCCAGCAAAAAGAATATTCTCAGCTGGCAAAACGCTTTCACCGGCCACCAAAGGCCCCCTGTCCCTCCAGCCCACGGAGGGCACGGCGCCTCCTCATCCAAATGGGCTCTGGGCCCTGTGCCCCACATTCCTGGAGTGAGCCTAGACCTTGCGCTGCGTCCATCGTCTGGGAGCATTGTGGGGTGTGGGTTTCCCCCCACATCCAGACCCTTGAGTCCTCAGGAGCAAGGACTGGCCTCTCTGGTTTCCCTTCACACAGCAGGTGCTGAATCAATGCCCGGGAACCGAGGCGTCCTGTGAGGCGACAGAGGCTGAGCTGGAGAAGGCTCACCTGAGACCTGCACAGATTCAGGCGTTATCGCTGCCAAGGCCCAGCAAAGGAAGCGAGGCTGCCGTGGACACAACTCATGGCTCAAACTGGGGCGGCCTGAATGTTCCTTTGTGGGTCCCCAGGGCTGGTGGAGGGGGGTCTATTCTCTTCCCCCTGATCTTTCAGCAGGTCCTGGCTCACCAGGGCTCAGCCCCACCCTCCAACGCACCAGGTGTCACTGGGCACCTGCTCAGTGGAGCCTGTTGCTGTTCAGAGACTGAAAGTGGTGATGGTGAGGCCAACACCGATGGCCATGGGACCAACATCAAGGTGAGGAAACCATCAAGGACTGCACCAGAGGGATACCCCTCCTTGACACACACACACACACACACACACACACACACACACACACACACACACACACACGAGATCCTGTCCCCTGATGGGGTAAGTAAGGGGGAGCAGGCCCTGCAGTGACCTGTTGGCCATCTCTTATCCACCCGACATGGCCAAAGGTAGCCACGTTATCTCCCATTGCATGTCCTCTCCTCTGTATCAGGACACAGTAGACATCCAGGTGCCTATAAAATAGACGTTTTTGGAGATAAGAGGCCCTTTGCAGCCTCTCTGGAAAGACTCTGTGAGAACAGTCCTGGTGAATGGAGAAGCCCTTAGCCACATGGTGTCAGGGGCCCCACCGCACCTCTGGCCTTTGGACAAAGTCAGCACCAGCCACTCCCACCCCACCCACCACTTTCATGCGTTCTGCAGCTGCCACTCCCTGCCCGCCAGGGTGACCAGATGCTGGCCGGAGCCAGGGCAGGGGCGGGCACTCTTCAGCATTTCCACAGGAAACCCCAGACCCTGTTCCCGCAGCCTGGCCCTCAGACAACTGCTCCCACTCTCCCCCTGCCCATGGGAGCTCAGCCTCTGGGGCAAGAGGGGACCCTGTTTACACCAATGCACCTAGGAAAAACCTTGGGGAAAATTCCAGGCCTGAGTCCTGAGTGTCCCCAGAGTCCACAGCTGGTGGCAGAGGGCCAAGAAGATAGTGACAATGAGGATTTATACCCCAGCAATGAGGGGACAGTGACAAGGCAGCTTCTCTGCAGGTCCACACAGGAAAAGAAACCCACAGCACGGCTCCGTGCAGCAGGGGCTCTGAGTGACACTCGCAAGGCCGTGGCATCAGGCAGGGGACCCCCCCACCGCGGAGGGCATGGCTCAGCAGAAGCCAGGAGAGGGTGGGTCCTGGGATCCCAACCCAAAGCAGGCAGTCAGGAACTGAGTGACCACGGGTACCCTGGGGGTACAGGTAGGAGGGAGGAGAGTGTCTCCGAGGCCCCCTTGCCAACCCTCAATGCCAAGTCCAGCAAAGGTGGTTTTCTGGCACCAACTAGCAGGCACTGATCCCCCTCATATCCCCAACTCATGACCCAGCCACCTTTCCCAGGGGCTGAGTGGCTCTGAACAGGGGTGGAGCCGTGGGGCAGTCTGGGGCTGACACCCAGGAGGCGTTGGGGGAGGCGCCCACTCAGGCCCTCGCTGCCCCGGGGAAAGGCCACTGCAGGCAAAGCACGCTGACACCAGAGCCTTCGGCAGAGGAGGGGGAAATTGTTTATGTCTTGCGCTCCTTCTTACCGTGGGCCTCCTGGGGGCTCCTGGCCCTGGGTGAGCAGGACGGACCCGGACCCGAGATGCCTCAGAGGGAAGCTTCTTGGGCAGGAGGACAGCACAGGCCATGGAGTCCCAGGGGGAGGGGGAGGGCTGTCCCACTGGGCCCCAGTGGGTCCTCTGCAGCAGGACAGTCTAGCCTGCCCCTGGCCATGCTGAGCCACATGGCTCTCCTCTCCGAGACCCTGTGGTGACAGGCAAGGGCACAGGGGTGGTGGGGCAGAGGCACTGTTGAAAAACCTGCCCAAGGGCCTGCCCTTGGCATCTCCTGGACCCACCCTCATCTTCCCTGAGGCTGTCCGAGTGCTTTCCCGGGTAGTCTGTCCTCAGTGGGAATGCCGCAAGCCTCCTCCTTGTGCCTGGCACAGCCCTACATGCTGGGGGAGGGGACACTAATGATCATCCCCAGCTCACAGGCACAGGAGGGAGGCCTGGGGCAGGGGTAGCCCAGGGTCGTGGCTGAGCCACTGAGAAAAGCTCAGATCCCCAACCCCCTCAGCTCTTCCTCCCCCAGGTTCCTAACCACGGCCCGACCTCCCTGGTCCAGTGAACGTCCCACTCCGCATTGTGTGCTACCCACTGGGTTCCTCCAAGGTTCTCAGAGTCCAAGCCTGGTGATCACCAACAAAAATCTCTGCAAACAGCAGATTCCTACACAGATGGCCCTGCCTTATTAGGATGGCTCCACCGACGGGCCCCGACTCCACGATGGTAAGAATGTGGCCAGAACTCAGTAGCAACGGCACTTAAGTCCCACACAACCATGTTCACTTTCAGTACAGTATTCGACAAATTGCACAAGAAAATCAACACCTGATTAGAAAACTAGCTTCATGAGCTGGGGACAGTGGTTCACGCCTGTAATCCCAGCATTTTAGGAGACCAAAGCAGGAGGATGGCTTGAGCCCAGGAGTTCAAGACCAGCCTTGGCAACATGGCGAGACCCCATTTCTACAAAACATAACAAACCTTTTTTTAAATTAGCCAGGCGTGGTGGCACATACCTGTTGTCCCAGCTTCTTGGGTTGCTGAGGTAGGAGGATCATTTAAGCCCAGGGGTTTGAAGCTGCAGTGAGCTATAATCACACCACTGCACTCTAGCCTGGGCAGCAGAGTGAGAGTCTGCCTGAAAAAAAA
The DNA here is from genome assembly GCF_000001405.40 of Homo sapiens. NCBI lineage: Eukaryota > Metazoa > Chordata > Mammalia > Primates > Hominidae > Homo > Homo sapiens. Next base: position 20,348,281 of record NC_000015.10, on the reverse strand, counting down.
AAAAAAAAAAAAAAAAAAGCTTTGTGTGAGCTGATTTTGCCTACCTAGAGGCTAATGGGAGTGTCTTGAGCACATCTGAGGTCAGCTGGGCTGAGCTGGCAGGCGGTTAGGCATACTAAATGCCTTTTTTTTTTTTTTTTTTTTTTTGTGATACAGTCTCACTATGTTGCCCAGGCTGGAGTGCAGTGGTGCCATCTCGGCTCACTGCAACCTCCGCCTCCTGGGTTCAAGTGATTCTTCTGCCTCAGCCTCACGAGTAGCTGGGACTACAGGCGCCTGCCATCATGCCCAGCTAATTTTTGTATTTTTAGTAGAGACAGGGTTTCACCATATTGGTCAGGCTGGTCTCGAACTCCTGGCCTCAGGTGATCCACCCTCCTCAGCCTCCCAAAATGCTGGGATTACAGGCATGAGCCACCACGCCTGGCCTGTTGCCACATTTTTGCTTTTGTGAATAAGCTGCTATGAACACCTGTGTGCAAGTATCTCTTTGAGACCCTGCTTCCAGTTCTCTTGGGCGTATACCCAGGAGTGGTATACATGAACAAATAAACAAGGGACACGCCAGGCATGCCTGTAATCCCAACATTTTGAGAGGCTGAGGCAGGAGGATCCCTTGAACCTAGGAGTACAAGACCAGCCTGAGCAACATAGGGAGACCCTGTCTCTACGAATACATTTTAAAAATTAGCTGGGCGTGGTGGTACACACCTGTGGTCTCAGCTACTCAGGAGGCTGAGATGGGAGGATGGCTTGAGCCCAGGAGGTCGAGGCTACACAGTGAGCCACGATCTCACCACTGTACTCCAGCCTGGGTGACAGAGTGAGATCCTGTCTCAAAAAATAAATGTAAAAAAAACACAGGACAGGCCGGGCACGGTGGCTCATGCCTGTAATCCCAGCAATTTGGGAGGCCGAGGCGGGTGGATCATGAGATCAGGAGATTGTGACCATCGGCTAACACGGTGAAGCCCCATCTCTACTAAAAATACAAAAAATTAGCCGAGTGTGGTGGCAGGCATCTATAGTGCCAGCTGCTCAGGAGGCTGAGGCAGGAGAATGGTGTGAACCCGGGAGGTGGAGCTGGCAGTGAGCCAAGATCATGCCACTGCACTCTAGCCTGGGCGACTGAGTGAGACTCCATCTCAAGAAACAAAAACAAACAACCAGGACACAGGATGGTCACAGAGGGGCATAGACTCACACCCGGAATTTCTAGGTGTGAGCACAGAGGCTCCTAGAGAGGAGGAAGGTGGGTCGTCAAGCATATGGGTATTTTATGGGTTGAAGCGTGGTCCCCCCAAAAGATATGACCCTGTCCTAATTCCCAGAATGTGTGAATACGGCCTTTTTTGGATGGAGGGCCTTTGCAGATGGAATTAAGTGAAGGATGAGGAGATGAGGTCATTCTGGGTTATTCAGGCAGGCCCTACATCCAAGGGCTGGTGTCCTTATAGGAGTCATAGGGACAGACACAGAGAAGGCCTCTTGAGAATGGTGGCTGAGCAGGAGGGATGCAGCCACAAGCCAAGGATGCCCAGGCCACCAGAATGCATGACTGCTGCTTGAAGCCACTCAGTTTGTGGTCATTCATTACATCAGCTAAGCCAGGTCTGCACATACCTGCAGAGCAGGAACTCTGGAGGAGAAGCCAGACCCGAAAAGGGACAGTTTCCCCTCTGGCCAGGACCTCACCCCATCAACCCAGCTGCCCACGAGGCTGCTGGGCCAACATCCCAGGCCTACAGCTGCCAGCCTGCCCTGGGCTCAGCCAAGGGAAGAGGGAGCTGTGAACAAGTCAGCCCTGGGCCCCTTCAGGGAGCCAATGACCTCCTCCCTTCCTCCCTCATGCATTCATCCCTTCATTTGTTCATTCAGCCATCCATTCATCACTCCTTCCATAAACAGGCTTGGCACCTCCCACGCGCCTAGATATGAATGCAGTATCAATATGTCCCTTTCAGGGGCCCACAGCAGGCAGGTAAGCACACCCACAAATTCATAACTCCAGAGGGGACAGGAGGCCCAACAGAAGAATCACAAGAGAAGCCACAAGGGCCTCAGCTCTGCCTGGGGCAACAGGGAGAAGCCCCCTAGACTGGTGTCTGGAGGCCCACCCTGGACTGACACAGAGGCTTTCCTGATGGGCAAAGAAGGAGGCCTCCCTCTGGTTTGTGAAGGAGATGGTGGCATGGAGAGCTGGAGGTGGGATCCTGGGTTTTGTCCTCCAGGCGATAGACACAGGAGGGGTGAGAACAGGCTCACCTTTATCAAACTTTGGTGGAAAATTGAAATTGTGTTCCAGAAGGACCAAGAAAGTCTGATGCTGGCCATGTTCAGGCTGTGCTGCTCTGAGATACCGGGGCAGGTGGGCTTGGCAAGGTGGCCCCCATCCTCTCTCTCCCCATGTCCCCCTGATCCTGCTCCTGCTCCTGCTCCTGCTCCATCTCTCCCCACTCCCAGCTGCTCAGTGGCCAAGTCTGGTGTCCTTCAAGAAGTGGCTGAAACCTCTAAAGGAACTTCACCCTGCAGGGCAGGCCCTGCCCAAGGACATCACCACCCAGAGTCCAGGTCTGGCCCTCGCCACCCCACCCCCATCCCAGAGTCTGGAATGATGCAGCCCCCAGCTCCTGGGGCCCCCACATGTAGCCCCTGCTCCCAGCAAACCAGCAAGGGGGGCCTGGGGAGAGGGAGGGGCTAAGAGGGAGCGGAGCGCCTGGCCGTCCCCAGAGAGTACAGCTAACCCACAGCACATAATCCTGTTAAAAAATTAATCCTCATTTAGCCAGGAGGTAAGGCGGCCGCTGAGATAAAGCCCCTGAGAAGTAATAAAAGGCAACAGCAATTGGTAAAGTGGTGAGGCCACTCATAAAACCCTGCTGCAGTCAAGGTCAGGCAGGTCCCAGGAATCGGAGAGCAAGCACCGCCAGGTGGGGGTGGGGGGGGTTGCCTTACAAGCCCCAGCCCCTGCAGAGGGCGACCACCTTGGGCAACAGAGCTGATGCTGATGGTGGAGAGAGGCAGAAAGGAGGGAGGCTGCCTTTCTCAGCTCCTCCCTGCTCGGCCTTACTGGATGGCTGTGGCCCTTTGGGAAGGAATCACCATCCTTGGTCCTTGTCTCTCTCCTAACATCATGGCCGTGAAAGATCACAGCCCCCCTGGGGCCCAGCCGGTCCCAGAGTAGACCTGGTGAGGCTGGGCCCATCTAGCGTGGCTCCTGGTGGCCCCTGCTGTCCCCCACACACTTGTCCCAGGGATAGGAGGATGGAGAGCCCACCCCAGTCCCCACACCAGGGACTCACCTGGAATCCTCCCAGATGGCAGGTGTGGTCACCACTGCATCTGGCATCTGCCTGCTGGGGAAGACTCATTGCCATGTCGTCATGGGGACGTTCCACTCCAGCCAAATTGCATAATCAGGCCATTCCTCCTTCAGGGTCCCCAAAAGCCAATAATGGTCCCCAAAAAAGGGCACTGGACTGGAGGCAGGAGAGACCCATTGAGACCCAATATTGTCACCACTAGTCATGCTGGAAAATCGGGAGGGGGCTCGATGCCTCCGCTACTCCAACAGTGGCAACAACCCACAGCTGTAAGTGCCCAGCTTCCAAGCCCACACCCCTCACCAAGGCATCAAGGGCTCCCTGGAAGCACCAATCTGGGGCTGCACCTGGCCAGAGAAGGAAGAGTGTGGTGATTCCCATTACTGTATCACTCCAACTGCTGCCTGGAGACTAAGGAGAAGCAAGGAGACCAGTCAGAAGGCAGTTGCAATGGTCCTGACCATGCTAACTTCACCCATGTTTTCTTTCACTTATGCACTGAAGAATCATTTATTAAACACCTACTGTGTGTCAGGCATCAGACCAGGAGCTCGGGATACTGTGTTGCTCACAGCCTTCTCGGAGAGACACATAAACAATTGCAATAGAATTCCTTGCATCAGGTTATTAACGAGAACAGGAAGTTAGCGGCAAAGCTGACCTTGTGGAGGACAATGCCTGCCTTATGGCTCTCGGCCACCAGCTGAGACACCAGCAGGCCTGGGCAGGCCAACCCCTGGCCCAGAGGCTGGGTCCCTAGGGCCCGAGCCCCCTACATGGCTCATCTGCATGGGGCAATCTCTCCCTGTGCAAGCGTCAAATCCACCCGGTCCCCAGGCCAAGGACGCCTCTGGATCTGGCTGGCTGGCTTGGCTGGCTTGGCTGGCTGGCTGACTGGGTGGCTTGGCTGGCTTGGCTGGCTGGGTGGCTTGGTGGGCTTGGCTGGCTGGCTGGCTGGGTGGCTTGGCTGGCTTGGCTGGCTGGCTGGCTTGGCTGGTTGGCTCCCTGGGTGGCTTGGCTGGCTTGGCTGGCTTGGCTGGCTGGCTGGCTTCTGTGGTTTAGCCAAATGGCTGGCTTGGTCGGCTGGCTGGCTTGGCTGGCTTGGCTAGCTGGGTGGCTGGCTGCCTTGGCTGGCTGCGTGGCTTGGCTAGCTTGGCTGGCTGGGTGGCTTGGCTGGCTTGGCTGGCTGGGTGGCTTGGCTGGCTGGGTGGCTTGGCTGGCTTGGCTGGCTGGCTGGCTTGTGTGGCTTGGCTGGCTGGCTGGCTTGGGTGGCTTGGCTGGCTGGCTGGCTTGGGTGGCTTGGCTGGCTGGCTGGCTGGCTTGGGTGGCTTGGCTGGCTGGCTGGCTTGGGTGGCTTGGTTGGCTGGCTGGCTGGCTGGCTTGGCTTGGTGGCTGGCTTGGTTGCCTTTGGCTGGCTGGCTGGTTTGGCTGGTTTGGCTGGCTTGGCTGGCTGGCTGGCTTGGCTGGCTGGGCTGGCTTGGCTTGCCGGGTGGCTTGGCTGGCTTGGCTCGCCGGGTGGCTTGGCTGGCTTGGCTGGCTTCATTGGCGGGCTGGCTTAGCTGGCTTGGCTGGCTTGGCTGACTTGGCTGGCTTGGTTGGCTGGCTGGCTTGGCTGGCTTGGCTCGCTTGGCTGGTTGGCTGGCTTGGCTGGCTTGGCTGGCTGGGTGGCTTGGCTGGCTTCAGTGGCTGGCTGGCTTGGCTGGCTTGGCTGGCTGGGTGGCTTGGCTGGCTTGGCTGGCTGGCTGGCTGGGTGGCTTGGCTGGCTTGTCTGGCTGGCTGGGTGACTTGGCTGGCTTGGCTTGCTGGCTGGTTTGGCTGGCTTCGCTGGCTGGCTGGCTGGGTGGCCTGGCTGGCTTGGTTGGCTTGGCTGTCTGGCTGGCTTGGCTGGCTTGGCTGGCTTGCTGGCTTGGCTGGCTTGGCTGGTTGGCTGGCTTGGCTGGCTTGTCTGGCTGGCTGGCTTGGCTGGCTTGAGTGGCTGGCTGGCTTGGCTGGCTTGGCTGGCTGGCTGGCTTGGCTGGCTTGAGTGGCTGGCTGGCTTGGCTGGCTTAGGTGGCTGGCTGACTTGGCTGGCTTGACTCGCTGGCTTCTTTGGCTGGCTTGGCTGGCTTGGCTGTCTGGGTGGCTTGGCTGGCTTGCCTGGCTGGGTGACTTGGCTGGCTTTGGTGACTGGCTAGCTTGGCTGGCTTGGGTGACTGGCTGGCTTGGCTGGCTTGACTCGCTGGCTTCTTTGGCTGGCTTGGCTGGCTTGGCTGTCTGGGTGGCTTGGCTGGCTTGCCTGGCTGAGTGGCTTGGCTGGCTTGGCTGGCTGGCTGGCTGGGTGGCTTGGCTGGCTTGGGTGGCTGGCTGGATTGGCTGGCTGGCTGGCTGGCTGGCTTGGCTGGCTTGGCTGGCTGGCTGACTTGGCTGGCTTGGCTGGCATGACTGGCTGGCTTGCTTGGCTGTCTAGGCTGGATTGGCTGGCTCTCTGGGTTGGCTGGCTTGGCTGGGTGGCTTGCTTGGCTGGCTTGGTTGGCTGGCTGGCTTGGCTGGCTTGGCTTGCTGGCTGGCGTGGTTGGCTTGGCTGGCTGTGTGGCTTGGCTGGCTTGCCCGGCTGGGTGGCTTGGCTGGCTTGGCTGGCTTGGCTGGCTGGCTCACTTGGCTGGCTGCCTGGCTTGGCTGGCTTGGCTGTCTGGCTGGCTTGTCTGGCTTGGCTGGCTGGCTGGCCGGTTGGCTTGGCTGGCTTGCTGGCTTGGCTGGCTTGGCTTGCTGGCTGGCTTGGCTGGCTTGGCTGGCAGGCTTTCTTGGCTGGCTTGGCTGGAAGGGTGGCTTGGCTGGCTGGGTGGCTGGGCTGGCTTGGCTGGCTGAGTGGCTTGGCTGGCTGGGTGGCTGGGCTGGCTGGGCTGGCTTGGCTGGCTGAGTGGCTTGGCTGTCTTGGCCAGCTGGCTGGCTTGGCTGGCTGGCTCACGTGGCTGGCTGCCTGGCTTGGCTGGCTTGGCTGTCTGGCTGGCTTGGCTGGCTTGGCTGGCTGGCTTGACAGGCTGGGTTGGCTGGCTGGCTGGCTGGCTGGCTTGGCCGGCTGGCTGGCTTGGCTGGCTGGCTGTCTTGGCTGGCTTGGCTGGCTGGCTGGCTTGGCTGGCTGGCTGTCTTGGCTGGCTTGGCTGGCTTGGCTGGCTGGCTGTCTTGGCTGGCTGGCTGTCTTGGCTGGCTTGGCTGGCTTGGCTGGCTGGCTGGCTTGGCTGGCTTGGCTGGCTTGGCTGTCTTGGCTGGCTGGCTGGCTTGGCTGGCTTGGCTGGCTTCACTGGCTGGCTGGCTTGGCTGGCTTGGCTGTCTGGCTGGCTGGGTGGCCTGGCTGGCTTGGCTGGCTTGGCTGGCTGGCTGGCTGGCTGGCTGGCCTGGCTGGCTGGGTGGCTGGCTGGCTTGGTTGGCTGGGTGGCTTTGCTGGCTTGGCTGTTTGGGCAGCTTGGCTGCCTTGGGTGGCTGGGTGGCTTGGCTGGCTTGGCTGGCTGGCTGGCTTGGCTGCCTTGCCTGGCTGCCTGGCTTGACAGGCTTGGCTGGATGGCTGTCTGGCTTACTTGTCTGGCTGGCTGGCTTGGCTGGCTTAGGTGGCTGGCTGGCTTGGCTGGCTTGGGTGGCTTGCTGGCTTGGCTGGATTGGGAGGCCGGCTGGCTTGACTGGCTTCGCTGGCTGGCTGGCTTGGCTGGCTGGGTGGCTTGGCGGGCTTGGCTGGCTGGCTGGCTTGGCTGGCTGGCTTAGCTCGTTGGCTGGCTGGGTGGCTTGGCTGGCTTGGACGGCTGGGTGGCTTGGCTGGCTTGGCTGGCTGGCTGTCTTGGGTGGCTTGGCTGGCTGGCTGGCTTGGCTGTTGGCTGGCTGGGTGGCTTGGCTGGCTTGGCTGGCTGGGTGTCTTGCCTAGCTTGGGTGGCTGGCTGACTTGGCTGCCTTGGCTCTCTGGCCACTTGGCTGGCTGGTAGGCCGGCTGGCTTGGCTGGCTGGCTGGCTTGGCTGGCTTGCCTGGCTTGGCTGGCTGGCTGGCTTGGCTGGCTTGGCCGGCTGGCTGGCTGGCCTAGCTGGCTGGCTTGGCTGCCTTGGCTGGCTGGCTGGCTGGGTGGCCTGGCTGGCTTGGCTGGCTTTGCTGGCTGGCTGGCTTGGCTGGCTTGGCTGGCTGGCTGGCTTGGCTGGCTTGGCTGGCTTGGCTTGCTGGGTGGCTTGGCTGGCTTCGCTGGCGGGGTTGCTTGGTTGGCTTTTCTGGCTGGCTGGCTTGGCTGGCTTGGCTGGCTGGGTGACTGGCTAGCTGTCTTGGCTGGCTTGGCTCGCTGGCTTCCTTGGCTGGATTGGCTGGCTTGGCTGGCTTGACTGGGTTGGCTTTCTGGCTGGCTGGGTGGCTTGGCCGGCCTGACTGGCTGGGTGGCCTGGCTGACTTGGCTGGCTGGCTGGCTTGGCTGGCTTGGCTGGCTGGGTGGCTTGGCTGGCTGGCTGGCTTGGCTGGTTGGCTGGCTGGGTGGCTTGTCTGGCTTAGATGGCTGGCTGGCTTGGCCGGCTTGGGTGACAGGCTGGCGTGGCCGGCTTGGTGACTGCCTCGCTGGCTTGGCTGGCTTGGCTCGCTGGCTTCCTTGCCTGGCTTGGATGGCTTGGCTGGGTTGGCTGTCTGGCTGGCTGGGTGGCTTGGCTTGCTGGCTGGCTTGGCCGTCTTGGCTGGCTTCGCTGGCTTGGCTGGCTGGCTGGCTTGGCCGGCTGGCTGGCTCTCCCAGGCTGCAATGCAACGGTATGATCTTGGCTCACTGCAACCTCTGCCTCCCAGGTTCAAGCAATTCTCCTGCCTCAGCCTCCCGAGTAGCTGGGATTACAGGCCTGAGCCACAACACCCGGCTGATTTTTGTACTTTTAGTAGAGATGGGGTTTCATCATGTTTCGTACTCCAGTATGGGTGACAGAGCAAGACTCTGTCTCAAAAAAACAAAAAAGAATTTATACATTGGCATACAGATTCACACACATACACTCATATTCACAAACACACAAATACAATAAATGCAGGGGCACACACAAACACCATCACAAAAACACACTTCCATAAAACACAGGAATGCACGCTCACACAGAAACACACATGGAAACACACGTCTTACAGACTCACAGACACAGTCATCATCACATAAAGAGGCACACACAGCCACGCAAGCACACACCCACACCCACATCAACACACACAATCCCACATGGCACCCACGCACTCACGCACACAGGCAGAACAGGCCTGCATTACCTGATAACGCAGTTGAATCAGACGTGATGCTGCCTGCCGAGGAGACCTGGAGGCTTCCCATGCATGAGCTTTCAGATGAGAGGTCTCTGGGTACATCTGGTGACACCCCAGGCAGTGGGGGAGACGTCTAGGCCGGAAGGCCAGCCACAGCCAGCTCTGCCCAAGGATGCCACGTCCATTTGCTTCAGTAGGATCTGCATCCTGTAAACCCTGGTTCCTGCCTCTCCAGGACACCCCACTGAGGTCAGCACACTCCCCAGGTTTAGAAGGGGTCTCTCGGTGAAATCTGGTGACACCCCAGGCAGAAGGGGGGACACCACAGCCAGCTCTGCCCGCGGTTGCGACGTCCATTTGCTTCAGTAGGATCTGCACCTTGGAAACCCAGGTTCCTGCCTCTCCAGGACACCCCACTGACGTTAGCACACCCTCCAGGTTTACAAGCGGTCTCTGGATACATTTGGTGACACCACAGGCAGATGGGGGATGCTACAGCCAGCTCTGCCCATGGATGCCACTTCCATTTGCTTCAGTAGGATCTGCACCCTGTAAACCCTGGTTCCTGCGTCTCCAGGACACCCCACTGAGGTCAGCACCCCCCACCCACCACCCCCATGTTTGTCCATCTTCGCTGTCTGGGGAGATACACAGAAAGACCACATTCGGTGGAATTCTGGCTATAACATTTTGTGGCCGGCAAGAAGGATCACCAAGCTGTCCTGTTACCTTGCTGGAGCGATCACTGGTTTCACGCTTGGCCCCCGTGCAGTGAGTGCCTGGGCCAGGCTCGATTCCTGGAGCTCCGGTGAAATTTGGGCTTGGAGCTCACGCCTGCACCATCCAGAAAGCAGAAGGCAGCCGGCCTGGGCTGTACGGTTCGTAGAATCAGAGAGAACACTGCTTGCCTTCATGTCTGTACCACAATAAATCTGCCAACTGCGGTCAAAGTCTCTGGATTCCTGCCCCCTCATTTTATTTAGTCTATTATGGAGCAGAAGGAGTGAGAAAGATTTTGCTTCCTATTTTGTTTTGCAAAGCGTTTCTAAGAAAAACAACCCGTGTTCTGAAAACGAGATTCTGAGTGTCCCCTGGGCGTGATGAAAACAAACTTTGGGAATCCAAGGGCCTGAGAGGCAGAGTGAATGTCATTCGCATTTCCCTGCGAATGACAAAGTCACTTTTTATTTATTTTTATTATTATTATTATTATTATTATTATTATTATAGATTCAGGGGATCCACGGGCAGCTTTGTGACCTGAGGATATTGTACGTTGCTGAGGTTTGGGGTATGAATCATCCCGTCACCCAGGCACTGAGCATTGTACATTCCTGAGGTATATAATGTGTACTAAAAATAAAATGTATATTTATATATGCACTAATGATTCAACTTGATTCCTTGTAATTAAGAAAAACAAACCCCAAATTCTAGAGGAGTTCTAGAAATATGTAAGAAGAGAGGCCAGGCGCAGTGGCTCATGCCTGTAATCCCAGCACTTTGGGAGGCCGAGGCAGGTGGATCTCCTAAGGTCAGGAGTTCGAGACCAGCCTGGCCAACATGGTGAAACCCCGTCTCTGCTAAAAATACAAAAATTAGCCAGGTGTGGTGGTGGGTGCCTGTAGTCCCAGCTACTTGGGAGGCTGAGGTAGAAGAATTGCTTGAATCCAGGAGGCAGAAGTTGCAGGGAGCCGAGATTGCACCACTGCACTCCAGCCTGGGTCACAGAGCGAGACTCCATCTCAAAAAAAAAAAAAAAAAAAAAGAGAGCGAGAGAGAAAACAAACAAGCAAGAAAATGCAACAGAAAAATCCGTGACCCAAAGCTCTCTCCAGTTGCTGCTTTCTGCCGGAAATTCAAAGAATCTCAGGGTAGTTTTTCAACCCTTGTACCCCCGCCCCTGCTTCCTGCTCTATTAGTACTGAGGGTCTGTGGTGCCCCTTCATTGTGTCCAGGTGCAGGCAATGTTTAGCTCCCGCCTATAAGCGAGAACATGTGGTATTTGATTTTCTGTTCCTGGCGTTAATTCACTAAGCATAGTGCCCTTCAACTTCATCCACGTGACTACAAAGGGCATGATTTTATTCTTGTTCATGGCTGTGTAGTATTCCATGATGCGGAAGGACCACATTTGCTTTATCTAATTGAGAACATGTGGTATTTGATTTTCTGTGTCTGGCATTAATTCACTAAGCATAATGCCCTTCAGCTTCATCCATGTTGCTGCAAAGGGCATGATTTTATTCTTGTTTATGGCTGTGTAGTATTCCATGATGCGGAAGGACCACATTTGCTTTATCTAGTGCACAACATGTGGTATTTGATTTTCTGTTCCTCGTATTGATTCACTAAGCATAATGCCCTCCGGCTGCATCCATGTGGCTGCAAAGACATGATTTTATTTTTTTCATCACTGTGTAGTATTCCGTGGTGTAGAAGGGCCACATTTGCTTTATCCAGTTGAGGACATGTAGTATTTCATTTTCTGTTCCTGGCATTAATTCACTAAGCATAATGTCCTTCAGCTGCATCCATGTGGCTGCAAAGGACATGATATTATTCTTTTTCATGGCTGCGTAGTATTCCATGATGCAGAAAGACCACATTTGCTTTATCTAGTGGAGAACATGTGGTATTCGATTTTCTTTTCCTGGTGTTAATTCACTAAGCATAATTCCCTTCAGCTGCATCCATGTGGCTGCAAAGACATGATTTTATTCTTTTTCATGGTTGTGCAGTATTCTATGGTGTAGAAGGGCCACAATTGCTTTATCCAGTCAAGAACATGTGGTATTTGATTTTCTGTTCTTAATTCATTAAGCATAATGCCCTCCAGCTACATCCATGTGGCTGCAAAGGATGTGACTTTATTCTTTTTCATGGCTGTGTAGTATTTGATGCTGTAGAAGAACCACTTTTGCTTTATCCGGTACCCTACTGATGGGCAACTGGGTTGATTCCATGACTTTCCTATTGTAAGTCATGCTGTGACGAACCTTACAGGGCCGGGCACTATAATCCCAGCACTCTGGAGGGCCAAGGTGGGCAGATCACCTGAGGTCAGGAGTTCGAGACCAGCCTGGTCAACATGGTGAAACCCTATCTCTACTAAAAATACAAAAACTAGCCAGGCATGGTGGCGCATGCCTGTAATCCCAGCTGCTCAGGAGGCTGAGGCAGGATAATCACTTTAACCCAGGAGGCAGAGGTTGCAGTGAGCCGAGATTGCTACTGCACTCCAGCATGGGCAATAGAGCGAGACTCCATCTCAAAAAACAAACAAACAAACAAAAAGGAACTTTACCATGCATGTGTCTTTTTGGTAGAATGACTTCTTTTCCTTTGGGTAGATGCCCAGTCTTGGAATTGCTGGTGCAAATGGTGGAGCAGTTTGGATTCAGGAGGTACATGTACAGGTTTCTTACATGCGGATGATGTGTGATGCTGAGGTCTGGGGTATGAGTGATCCCATCACCCAGATAGTGAGCATAATACCCCACAGTTGGTTTTTTCAACTCTTGTCCTTCTACCTTCCTCTCTCCCCCTAACTAGAACCCAGTATCTGTTCCCTTCTCTGTGTCTACCTATACACAACATTTAGCTCCCACTTATAAGTGAGAACACGCAGCATTCTGTTAATTTACTTAAGATAATGGCCTCCACACTGTTCACAATAGCAAAGATGTGGAACCAACCCAAATGCTCATCAGTGATAGACTGGATAAACAAAATGTAGCACATAGACACTGTGGAATACTATGCAGCCATGAAAAAGGATGAGTTCATGTCCTTTGCAGGGACATGGATGAAGCTGGAAACCCTCATGTTCAGCAAAGTGAAACAGGAACAGAAAACCAAACAGTGCATGTTCTCACTCATAAGTGGGAAGTGAACAATGAGAACACATCGACCCAGAGAGGGGAACATCACACACTGGGACCTGTTGCAGGGGTGGGGGACTGGGGAAGGGACAGCATTATGAGAAATATCTAATGTAGATGACAGGTTGATGGGTGCAGCAAACCGCTATGGCACATGTATATCTATGTAACAATCCTGCACATTCTGCACATATACCCCAGAACTTAAAGTAGAATAGAAAAAATAAAAAATAATAAAAATAATTAAAAAAGATAATGGCCTCCAGCTACATCCATGTTGCTGCAAAAACAAACAAACAAAAAAAACAAAAAAATGATTTTGTTCCTTTTCAGGGTTGCGTAGTATTCCATGGTGTAGATGTACCACATTTTCTTTGAGGGTAGAGGGTGGGAGGAGGGAGAAGATCAGCAAAAATAACCTGTGGCTGGGTGTGGCAGCTCACACCTGTATTCTCAGCAGTTTGGGAGGCTGAGGTGGGTGGATCACCTGAGGTCAGGAGTTTGAGATCAGCCTGGCCAACATGGCAAAACCCTATCTCTACTAAAAGTACAAAAATTAGCCGGGCATGGTGGTGCACGCCTGTAATCCCGGCTCTTCTGTAGGTTGAGGCAGGAGAATCTCTTGAACCCAGGAGGCAGACATTGCAGTGAGCCGAGATCGTGCCACTGCCCTCCAGCCTGGGCCACAGAGTGGGACTCCATCTCAAAAAATAATCATAAAAATAATAATAATAACCTGCTAGGCTTAGGACCTAGGTTGATTCCATTACAAAAAAAAAGAAAAAACTAACTTTTTAAAAGAAGGATCTCTCTGTTCAAAAACAAAACCAATGCCCTGTCAGGAAAGATGTTCTGTGTTTCTGGTAAAGCTGGAAGGAACCTACAGGAAGGAGTCACCCCATAAAACTAGTGGAGCAGCATTGCCTTTTGGGGTGAGGGCTACTTCTGTTAGGCCACCAGGATGAGTGTCTTCCTGGGGAGTGTGGTTCATCCTATACCATCCAGGAAGCAATTCCTGCCCCCAAATCACTTGCCAGCTTCTGCCCTGTAAGTAAAATCCCCAGCAAGCAGGCAGCAAGGAGCTGCTTGCCTTGGAAGGCAGCTGAAGTCTCTGCCCACCACCCAGACTGTGTCCTCTGGGAAAGGCCAGGTCTTCCAGTTGGATGGTTTTCACATTAGCGGCTGCTGTTTAGAATCACCAACATTGGCCAGGCACGGTGGCTCACGCCTGTCATCTCAGCACTTTGGGAAGCCGAGGCGGGCGGATCACAAGGTCAGGGACCAGCCTGGCCAACATGGTGAAACCCTGTCTCAACTAAAAAAAAATACAAAAATTAGCTTGGTGTGGCTGGGCATGGTGGCTCATCCCTGTAATCCCAGCAATGTGGGAGGCTGAGGCGGGTGGATCATGAGGTCAGGAGATCAAGACCATCCTGGCTAACACGGTGAAACCCTGTCTCTACTAAAAATACAAAAAATTAGCCAGGCACGGTGGCAGGCACCTGTAGTCCCAGCTACTCGTGAGGCTGAGGCAGGAGAATGGTGTGAACCTGAGAGGTGGGGTTTGCAGTGAGCCCAGATTGCGCCACTGCACTCCAGCCTGGGCGATATAGAGTGAGACTCTGTCTCAAAAAAAATTAAAAAAATAAAAAATTAGCCTGGTGTGGCGGTGGGCACCTGTAATCCCAGCTACTCAGGAGGCTGAGGCAGGAGAATTGCTTGCACCCCAGAGGCAGAGGTTGCAGTGAGCCGAGATTGCACCATTGCACTCCAGCCTAGACAACAGAGCGAGACTCTGTTGCAAAAAAAAAAAAAAAGGAATCATCAACATTGCCTTGGCCCAATCTCTTCCCAGACTTGTCAAATATTTACCACTAGACCTCCATGTTCTAGTTTCAAAGCTCTGCTGGCCACAGTGGCTCATGTCTGTAATCCCAGCACTTTGGGAGGCTGAGGTAGGAGGACTGCTCGAACCCAGAAGCATGAATCCATCCTAGGCAACATAGTGATAATAGTGTCAAATGAGAGCCAGTGTCCAGTAATTCCCCAAATATCTGAGAATTTTCTTTTCTTTAAGTCACAGTCATCCTGGCAGAAGGCTGTAGGTCCCTTTGGGGAAGACTGGGGAAAAGATTAACAATGTAAATTTTTGGCAATGTAGCAGCGTACTTCCCCAAGATCACCCAGCCTCCCCTTCACTTAAGGGGTTGTAGGCCTGTGAACTGGCTCAAGTCTGGGAATTGATTGAGGGTTTTAGATCTGTGTTTCATTAATTTGAGTTAATCTTTTATTCAGTTGACCTAGAATTATTCATTTTTTAAACAACAACTAAGACTTTGGTACAGCCCATTAGCTCTCCCTGTGGATACCATGGACTACACAATGCCATGGGTGTCTGTGAGTCAAATCATTCTGACTGCTGCTTTGACACTGCTTTCCACTGTGGTGACCACACCCACCTCATCTTTGGTGATTAAGGACAGCCCATGTTCCCTGCCACCCCAGGATTCAATTATCCTCATTTTACTTAAAGATCCCAGTCCAGTGGCTGCAGTTCCTGCTGTAACATTTTGCCTACTGAGAGCACAAGCTCAAAGCTCTTCCAGGATACTGGGCTCCTCTCACAATATTCTTTCTCATGATCGTTGTGAGGAGTATGTTCTGTAGACCCTTCAGTGTGAGTGAGCAGGTCTGACATAATAAATCCAGTCTCCCTGAGTTTTTGCATACCTTTCTGTACACATAAACCAAGGAAGTTGTGGCATCTCAACTTTATGTACCTTAGGTAAACTCTGATTCTGTTTCAGCCAACCAACCAAGTCACCAAACAAACAGCCAACCAATCAACCAACAAGCAAGCAAGCAACAAACCAACCAAACAACCAAGCAAGGAAGCAAGCACCACCAACCAAGCAAGCAACCAACCAAGTAACCGATCAAACCAACCCTTGGAGCCCTTTCTAAAGCTTTGACCTACAACTCTGAGTCCAGAATCTCTGTTTAGTGGGCCAACATTAATAAATTTAGCCTAATCCAACTTTATGTTACTTTCACCATGGTGCCACACAATATCCATTCCCACATATATTCTCCAGATTTCCTTCTGTATAAATTGCGTGTGTGTGTGTGTGTGTGTGTGTAGAAAGAGAGCATCAACTGAAAAATCACACAATTTTATAAATTTAGAAAAGAGAGCTTTATTTCTTATAAAGGTTTGCAGTCTGCAAGGTGGCCATTATGACAGGCTGGGAAGTGTGGCCTACAGCCAAGGCCAGAGGCAGGCATTTCCAGGGAGGGAGGGAGAGGACAGGAATTTGAGCCAAATGAGTTGGCTACATATACATACTCAATAGGATATCAGAGGAGCTATATCATTTTATGAGAATACTCATAAAAGAGGTCCTAACACATGCATATTCAATAAACATGCATGTTCATTCTGGGGTGGAGACTTGACATTTAAATGTATTATAATTAGGCCCTACACATCAAAAAGTGAAGCAGGGACATGAAGGTACTCAGCCTCGTAAAGGCACAGCCTCTAAAACTGGCCAGAACCAGTCCATGGAGGATGGTCTCTTATCAGGAGAAAGTTACTGAAATCAGTCCCTTGTCCAGAGAAAGCTGTCGTTAAGGTTAGTGGGGCAGGAGATCAGTTACTCAGCATCTGTGAACTGGGTGAGTTGTAATTGTTTTAATCTTCTCTCACAGCCATCTCTCACAGCCAGTGCTTGCTTGGCTGCTAGAGAAAAATAAAACCCATGTGGTAGTTAGAATCTAGTTAATTCTTTAAGAGTAGGGTACAAGACTTAACCCTCGCCTGGCATGGCCCTAGGTCCTGTTTATAATTTGAGGTCTTATTGCCACAAAGAGTCTGTTCTGTCAGTCTCATGATCTCTATTTTAACATTAATGCTGTTCAGTTGTTGGGTCTAAACCATAAGAGGGAGGGAGGTACAGGGAGGTATGTCTGACTTCCTGTCCTGTCATGGCCAAGAACTGAATTTTAAGTTTTATTTGAGGTTCCATTGGCCAACAGGGGGTCTGTTAAGATGGGTGGGGGCCTTAGGATTTTAGTTTTAGTTCTCAAGGGAGATAAAATAATTTAATCAATTGGCCCCTACGACTGTGGGACTAACATGGCTATGATCTGTCGGACAGACTTCAGGGTGGCACCCAGGCAAA
The DNA here is from genome assembly GCF_000001405.40 of Homo sapiens. Classification (NCBI taxonomy): domain Eukaryota; kingdom Metazoa; phylum Chordata; class Mammalia; order Primates; family Hominidae; genus Homo; species Homo sapiens. Next base: position 20,331,657 of record NC_000015.10, on the reverse strand, counting down.
ATTCTATGCTGTAGTAAATGCATCATGCACATTTGTAACAATATGTACATAACAATGTCACAAAATACTTTCAAGGTGACACCTAGATTAGTATTTTATTGAATAGCTGATGATATAAACTGGCTCATTTGATGCCAAGACTGACCATTACCACCATACCAAGGTCATCACTGATCAGAGGCCTAACCCAAGGAGGGGGTCATGTGCAGACCCAGCAGTGGGGAGGAAAGATGCTGCAGAGGAGACAGATGCCCACAGAGGCCCCTGAGTGGATACCATGCTCACTAAGTGGTAAGTATAGACTCAACGTAGGCTGTAAGGTCTCCCCCTGTGCAAATGGGACCCCGTCCACTTGAGAGTCAAGGGTCTGTTTGGGTGGCAGGGATAGCCACTTCTGAAGGTAGAAAGGAAATAAGCCACCAAATTGGTATCTTTCTGTGAAATGGACATCGTGCTTAGAATCTCCATTTTCCCCACAACCTGGAGGAATAAGTACTGTCATGTGCATTTTGTAGCTGAGGAATCTGACGCAACAAAAATTAAATTACTTGCCTAAGCAATTAGCAATTAACCAAGTCTTTCTGACTCAGAAACCCAGCTGTTGCCTGTTCATATCCAGCCCCTGTATTGGGGTCAAGATCTGGCCTGTTCTCAATGCAGCAAGATCCAGGCAGATCACACTGGACTCCCAGCACTGAATCTGGCTCAAAGGGACATCAAATTTGACTGGGTCGTGGGGCTCAGGAGCATCACTCTCAAAAATAGCAGTACAGGAAGAGGCGATGACCCTAAACAGCATTTGCAGGCAGATCCCATGTTAATAATAAGGGTCAGGACTCTCTCACTTTTCTGTCTCTCTCTCTGTCTCTCCTCTAGGGCTGACCCCACATTGGACACCACTGCATCCATGTCCATCACACACCACAGCTGCCTTTTCTTCTGCCTGCTTATGGGAAAGTCCCCTCCTCTCCTCCGTTTTCTTCTCTTCCTGCCCTATCACACCGTGCACTTCTCCCTTTCCTTAAAGAACCACCATCAACTTTAGGAGGAGGGAAAGGGGTGGCTCTGGCAGGAAAAGCCAGAATCCCCTCTAGCCAGCAGAGAGAGAGGAATGGCTGCATGTTTTCTCCCCCAATCCAAGGCACTAGGTTTTGGCTAGGTTGCAGGTTCCAAGCTGCTCTCCTGCTGTGTCGGTGAGTTCTGGTTAACCTGCAACCTCCTGATGTGGCCACTGCAGTTCATCGAGTCTTCAGGGACTCCCCATGGCCTGGAGTACTTTGCCTTGCTTACACGGGAGAGGAGAATGGATTTATAGAGAACATCATCTAAATCCAACTTGACCATTGTGTGGCCACACTTGCTAGATTGCTTTAGTCTAAATCTAGCATTGTAGAAAGACGGGGGAGCTTGGAGCTGCACAAACCCAGGTCTGGAACTGGCTCCTTACCTTGAAAGGTGAATAATCCTGGCAGGACTCTTAGCCTTCCTGGGCCTCAGTTTCTTTATCTGTTTCTTGGGAAGGAGGATCTCTGCTGGTTGGTTGGGTGATGTGGGGGCTGTGTGAAAACAACTTGTCAATACAAGCCAAAATAGGAATATTTCTCCACAGAGTATGAAGGTCAAATGAGAGAATACATTTAAATTAAATGGAAAATTTAAATGGCAAAAAAGGCAAAGCTGTATTGAAAGTTCTGAGCTTCTCTATAAGGAGCTTTTTGACTATGTAAGAATCCTATACTCGTTCCCCCTAAATATAAAAAAAAAAGTTGAAGGAGGCAGAAGGGAGAGTGATGCACGATGGGCGAGGACTTCACCTGCTGTTGCAGGCTTTGAGGATGGAGGAAGGAGGCCACAAACCCAGAAGCTGGAGCCCCTAGAAGCTAGAAAACGCAGGGACCTGATTCATCCCTTGAGCCTCCAGAAGGGACATAGCCCCACCAGCACCTTGACTTTAGCCCAGTGAGATCCTCTTAGGACTTTTGGCAACCAGAACTATAAGACAGAAATGGAAGCCACTGAGTCTGTAGCTGTTTGTTGCAGCAGCAATAGAAAACTAATGCAGAGCCCAAGAAATCACTGGTGATGAGATGGGGAAGTGGGCTCAGGAGGTCTGGATCTGTGATGAGATGGGGAAAGTGGGGGAGGTCTGGATCTGTGATGAGATGGGGAAAGTGGGCTCAGGAGGTCTGGATCTGTGATGAGATGGGGAAAGTGGGCTCAGGAGGTCTGGATCTGTGATGAGATGGGGAAAGTGGGCTCAGGAGGTCTGGATCTGAGTTGGGGATCTGGAGTGGAAGGGGAATTCATTTGTTCATTGTCTATCCTTTTGCATTGATTCAGTTTTTTCCATATATATATATATGTGAATTTCACAATAAAAGTTTTTTCCAAAATAAAAGAAACAAAAGGGGCTTTTTGCAACTCAATTCCTATCTATGTCTGAGTCCACTTGTATTGAATGAGTCTTTCTGCTAACATCCTTATATTTGGGTGACAATCTGAATGTCAGTGACCAATCAGAGCAGAGGCAGACCTTGGAGTGGGCAGGGCATCCTGAGGGCCCTGATTCCTGCCATGAGGCATAACCCTTTAGATGCCAGACCATGGGGAGGTCCAGGGGTTGCAGGGGAGGGCTGTGCATCTGCAATGACTCTCAGGGGGCTCCCGGTGGTGGCAATTGGTGAATCTGCACGGCAGTGTTTCAATATTGTCACAACCCTGCTGTCTCTCATGCTCTCAAAAAGCATTTCTCTTACCTGTGACAGACTTCCTATACCTAACAGCTTGCAAAAATGTTCCAGGTTAATGAGAATAATCTCTCGGAGCCATACCTCCCTACTTGGGGTCTCAGTTTCCCCAACTGTCTCCAGACAAGTTAGGCTAGAAGGCCCCTGAGCCTCAGCCCCTCTATACCCCTCCTGTCACCCAGACCTGATCTGGGGCTTGCACCCTGGGTGCAGCATGACAGGGGTGGGCAGGGGCTGGCTCTGGGCCAGAGGACCCTTTCTGATGGACTTCAGCTGTTGGCCTTCCAGGGGAGACTGATCAACCTCACAAGAGTCATACGGTGAGTAGCGGTGGGCAAATCCATCCCCCTCGTCTTAGATTTATGGGGAGACAGAGAGAAAGAGGAGACACTCCAGGAAGACCTGCAGGTGGGAGTACCAGGTTGAAACCAAGGACACCTTCCTGGAGGAGCTGCTGTTTGAGCCAGCTCTGAGAACAGGTGGGGACAGGACTGGAGAGGAGAAGGGGGTCCCCTATGAGCAAAGACTGGCCACCACCCGATCTAACACCCCCACAGGGCCCCTGTGGCATCCCTGTCCAGTCCCTGTCACCACCCAGTTTTCCCCTCTGGACCCAGGAATTCAAAGTAAGCAAGGAGGTCTGCTGCTCCAGTTGGCTGCAAATAATTACAACCTTGAGCCCAAGCAGCACTTTGGGTCATGGTTTGGGACCATGAAGCAGCTTGGTGAGACTGAGAGGTAAGGCCAGGACAGGAATTGGGATAGTGGGATTGAACTCTCCCTGGGGGCCAGCCTCAGAAAGCCTGTGGCCATGGCCTCTTGGTCAACAGGTCAACATCAGATCCTGTGGTCTGGCAATGCCTGGGGTACCCAGACCTCACTCTGGACAGGCCCTGGGAGGGGGCCCTGGTGAGATTCCTGGCAGCCTCACAGCCACTCTTCTGTCCATAGCTACAACCTGTCATGCTAGCTGGAGGCTCCATCCCAGTTGGCTGGGAGCACAAAGGCCAGGAAGATAGACATCACCCACCACAGGGGCCAGTCGGGGCCTGAACCAGGGCGAGCAGAGGTTGGCTGCCTTGGGATATGGGTGGGCTCAGGGAGTCAGACAGCAAGGGACCAGCCTCCCATCCTACTGCTGACCAGCCCTGTGACTGGGGAGAGTCACCTTACTTCTCTGGGCCTCAGTTTCCCCCTCTGTGGAGTGACACTAAATGATCTCTCTGGAGACTGGGATCAATAGGGCACTGGTGATTGACCAGGCACTCAGCACATGCCTGGAGCACATGGTGCAGGGCTGTGGTGGGGAGGTGGCCTGAGTTCCTGGGGAGTCACCCATGTGTGCCTGCCGTTCTGACCAGCCACCAGGCCCTCAGGGCAGAGCCCACTACCAGCAGCAGCTCACACCCCGAGACCAGCTCAGAGGCGGCCCCTAGCTCAGCAGCAGGGACATCACGGACACTTTAAGCTGCTACTAGGGTGGCTTCTCCAGCTCCCACGTGGAGAGGGGTCCCAGCTGAGTCCCACTCACGTGGAGTCTCATGCCGATGAAAGTGCCATTCATCACTGGCCAGGCTCATGAGGCCGCATGAGAGGGGGGTCACTGGGGAGGAGATATCGGGGGAACAGAGAGGGTGGTTGAATTTTTGTATAATAGGCAGTGCAAGTGCTTACCGTTTGGGAGGGGAAAGGTTTGTTATTATTAGCAATGCTACACTTGAATATTATACTAAAATCCAGTTTCTCTATAATCTTGGAGTTGCTCTTTTGTTCTTTCTTTTCCCATCTTAATTAAAATGAGATGCAGACTCTCACGGTCCACAGTCGATTAAGAAATCTTGCACGGCCATCAGGTTATGTCTTGGAGAGCAGAGTTTCAGTACCATCAGCCTGGCAAGGAGCCGGGCCTGCTCCTCAGAGCTGCCGGGACTGCGAGAATTGGCATGTTCACAGGGCACTGTCACAGCCTCTGAAACATGCTGTCTTTAAAGACGTTTGCAGGCTGGATGCGGTGGCTCACTCCTGTAATCCCAGCACTTTGGGAGGCAGAAGCGGGTGGCTCACTTGAGGTCAGGAGTTCGAGACCAACATGGCCAACATGGTAAAACCCCATCTCTACTAAAAATACAAAAAATTAGCCAGGTGTGGTGGCAGGTGCCTGTAATTCCAGCTACTTGGGAGGCTGAGGTAGGAGAACTGCTTGAACCCAAGAGGCGGAGGTTGCAATGAGCAGAGATCACACCACTGCACTCCAGTCTGGGCAACAAGAGCAAAACTTCATCTCAAAAAAAAAAAAAAAAAAAAAAACACAAAGACATTTGCAAGGACCATGTCCTCACCCAGAATGGTGCCTGCCTTTCTACAGTTTTTCAGGAAGAGGAAACATTTTCTGCTTCTCTCGCTGAGGTTTTTTTTAACCACCCATTAGGAACCGATAGATTTCAGGATCGAACACTGGGATTCCCTCAGCACTAAAGGAGGAAAATTGCAAACAGAGCTGAAAGTGCAATGTGCAAAGGTCAGGCTGAGGAAGGTTCTTAGCCAGTAGACCAAGAGCAGGAAGGACACTGCCTCCTCAGTCTCCCACTAGGGAACTTGTGATTCTTGTCCCCTGACCTCAGAATTCCTTTTCATGTTTGTTTTGTCTCCAAGGGAAAGGTTTGAATTACAGAATTTAAGGCTAGAGTGGGCCTCGTGCAGTTAACATTAACCCTCTCTTTCCTTCGCTGGCTGAGGTGAAGTCCAGGAACACGTAGTTCTGACGTCCACTCTCTCGGGGGATCACCAGTTCACCCATCTCACCCAGCAAGCTGGGCCCTAGTTTGGTGACAGGCATCTTCCACCCACCTGGGAGGCAGGGTTCAACACTCTGCCTCTGACCTTGTTTCCTTCTTCTGCCATCTGCTTAGGCAGCCAGAAGGGGTTGTCCAGCCAGCACCTGGGCTTTGGCGCACCTCAAGCAGGTGGAGGAAGTTTCAGGCACCTGGCTCCTCAGGTGTCTGCCATCCAGGTGCTCTTCAGGCCTGCACGGCAGAGGTCTCTTGACCCAGCTAGAACTGGCCAGAACTGACTCACTCAGGAATGTGTAGACTTTGGCATCAGGGGCTGCTTTAATTTGCACAATTTCCAAATACCTCTTTTTTCTTCTTTTTCTGATGAGTCATCTCCCTAGACTTGCATTTTAAAGAGATAGATAGTTATCAGGTTCCAGAGAAGACATGGTAGAACATTTATATCTCAAAGACACAGAGCTGAGACTTCAGTTTTAGATACTATAATTTGCCTAAACCAAAAAGGAAGGTGTAGGTAAAGTTCTAGTCAAGACAGGATGGCCAGGAAAAACACCTTAAACCAAGGGATGGCTTGCTTTGCTGATTTAAGCCAATGGCTTCTTTATCATAAGACTTCCCAGTGATTTAGTCCTCCCTCTCTTCCAGTGCACAGAGACATACCCCTCCTTACAAATAAAAATGTTCTTTATAGATGTAAATTTATTTTACAAAAATGTTTCAAAATGACCAGATGAAAATCATCCTTATGCCAGAAGACTTGTTTTTTTTTTTTTTTTCATTACTAGAAATGAAACAGTAAGTATTTGTTCTATTGACATACTTAGGCTTAGACCTATGTTTAACAAGAAAGCCTAATAATAGCACTGTGGTTAGACTGCAGCCTATTTTTCCAAACCATCATTTTATTATTAAGGAAACGAAGGATCAAATACCTTTCATTCATCTGATATGATCCTTTAAAACACATTCCACTAATAGGTCCCATTTGGAACAGCTGAAAATCTTTTAATAAAACTTTTTAAAGATGAGCTCATGGCTTAGTGTAAATTTCACAAGCTTAATTAGGTCAAATGGAAGGAACTCAGATGAGTAGTTGCCCAATCAGAGCCCATTATTTGTAAGTCATCAGACCCCTCCATGACCTTAAAACTCCACTCTGAGCTAATTATTGCAAACCTACATACAACAAAGTGAAAGGATTAATTTTCATTCATCAACCTCTCAATCCCAGATTTTCAAAGAAAAAACCTATGTAAGGAATACTTACCAAAACCAGACAGGAAAATTAGAGCCTGCATACTTTAGAGTCAAATTTGTTCCACTACAGCCAGGTCGCATACAATTACATCATTTGGTTCTTCATACACTCTAGAACTGACTAGGACAGAGTTTAGCATAGAAAAACTGTAAGAAATAGGTTCTGAAACATAGAAATTGCAAAGTTCAAAAGGCTATGAAAAAAACTAATGTAAATGAGAGACTCCCCTCCTTTTGTTTTAAAGAAATAGACCCATCAGAGAAATGTAAATCAAAACCACAATGAGATACCATCTCACACCAGTTAGAATGGTGATCATTAAAAGGTCAGGAAACAACAGGTGCTGGAGAGGATGTGGAGAAATAGGAACACTTTCACACTGTTGGTGGGACTGTAAACTAGTTCAACCACTGTGGAAGACAGTGTGGCCATTCCTCAGGGATCTAGAACTAGAAATACCATTTGACCCAGCCATCCCACTACTGGGTATATACCCAAAGGATTATAAATCGTGCTGCTATAAAGACACATGCACACGTATTGTGGCACTATTCACAATAGCAAAGACTTGGAACCAACCCAAATGTCCAACAATGATAGACTGGATGAAGAAAATGTGGCACATATACACCATGGAATACTATGCATCCATAAAAAATGATGAGTTCATGTCCTTTGTAGGGACATGGATGAAGCTGTAAATCATCATTCTCAGCAAACTATCGCAAGGACAAAAAACCAAACACCGCATGTTCTCACTCATAGGTGGGAATTGAACAATGAGAACACTTGGACACAGGAAGGGGAACATCACACACCAGGGCCTGTTGTGGGGTGGGGGGAGGGGGGAGGGGGGAGGGATAGCATTAGGAGATATGCCTAATATAAATGAGTTAATGGGTGCAGCACACCAACATGGCACATATATACATATGTAACAAACCTGCACATTGTGCATGTGTACCCTAGAATTTAAAGTATAATAAAAAAATACAAGAAAATAAAAAAAGAAAGAAATAGATGTTCTGTAAAAATATACACAATTTTTACAGACAAATACATTTATAAGTTGTTTTTATCTTAAAATTGGGGCTATTTCATATTTATAACTAATTATTGAACCTTAAGTTTTCTTGGCCATTTCTAGGCTAATAAACTAAGAATCATGTAAACTAAGCCAAAGTAGAATAGTCATAAAAGTCCTGAACACTTCAACTTCCTATCCTTCAAAAAGTATACCTCACAAAGCTCATTTGAGAGAGGAAAATCTTTCCTCCACCCTCTGTTTTACAGCGCTGAGGCTTCTCATCACATTTCTATGACTTGTAGCTTAAATCCATGTTACATGTTCACTGGCATTGTTAGTGCTTCTCTTTTAACACTGTAGGAGTTAATCAATTTGGTGGCATATTTAATTACTTCTATCACTAGTGGATTGTAAAATTACATATATTAATACCTCACTTTAGAGGCCACTTAATTTTTTTCCAAGGGGATATTTGACTATATTTCACTTGTGTCTTATTTAATGATTTTATAATTTAAACCCTAAATTATAAATCTAGAATTTAGAAAGTATATTTCCCCACTGGATTACATTTTTGGAAATATTATTTTATATGTGCACAAATATTACAAAATCACTGTAGACACCTGAAAACTATATTATCTTTTAAAGGCAATATTTACATTAAACTGGTATAACAAAATTGTTTGGTGCATTTTTTCCAGTACATTTTGTATATATTACGTTTAACCTTTTTTTATTCAGCAAATAATTTTTGAGTATCTACTAAGTGCTAGGTTCTGCATTACTAACTGAATTTAAAGAGTGAAATAACAGACATGGTCTCAGACAATAAAAATTAACATTAGGTCCCCTATTTATATATTTTAAAATGGTAATTATGAAAACTTTTTGAGATTTTTAACTAGATAACATTATAATAATACACTTGATGTTGTTAATATTTGCCAGTGAGCAAAAAAGAAAATAAAAAGATGGTTTTATTCAATATACACTTTAAAATTGCAGAAAATAGTCAAGTTTCTCTGCTTTGCAGTTGAATGTCTATGTGTTTTTCTCCGCAACTTGGCTTTTATGGAGTGAAACAATTATTCTTCCAGCCCAATAAAGTCAGAAGAATAACAATAAATCTAATATTTTAAATGCTTATCAAAAGATAGTAAACATATTATTTCAGAATACTGAGTTCAATAAGTTGACCTACAAAAAAAGCCAAACTGACAGTATTACTGAATAAAGAAAGGCCCAAAGAGACGAAATACTTTTCATTTTGTAACCTCGGTATGACACAACTTACCCTAACTATAAAGACCCTAAATTACCAAGATGGGTGCTTATAATATGGACAGTAAAAAAAGTCATTTCACTTTTAGCTTTTTTATTTCTCTCAGAATAAAAAGCGCATAAGGAGTTGATAAAGAAGTTGATACTATAAGTTAGTACTACAATGACAGCACTTTTCAAGAAAAGACTTTTTTCTGTCTTACAAATATCATGTTAGCAGTATTTGTTTCCTCCAGAAATAATGAGGAAATAAAAACATAAGTATGTGGGTAATTAGTGTAGTTTCTTAAAGAAATGAGTTAGGCAACAGGCTAATAATGTATACTTCACTGGCTTTTGAATGCCAACAATCATATTCTTTATAAGGCACAGACAAGATTTTTCTAAAGAATAAGTATGTGAACCTGAAAAGTAATCACCACTTGGTAGTGATAATATGGATAGGGTGAAGGGCGTCATCAAGAAGCAATGAAAAGATACATTTGCAGTTAAATTTGAAAACCATGATGTTTAATACATATAGTAATAAAGAATACTTTCTCCTGTTTCAAAATCATTTTAGAATTTAAGATAGAAGCTAAAATACCTAGGGATAATGATATGACTATCAAAAATTAAAAATTAAAGGACATTTTGAGTATTATAAGAATGAGAACTTATTACCCAATGAACAGGGGATAATTCATTATGCTCCATATCCATTGAATTAAAAGACAGGCCCATTACCTGGAAAATTTGAAAGTTTAATTTTATTTAAAAGTCTTGTTTCATTCATCAAGATAAAGGATTAGCTCCCAGAAATATTCTAGGATTGCATATCCCCAACTCTGTAGGAAGTATAGAAAGAATGTTAATAAGGGCCACCATCTAAACATTATTATGTAAATAATTTAGTACCATTCCATTTGCCTTTGTAGATTTAAAAATGTAAATGGCTTTCTCATATTAGGAAACATCATTTTTCAAAACCCAGATAAACATAGTATATTGCAAGAGAATATTATTTTCTTTATTAAAAAAGAAATACTGGATGCTAAGTCCAAAAGACATAAATTATTTTATACTAATAACTACTAACATTTTATTCATTAAAATAGAAAGGTCAAAGATTTTAAAATGATCTTTAAATGATTAATAACATGTTGATCTTTTTCTTCTTTCTGTAAAACTTTTTGAGTCTTAAAAATACTAAACTATACAAGCAATATTAAATAGTATATAAACTCGGATTAAAATATTCAAATTTACTAGAAGGTAGACATTGGAAAGAATGAAAATAAACAGAAGCATAAAGCAGCAGATATAAAATTAAGAAAGCAACTAAGAGTGTTTAAAGTACATATTCATCTGTAGTCTAATGTCTACCATAAACAATGAGTCTTCTCAGTAAAACACAAATTGTTCATGAAGGGAAAAAGCAAGTTGTAGTAGAGAATACTCAACATATTTTTTTTAGTACTAACTTGTGCTTGGAGTATTATTGGTTTTTCTATTATGCACTTATGCACTTGATAATTTTTTTCATCAAAATTGTATGTACAACTCCATTCAAAAGCAGTTTTTGGTGGGTTTTTTTTTTTTTTTTTTTGAGAAAGAGTTTTGCTCTTTTCACCCAGGCTGGAGTGCAATGGTGCGAACTTGGCTCACAGCAACCTAGCAACTTTTGCCTCCCAGGTTCAGGTGATTCTCTTGCCTCAGCCTCTCGAGAGGTTAGGACTACAAGCATGCACCACCATGCCTGGCTAATTTTGTGTTTTTAGTAGAGACATGGTTTTGCCATGTTGACCAGGCTGGTCTTGAACTCCTGACCTGAGGTAATCCGCCCACCTTGGCCTCCCAAAGTGCTAGGTATGGGCAAGAGCCACCATACCTGGCCTCAAAAGCAGTTTTTAAAAGCAAACACAATATAACACCAAAGTTGAAAAATCTATGCTCACCCAAGGATGCCAGGTTTAATAAATTATTTATAGAATACTGCATCAAAAATAAGACAATAACCCAAGATATACCATTAAAGATGTATCCACTCCTACAACTAGAGATAATTAATCTATCTGGTAGCAAATTATACTTCAATCAGTTTCAGCATGTCTGAAATCTTTAAGGACAAAAGTGATAAAACATGACTTCATTCTTCATTAGACTCTTAGAACACTTGAAGGAAAATAATTTCTGAAGCACAAAGAGGTAAAGAGGTGTAATCTTTCAAAAAGATATTCAGTGTTCAAAATCCAAGAGTGCAATATCAGGCTGGGTGCGGTGGCTTATGCCTGTAATCCCAGCACTTTGGGAGGCCATGGTGGGTGGATCACCTGAGGTCAGGAGTTCGAGACCAGCCTGGACAACAGGGTGAAACTCTGACTGTACTAAAAATACAAAAATTAGCCAGGCATGGTGGTGTGCACCTGTAGTCCTAGCTACCCGTGGGGCTGAGACAGGAGAATCGCTTGAACCTGGGAGGTGGAGGTTGCAGTGAACCGAGATCATGCCTCCTCACTCCAGCATCAGTAACAGAATGAGATTCCATCTCAAAAAAAAAAGTGTAATATCATATCGGTATACACAGATAATATACTGAATGAAATAAATAGAATAATTTGAAGAGGTATCTTGATAAACAAGGAGTCATTAGAAAGGTTGTATTCATGTCTTTGAAGGAAATTGCAATGTGAGAAATTAATACTTTGACTGCTATACTAAAAGTTTATTGCTAACATGTATTGAGTTATTAACGTGTGTTAGGCAGAGTACCATATAATTTACAGGTGTTATCTCATTTATTGTAGGTAAAATGTAATTTCGAACTCTGGGAGTATAAATGAATTAGATAGAATAAAATTCTATTTAAATGGCCATCAGTAAATCGGTATCTAGGAACAGGGTGATACAGTGCCCAAGTTTTCCATTCTTACTAAATGTTGTGTTTCATTTTCAATGTTTTCTTGGATATTGCTCTTTTTTGGTCATTTTGATTTTTTTTTATTTTAGAAAACTAATAAATTGACTCTTCTTGGTACTGACTCGGGTTTTATAGAAGAAAAAGTAATTAAATTCTGTACATTTACCTTTACCTCATTTTTTGTCTTTTAAATTTATTTTAATTGACATATAATAAATGTACATGTTATGGGGTACAGAGTGATATTTTGATATATTTATGCAATGCGTAAAGATCAAGTCAGAGTCATTATCATATCCATTACCTAAATCATGTATTATTTCTTTGCAGTGAGAATATTCAAAATCTTTTATTTTAGTTATTTGAAAACACACAATAAATTCCCATTAACTACAGTCACCCAACAGTGCTGTAGAGAATTAGAACTTCTTCCTTCTCTCCAGCTGTAATTTTGTATGTATTAACCACATTTTTCTTATACTCTTCTTTCTCCTACTCTTTCCAGGATATGGTAACCAAAACTCTACTATCTACTTCTATGAGATTAAAAATTTTAGCTTCCATACATAAGTGAGTACACGTAGTTATGTGGTGTTTATGTTTCTATGCCAGGCTTATTTCACCTAACATAATGCCCTCCACTTGCATTCTTGTTGCCACAAATAACAGGATTTTGTTCTTTATTATGACTAAATAATATTCCATTATATATGTATGTCACATTTCTTTATCCATTCATCTGTTGATGGACACTTTTGTCGATTCCATATCTTGGCTATTGTGAATAGTGCTGTAATAAACATGGGGGTGCAGCTAACTCTTTGATATACTGATTTTCTTTTCTTTGGATATATACTGAAAACCATATGATTTAATTAATAAACACAATAAAAGCATTTGGCAAAATTAAATATTCTTGAATGACAAAAAACCTCTCAACAATTTAGTATAGAAAATATATGCCTTAACACAGAAGGACATAAAGGACAAATCTACAACTAAGATCATACTGAGTGTGGAAAAGGTGAAAGATTTTACTGTGAACAAGAAAAAGATTTTACTAGAACAAGAAAAGGATGCCTATTCTCACCAATCATATTTCACATAGTGAAAGTCTTAGCCAGGACAATTAGGTGAGAGAAAGAAATAAAGGACATCTGAATTGGAAAGGAGACAGTCAAATTGTCCCTGTTTAAATCAGTAGCATTTCTATATATTGATAGTAAACTAGCTGAAACAAGAAATTAAGAAAGCAAATCCTTTTACAATAGCTATAAAAATGTACTTATAAATTTAACCAAGGAAGTAAAAGATTTTGACAACAAAAATGACAAATATTAATGAAAGAAATTAAAGAAAACACAAAAAAGGAAAGACATCCAAGTTTATAGATTGAAATAACTAATATTCTTAAAATGACCCACTATCCTATGTGATTTACAAATTTAGTACAATCACTAGCTTGTATTTTTAAAAGCACCTTTGCTGCATATTCTTAAGATATTCAATGACAATGCCTAGATTGAAGTTTGAGGTATTATTATATCTATTTTATATTGGGCACAATATAATGTTATCAGAGATAACAGTTTTGATTGGTCCTAGGTCATACAGTAATATATACATTGTGATTTATAGACATGCTATCTTTTCATACTCAGGCATTTAGAAAGTTCATTTAGACAAAGTTATAAAAACTTGCCTTCCTTTCTGCCTATATCACCTAAAAATCCTAATTTAAGAGGTAATAACATTTTTTATTTGATATACAATTTATCAACACAATAAAAATCTAACAATTATCATGTGCAGAGTGTGAAAATCTCATCAGATTAAGGAACACAAAGACATCTTTTTCATATTTCGAATGTAAAACTGTTTTGGAAACTTATTTTTAGAAACAGTTAAAAACATTTTTTCATTAGTTTTTCACGTAAAATTGTGACAACCAGCATGAAATAACTGTCATCACAGAAGCATGGTATATTCGATTCCAAAACATATTCTTTATAAGTTTTAATATATTTATGTATTATTTATACTTAGATTGTAACCCATAATGTAGATAATATTTTTCCTTCAACTCTTAAGAGTATTGTTAAATAAAATTAAAATTAATGAATTATAATTTTTGTTGGTTGGGAAAAAGAATAGACACACACGTGACAGTGCATCACTTCACCTCATCATTTCATCTCATCATCTCATCATTTCATCTCATCATTTTATCTCATCCCATCCCATCTCATCATATCATCTCATCATTTCATCAAATCTCATCTCCATTTCATTTTCATCATTTCATCATTTCATTTCACTATTTCATTTCATCTAATCTCATTTATCTCATTATGTCATTTCATATCATCTCATTTCATCTCATATTTTCATCTCATAATTTTTCATCTCATTTCATCTCATCATTTCATCTCATCTCATCATTTCTTCCTTTCATTTCAACATTTCATCTCATTTCTTCTCATCTCATTTCAATTTCATTTCATTATTTCGTTTCATCTCATTTCATTATTTCACCTAGTTTCATTATTTCATATCATCTCAATTCGTCTCATCGCATTTAATCTCAACATTTTTCTTTTTTCTTTTTTTTTATTATACTTAAATTTTAGGGTACATGTGCACATTGTGCAGGTTAGTTACATATGTATACATGTGCCATGCTGGTGCGCTGCGCCCACTAACTCGTCATCTAGCATTAGGTATATCTCCCAATGCTATCCCTCCCCCCTCCCCCCACCCCACCACAGTCCCCAGAGTGTGATATTCCCCTTCCTGTGTCCATGTGATCTCATTGTTCAATTCCCACCTATGAGTGAGAATATGTGGTGTTTGGTTTTTAGTTCTTGCGATAGTTTACTGAGAATGATGATTTCCAATTTCATCCATGTCCCTACAAAGGAGATGAACTCATCATTTTTTATGGCTGCATAGTATTCCATGGTGTATATGTGCCACATTTTCTTAATCCAGTCTATCATTGTTGGACATTTGGGTTGGTTCCAAGTCTTTGCTATTGTGAATAATGCCGCAATAAACATACGTGTGCATGTGTCTTTATAGCAGCATGATTTATAGTCCTTTGGGTATATACCCAGTAATGGGATGGCTGGGTCAATTGGTATTTCCAGTTCTAGATCCTTGAGGAATCGCCACACTGACTTCCACAATGGTTGAACTAGTTTACAGTCCCACCAACAGTGTAAAAGTGTTCCTATTTCTCCACATCCTCTCCAGCACCTGTTGTTTCCTGACTTTTTAATGATTGCCATTCTAACTGGTGTGAGATGGTATCGCATTGTGGTTTTCATTTGCATTTCTCTGATGGCCAGTGATGATGAGCATTTTTTCATGTGTTTTTTGGCTGCATAAATGTCTTCTTTTGAGAAGTGTCTGTTCATGTCCTTCGCCCACTTTTTGATGGGGTTGTTTGTTTTTTTCTTGTAAATTTGTTTGACTTCATTGTAGATTCTGGATATCAAGCCCTTTGTCAGATGAGTAGGTTGCAAAAATTTTCTCCCATTTTGTAGGTTGCCTGTTCACTCTGATGGTAATCTCTTTTGCTGTGCAGAAGCTCTTTAGTTTAATTAGATCCCATTTGTCAATTTTGGCTTTTGTTGTCATTGCTTTTGGTGTTTTAGACATGAAGTCCTTGCCCATGCCTATGTCCTGAATGGTAATGCCTAGGTTTTCTTCTAGGGTTTTTATGGTTTTAGGTCTAACGTTTAAGTCTTTAATCCATCTTGAATTGATTTTTGTATAAGGTGTAAGGAAGGGATCCAGTTTCAGCTTTCTACATATGGCTAGCCAGTTTTCCCAGCACCATTTATTAAATAGGGAATCCTTTCCCCATTGCTTGTTTTTCTCAGGTTTGTCAAAGATCACATAGTTGTAGATATGCGGCGTTATTTCTGAGGGCTCTGTTCTGTTCCATTGATCTGTATCTCTGTTTTGGTACCAGTACCATGCTGTTTTGGTTACTGTAGCCTTGTACTATAGTTTGAAGTCAGGTAGTGTGATGCCTCCAGCTTTGTTCTTTTGGCTTAGGATTGACTTGGTGATGCGGGCTCTTTTTTGGTTCCATATGAACTTTAAAGTCGTTTTTTCCAATTCTGTGAAGAAAGTCATTGGTAGCTTGATGGGGATGGCATTGAATCTGTAAATTACCTTGGGCAGTATGGCCATTTTCACGATATTGATTCTTCCTACCCATGAGCATGGAATGTTCTTCCCTTTGTTTGTATCCTCTTTTATTTCCTTGAGCAGTGGATTGTAGTTCTCCTTGAAGAGGTCCTTCACATCCCTTGTAAGTTGGATTCCTAGGTATTTTATTCTCTTTGAAGCAATTGTGAATGGGAGTTCACTCATGATTTGGCTCTCTGTTTGTCTGTTACTGGTGTATAAGAATGCTTGTGATTTTTGTACATTGATTTTGTATCCTGAGACTTTGCTGAAGTTGCTTATCAGCTTAAGGAGATTTTGGGCTGAGACAATGGGCTTTTCTAGATATACAATCATGTCGTCTGCAAACAGGGACAATTTGACTTCCTCTTTTCCTAATTGAATACCCTTTATTTCCTTCTCCTGCCTGATTGCCCTGGCCAGAACTTCCAACACTATGTTGAATAGGAGTGGTGAGAGAAGGCATCCCTGTCTTGTGCCAGTTTTCAAAGGGAATGCTTCCAGTTTTTGCCCATTCAGTATGATATTGGCTGTGGGTTTGTCATAGATAGCTCTTATTATTTTGAAATACATCCCATCAATACCTAATTTATTGAGAGTTTTTAGCATGAAGGGTTGTTGAATTTTGTCAAAGGCTTTTTCTGCATCTATTAAGATAATCATGTGGTTTTTGTCTTTGGCTCTGTTTATATGCTGGATTACATTTATTGATTTGCGTATATTGAACCAGCCTTGCATCCCAGGGATGAAGCCCACTTGATCATGGTGGATAAGCTTTTTGATGTGCTGCTGGATTCGTTTTGCCAGTATTTTATTTAGGATTTTTGCATCAATGTTCATCAAGGATATTGGTCTAAAATTCTCTTTTTTGGTTGTGTCTCTGCCTGGCTTTGGTATCAGAATGATGCTGGCCTCATAAAATGAGTTAGGGAGGATTCCCTCTTTTTCTATTGATTGGAATAGTTTCAGAAGGAATGGTACCAGTTCCTCCTTGTACCTCTGGTAGAATTCGGCTGTGAATCCATCTGGTCCTGGACTCTTTTTGGTTGGTAAGCTATTGATTATTGCCACAATTTCAGCTCCTGTTATTGGTCTATTCAGAGATTCAACTTCTTCCTGGTTTAGTCTTGGGAGAGTGTATGTGTTGAGGAATTTATCCATTTCTTCTAGATTTTCTAGTTTATTTGCGTAGAGGTGTTTGTGGTATTCTCTGATGGTAGTTTGTATTTCTGTGGGATCGGTGGTGACATCCCCTTTATCATTTTTTATTGCGTCTATTTGATTCTTCTTTTTTTCTTTATTAGTCTTGCTAGCGGTCTATCAATTTTGTTGATCCTTTCAAAAAACCACCTCCTGGATTCATTAATTTTTTGAAGGGTTTTTTGTGTCTCTATTTCCTTCAGTTCTGCTCTGATTTTAGTTATTTCTTGCCTTGTGCTAGCTTTTGAATGTGGTTGCTCTTGCTTTTCTAGTTCTTTTAATTGTGATGTTAGGGTGTCAATTTTGGATCTTTTCTGCTTTCTCTTGTGGGCATTTAGTGCTATAAATTTCCCTCTACACACTGCTTTGAATGCGTCCCAGAGATTCTGGTATGTTGTGTCTTTGTTCTCGTTGGTTTCAAAGAACATCTTTATTTCTGCCTTCATTTCGTTATGTACCCAGTAGTCATTCAGGAGCAAGTTGTTCAGTTTCCATGTAGTTGAGCGGTTTTGAGTGAGATTCTTAATCCTGAGTTCTAGTTTGATTGTACTGTGGTCTGAGAGATAGTTTGTTATAATTTCTGTTCTTTTACATTTGCTGAGGAGAGCTTTACTTCCCAGTATGTGGTCAATTTTGGAATAGGTGTGGTGTGGTGCTGAAAAAAATGTATATTCTGTTGATTTGGGGTGGAGAGTTCTGTAGATGTCTATTAGGTCTGCTTGGTGCAGAGCTGAGTTCAATTCCTGGGTATCCTTGTTGACTTTCTGTCTCGTTGATCTCTCTAATATTGACAGTGGGGTGTTAAAGTCTCCCATTATTAATGTGTGGGAGTCTAAGTCTCTTTGTAGGTCACTCAGGACTTGCTTTATGAATCTTGGTGCTCCTGTATTGGGTGCATATATATTTAGGATAGTTAGCTCTTCTTGTTGAATTGATCCCTTTACCACTATGTAATGGCCTTCTTTGTCTCTTTTGATCTTTGTTGGTTTAAAGTCTGTTTTATCAGAGACTAGGATTGCAACCCCTGCCTTTTTTTTTCTTTTCCATTGGCTTGTTAGATCTTCCTCCATCCTTTTATTTTGAGCCTATGTGTGTCTCTGCATGTGAGATGGGTTTCCTGAATACAGCACACTGATGGGTCTTGACTCTTTATCCAATTTGCCAGTCTGTGTCTTTTAATTGGAGCATTTAGTCCATTTACATTTAAAGTTAATATTGTTATGTGTGAATTTGATCCTGTCATTATGATGTTAGCTGGTTATTTTGCTCATTAGTTGATGCAGTTTCTTCCTAGTCTCGATGGTCTTTACATTTTGGCATGATTTTGCAGTGACTGGTACCGGTTGTTCCTTTCCATGTTTAGTGCTTCCTTCAGGAGCTCTTGTAAGGCAGGCCTGGTGGTGACAAAATCTCTCAGCATTTGCTTGTCTGTAAAGTATTTTATTTCTCCTTCACTTATGAAGCTTAGTTTGGCTGGATATGAAATTCTGGGTTGAAAATTCTTTTCTTTAAGAATGTTGAATATTGGCCCCCACTCTCTTCTGGCTTGTAGAGTTTCTGCTGAGAGATCCACTGTTAGTCTGATGGGCTTCCCTTTGAGGGTAACCCGACCTTTCTCTCTGGCTGCCCTTAACATTTTTTTCTTCATTTCAACTTTGGTGAATCTGACAATTATGTGTCTGGAAGTTGCTCTTCTCAAGGAGTATCTTTGTGGCGTTCTCTGTATTTCCTGAATCTGAATGTTGGCCTGCCTTGCTAGATTGGGGAAGTTCTCCTGGATAATATCCTGCGGAGTGTTTTCCAACTTGGTTCCATTCTCCCCATCACTTTCAGGTACACCAATCAGACGTAGATTTGGTCTTTTCACATAGTCCCATATTTCCTGGAGGCTTTGCTCATTTCTTTTTATTCTTTTTTCTCTAAACTTCCCTTCTCGCTTCATTTCATTCATTTCATCTTCCATCGCTGATACCCTTTCTTCCAGTTGATCGCATCGGCTCCTGAGGCTTCTGCATTCTTCTCGTAGTTCTCGAGCCTTGGTTTGCAGCTCCATCAGTTCCTTTAAGCACTTCTCTGTATTGGTTATTCTAGTTATACATTCTTCTAAATTTTTTTCAAAGTTTTCAACTTCTTTGCCTTTGGTTTGAATGTCCTCCCGTAGCTCAGAGTAATTTGATCGTCTGAAGCCTTCTTCTCTCAGCTCGTCAAAGTCATTCTCCATCCAGCTTTGTTCCGTTGCTGGTGAGGAACTGCGTCCCTTTGGAGGAGGAGATGTGCTCTGCTTTTTAGAGTTTCCAGTTTTTCTGTTCTGTTTTTTCCCCATCTTTGTGGTTTTATCTACTTTTGGTCTTTGATGATGGTGATGTACAGATGGGTTTTTGGTGTGGATGTCCTTTCTGTTTGTTTTCCTTCTAACAGAGAGGACCCTCAGCTACAGGTCTGTTGGAGTACCCTGCTGTGTGAGGTGTCAGTGTGCCCCTGCTGGGGGGTGCCTCCCAGTTAGGCTGCTTGGGGGTCAGGGGTCAGGGACCCACTTGAGGAGGCAGTCTGCCCGTTCTCAGACCTCCAGCTGTGTACTGGGAGAACCACTGCTCTCTTCAAAGCTGTCAGACAGGGACATTTAAGTCTGCAAAGGTTACTGCTGTCTTTTTGTTTGTCTGTGCCCTGCCCCAAGAGGTGGATCCTACAGAGGCAGGCATGCCTCCTTGAGCTGTGGTGGGCTCCACCCAGTTCAGGCTTTCCAGCTGCTTTACCTAAGCAAGCCTGGGCAACGGCAGGCACCCCTACCCCAGCCTCACTGCCGCCTTGCAGTTTGATCTCAGACTGCTGTGCTAGCAATCAGCGAGACTCCGTGGGCGTAGGACCCTCCGAGCCAGGTGCGGGATATAATCTCGTGGTGCGCCGTTTTTTAAGCCCGTTGGAAAAGTGCAGTATTCGGGTGGGAGTGACCCAATTTTCCAGGTGCCATCCATCACCCCTTTCTTTGACTCAGAAAGGGAACTCCCTGACCCCTTGCGCTTCCCAAGTGAGGCAATGCCTCGCCCTGCTTTGGCACGTGCACGGTGCGCGCACCCACTGACCTGCACCCACTGTCTGGCACTCCCTAGTGAGATGAACCTGGTACCTCAGATGGAAATGCAGAAATCACCCGTCTTCTGCGTCGCTCACGCTGGGAGTTGTAGACCGGAGCTGTTCCTATTTGGCCATCTTGGCTCCTCCCTACCTCATCATTTTTCATCTCATCATTTTTCATCTCATTTAATCTCATTTCATTTCATCTCATCATTTCAGCTCATCATTTCATCTCACCACATCTCTTCATTTCATCATTTCATTTCAACATTTCATATTTCATCTCATCTCATCTTTCAATTTCATTTCAATACCATCATTTCATCATTTCATTTCATCTCATTTCATTATTTCATTTCATCTCATTTCAATTCATCTCATCATTTTATCTCATCATTTTTCATCTCATCATTTAATCTCATCATCTCATCTCATCATTTCATCTCATTTCATCATTTCATTTCATCATTTTATCTCATTTCATCTCATTTCAATTTCATTATTTCATTTCATTTCACTTCATCTCATCTCATCTCATCATTTCATCTCATCTTATCTCATTTCATCTCATTTCTTCTCATCTCATCTCATCATTTCATCATTTCATCTCATTTCATCTCATCTCACCTCATCTCATCATTTCATCTCATCATTTCACCTCATCCTTTCAGCTCATCATTTCATCTCATTTCATCTCATCTCACCTCAGCATTTCGTCATTTCATCTCATCATTTATTTCATCTCATTTTATCTCATCATTTCATCTCATCTCATCTCAATTCAATTTCCTTTAATTATTTCATTTCATCTCATCATTTCATCTCATTTCATCACATTATTCATCTCATCATTTCATCTCATCTCATCATTTCCATTTCATTTCCATTTCATTATTTCATTTCATCATTTAATTTCATCATCTCATTTAATTTCACCTCATTTCATTATTTCATTTCATTTTTTCATTTCATTATGTCATTTCATTTCATCTCATTACATTTCATCTAATTTCATTTCATATCATTTCATCTCATCTTTTCATCTCATTTCATCTCATCATCTCATCAACTCATTTCATCTTATCTCATCATTTCATCAACTCATTTCATCTCATCATTTCATCATTTCATCTCATCATCTCATCAACTCATTTCATCTTATCTCATCATTTCATCATTTCATCTCATCATTTCATCTCATCTCATATCTTCTCATTTCAATTTCATTTCATTATTTCATGTCATCTCATCTCATCATTTCATCTCATCACATCTCATCATTTCATCATTTTATTTCATAATTTCATCTTATCATTTCATCTCATTTCATCTCATCTCAATTTTATTTCAATTTCATTTCATTATTTCATTTCATCTCATTATTTCATTTCATCAGTTCATCTCATCATCTCATCTCATCTCAAATTTATTTCAATTTCATTTCATTATTTCATTTCATCTCATTATTTCATTTCATCAGTTCATCTCATCATCTCATCTCATCTCATCATTTCATCTCATTTCATATCATTTTATCTCACCATTTCATCTCATCTCATCATTTCGTCTCATCTCATTTTATGTCATCATTTCGTGTCATCATTTCATCACATCTCATCTCATCTCATCTTTTCATCTCATCATTTCATCATTTCATCTCATCATTTCAACTCATTGCATCTCATCTCATCATTTCCATTTCATTATTCCATTTCATCATTTATTTCATTTCATTGTCATTTCATCTCGTCACATTTCATCTCATCTCATCATTTCATCTCATCATTTCATCTCATTATTTCATCTGATTTCATGTTATCATATCTTGTCATCATTTCATCTCACTTCATCACATCTCATCTCATCATTTAATCTCATCATTTAATCTCATTTCATCTCATCATTTCATCTCATCTCATCATTTCATCATTTCATCTCATCATTTCTGCTCATCTCATCATTTCCATTTCATTTCCATTTATTTCATCATTTTATTTCATCATTTCATTATTGCATTTCATCTCATTTCATTATTGCATTTCATTATGTCATTTCATTTCATCTCATTTCATTACATCTCATTTCATCTCATTTCATCTCATCATTTCATCTCATCTCATCTCATCATCTCATTTCATCTCATCATTTCATCTCATTTCATCTCATCTCACTTCATCATTTCATCTCATCTCATTTCAATTTCATCATTACATTTCATAATTTCATTATTTCATTGCATCTCATTTCATTATTTCATCTCATTTCATCTCATTTTTCATCTCATCATTTTTCATCTCATTTCATCTCATCATTTCATTTTATCATCTCATCATTTCATCTCATCATTCATCTCATTTCATCTCATCATTTTATCTCATTATATCATCTCATCTCATTTCAATTTCATTATTTCATATCATTTCATTTTTTCATTTCATTTCATCTCATCATTTCTTCTCATCATTTCATCTCATTTCATCTCATCATTTCATCCATCATCTCATCATTTCATCTCATTTCATCTCATCTCATCTCCTTTCAATTTCTTTTCAATTTTGTCATTTTGTCTCATCATTTAATCTCATCATTTCTACTCACCATTTCATCTCAAAATTTCATCTCATCATTTCATCTCATCTCATCATTTAGTCATTTCATCTCATCTCAAGTCATATTATCATTTCATCTAAGTGAAATGACGTAATGGAATCATGAAATGAAATGGATAGGATGCCCTCAGTGATGTTAAATTTAAAAATTGTTTTCATGTATTCATTTGTATATTTACATGTATTTATATTTATATTTACTTATATTTCTTTTTACTTATTTTTATTTATGTTTTTACTTATTTCTTTATTTATAGACAAGGTCCTGTTCTGTGGCCTAGGCTGCAATGCAGTGGTGCATTCACAGTTCACTGCAGCCTTGAGCAAACCTCCCACCTTAGCCTCCCGGGTAGCCGGGACCCCAGGTGCGCACCACCACACCTGGTTAATATTTTATTATTTGTAGAGATGGAGTCTTGCTATTCTGCCCAGGCTGGTCTCAAACTCCTGGGCTCAAGCAATCCTCCTGCCTCTGCAACCCAAAATGCTGGGATTACAGATATGAGCCACAGTGCCCAACCTATTTATTTATTTATTTATTTAATAAAGAAAAGGTCTCAATATGTGGCCCAGGCTGGTCAACTCCTGGACTCAAATGATTCTCCCAACTTGGCCTCTCAAAATGTTGGGATTACAGGTATGAGCCACCATGCCTGGCCTAAAAATAATATTATATTTTTGTATTATATAATTTTCAATTAGGTAATATGAATACTCTGTACAGGAAATACGCCCTTAATTACATAGGAATAAACATTTGTTACACTGAGAAAAATCTAATAGAGCTAAAAATAAAAATTAATTTGGAAAGTTCATTAGATACTCATACATTCTTACGTTTATACATTCTTTCATATATTCATATACTCTTTTAACAGTATCAATGGTTTGGAGTTATGTGTACAAAACCATGACCTATATGTAATACAACTAATAACAAGCACTTACAATTCAAGGCATATTATATACAAAGCTTTAACTTCTCATCATCAGATTTTTTTTTCTTTCTGTTTTGGCAGATACTATGAACACAACATTCAACTCACAGACACCATGGAGCCCTTACTAAGCATAAAGTACTGTGAAAGGCCAGGGCTAGGACAGAACTGAGACAGGGCCAGGGATAGGACAGAACCGGGGCAGGGTCATGGACAGAGAAAAACCAGGGGCAGGGTCATAGCCAGGGACATGAGAGGACCAAGGCCAGGGCCAGAAGTAGGGCAGAACCAGGGCCAGGGCAGGGACATGGCAGGGCCAGGGCCATGGCAGGATCAGGGTCAGCAGAAGGCCAGGGCAGGGCTAGGGTAGCACAGGGCCAAGGCAGGGCAGGGTCAGTGTAGAGCAAGAATGGGCCAGAGTATGGCAGGGCAGGGACAGGGAGGTCCAGGGCCAGAGTCAGGTCCAGGACATGGACAGGGCAGGGCCAGAAACATGGCAGGACCAGAAAGGGGACAGGGCAAGGGCAAGGCCAGAGAAGGACCATGGAAAAAACATGGCCAGGGAGGGTCCAGGGCAAGGGCAACGCCAGGGCAGAACCAGAGCCAGGGCAGGCCAAAGGCAGGGCCAGGCCAGGGCAAGGTCAGGGTAGGGCAGGGCCAGTGTAGGGTGAGGGTAGGGCCAGGGCGAGTTCAGGGCCAGGGTAGGACTAAGATAGCACAGGGCCAGTGCAGGGCCAAAGGAGGGGCCAGGGCCAAGCATGGCCAGTGTGGGGCCTGGGGATTGTCAGGGCCAGGGCCAGGGTCAAGACTGGGCCAGGGGCAGGGCCAGGGAGAAGGCAAAACCAGAGAGGATCCAGAGCAAGAGCAGGGCCAGGGCAGAACCAGGACCAGGATAAGGCAAAGCCAAGGCCAGGGCAGGGCAAGGCCAGGGCAGGGCAAGACCAGGGAAGGGCAAGGCCAGGGTAGAAAAGGCTAGTGTAGGGCCAGGCCAGGGTAGGAGAAGGCCA
Source organism: Homo sapiens (assembly GCF_000001405.40). NCBI lineage: Eukaryota > Metazoa > Chordata > Mammalia > Primates > Hominidae > Homo > Homo sapiens. The sequence goes on along the minus strand of NC_000015.10, from coordinate 20,306,624 downwards.
CGGTAGGGCCAAGGCAGGGCAGGGCTAAGGTAGCACAGGGCATGGCCAAAAACAGGGCAGGGCCATAGCAGTGGCAGGACTAGCAACAGGGCCAGGGTAAGTGCTGGACCAGAGCATGGTGGGGACAATACAGGTCCAGGACAGACGATGGCAAGGCAAGTCCAGGGCCATTTCATGGACTCGGTAGGCCTGGGGTCAGGCCAGGTCAGGGCAAGAGCAAGGCCAGGGAGAAGGCAGGGCCGTAGCCAAGGCAGTGCCAGGGCAGGGCAGGACCAGTGCAGGGCCAATGCAGGGTGAGGGCAAGGCCAGGGCATGGAAGGGGAGGGCAGGACCAAGGAAGGGCCAGGAGAGGGCCACGGCAGGGTCAAGGCCAGAACAAGGGTACGGCTGGGGTCAGGAATATGGTAGGACAAGGGCTGGGCCCAGGCTGGGACATGCAGGGCAGAGCATGGCCTGTGCAAGGCACGGCCAGAGCCAGGCCATAGAGATGGGAGGGCAACACCAAGGCAGAGTCAGGGTAGATCCAGGGCTGAGCAGAGTCAGGGCAGGTCCAGAGTCGAGGCAGAGCTAGGGCCCAAGCAGGGCCATGGCAGCGCCAGGGCAGAGGAGGGCAGGGCAACGCAGGACTGGACCATGGTAGTGCCTGGTCAACTCCGGGGCAGGGCCAGAAGCAGGACAGGGACAGGGCCAATGCTCAGGCCAGGGACAGGGCATGACAGAAGTGCCAGAGCAGGGCTGGGCCAACGTTGGGGCAGGGCAAATCAGACCAGGACACCTCCAAGTCCAGCTCTGGCCCTGCCTTGGCCCTGGCCCCTTCCTGGCCTGACCTTGTCCCTGGCCCTGCCCTATCCATGCCCTGTGTGTTTGAGCAGTGTTTTATAACCAGAATCCTACAAGAAACTTAAATCAGCTCTTTTTGTGCATTTTTAGTAGAGATGGGGTTTCACAATGTTGCCCAGGCTGGTTCCAAACTCCTGAGCTCAAGCCATCTGCCTGCCTTGGCCTCCCAAAGTGCTGGGATTACAGGAGTAATCTGGCCAAGTATTTAACTTCTTTATGCCTGTTTCCTACATTTGGAAAATGGGGATGCTTTAAGTACCTAGCATGTAGAATTATTGTGAGAATCAATGCCTCACATATTTACATATTGATAAAATTATACTCATAGAATACTACTGGAAGCAAAGATAGTATTAGTTAAAATTTAGTGATTATTTACTGCAAATATTATTACTATTACAAACAACATAGTATAGACATTATTACTACTACTGTAGTTATCTTAAAAATCTAAAATAAAAATTTTACATAACAGCCTAACGTAATCTCTCCTGCTCTGCCCCGGCTCAGCCCTAGTACCAGCTCTGCCCCTAGTCCTACCACATTCCTGGCCCTGACCCTTCCCTGGTCATGCCGCTGCCTTGGCCCTTCCCATCTTCAGGCCTTACCATGGCCCTACCCTGGTCCTGACCCTGGCCCTACCCCAGAGAAGGGGTATGGCAGAGCCAGGGAAGCGCCGGGGAAATAAGGGACAGGACACATCCAAATCCAGAAAAGGGCCAGGGCCATGACAGAGCCAGGGCGAGTCCTTGGCAGGGCCAGGTTCCAGGCCAGGGCCAGGAAAGGGTCATGGCAGGGTCACTGTATGGCCAAGGTCCAGGCCAAAGCCAAGGCACAGGCAGGGTCAGGCCTGCATAAGGGCAGGACGAGAGCCAGGCCATAGAGTAGGGCAAATGCCAAGCCAAGGCCAGGGTAGTGCCAGGGCTAAGGCAAGGTCAGGGAAGGTCCAGGGCTGCGTCAAGGCTAGAACCAAGACGGGGCAAAGGCCGGGGCAGATCTAGGGCACAAGCAGGGCAGGCTAAGGCAGGGCAATGGCAAGACCAGGCCATGGCAGGGCCAGCCCAGGATAGAACAGGGCACAGGCAGGGCAGGGCCAGGACCATGGCTGGGGCAGGACAAGGACCAGGACCGAGGTCCAGGCCAGGGCAAGGGTATGGCCAGGGCAGAGGTAGGGCCCGAGCCAGGGTCTGGGCAGGACCAAGGCAGGTCTATTGCAGGGCCAGGGTTCAGACCAGGGCCAGAGCAGGGCTGGGACAGGGCCAGGGCCAGAACCAGGAAAGGGCAATGTCAGAACAAGGGCCATGGCAGGACCAGCAACGGGGCTGGGGCCAGGACAGGGACAGGGACCGGGTCAGGGCCAGGGCCAGAATAGCATGCCAGGGTAGAGCCAGGCCAAATTAGGGCCAGGACAGGGTCAGGACCAGGGCTGGGCCAGGGTATGGCCTTAAGTAGTGAACGGCCAGGGCCAGGGTCCATGCCAGTGCCAGCCTCGGTCCAGGGCAGAGGCAGGGCCATGGCCAGGTCAAGGACAAGGCTGGGGCAGGGCCAAGGTCTGGGTCAGGGTCAGCACAAGACCAGGACAGAGCCAGGGGAGGGACAGGGCCATGATAAGACCAGGTTAAATCATGGACAAGACACCTGCAAATCCACTTCAGGGCCAGGGTCAGGGCAGGGCCAGTTCAGGGCCAGGGCCAAGACAGGGCCAGGGCCAGGGCTGTCAGGGTCATTGGCAGGGCAAGGGCCATGGCAGGGCCAGGGTCAGGAGCAAGGGTCAATGCCAGGCTAAGGCCACAGATAGGACCAGGTCTGTGCTAGGGCCAGTGTGAGGGCCAAGGCAGGGTCATGGCAGGGCCAAAGGGAGGGCAGGGCCAGGGCAGGGTGGAGCAGGCCCAGGGTAGCACAGGGTTAAGGTAGGGCATGACCAACCAGGGCAGGTCTATGGCTGGGGCCGGGGCAGGGCCAGGGCCAGGGCAGGGCCAGAGCCAGGGCAGGGCCAAGACAGTGGCAGCTCCAGGGCAGGGCCAGGGTTAGGACCACGGACATGTCCAAGGCCAGTGCCAGGGCAAGGGCAAGGGCAGGTGCAGGGCCAGGTTCATCTAAGAACCAGGGACAAAGCCAGGCCCAGAGCTGGGCCAGGACAGGTACCTGGCAGGGCTAGGGTCTGGGACAGGGCCATGGCAGGGCCAGGGCCACAACCAGGTCTGTGCTATGGCCAGGTCCAACAGAGTGGCCAGGTAAGGCTAGGGTGAAGGCCAAGGTAGGGCCAGGGCAGGGTCAAAGCCAGGCTAGGGCCAAGGCAGGGCCAGGACAGGCAAGACAGGGCCAGGAAAGCATAGGGCCAAGGCAGGGCAGGGCCAGGGAACAGCCAGGGCAGGGCCAGGGCCATGGCCATGGCCTGGGCAGGACCAGGTTCGGGGCAGGAGCAAAACAAGGACACGGTCAGTGCAGGATCTTGGCACAGCCAGGGTCCAGGACAGTGTCAGGGAAGGGCCAAGGCAGGGTCTGGGCCATGGTAAGACCAGCAACAGGGCTGGGGCTAGGCCAGTGACAGGACCAGAGTCAGGGCAAGGGCCAGAGCAGTGCAAGGCCAGGGTAGGGCCAGGCATTTCAGGGTCAGGGCCAGGGGAGAACCAGGGCAAGGTCTCAAGCAGGGAAGGGCCAGGGCCAGGACAGGTCCAGGGCAGGGCCATGACAGGGCCAGGGGCTGCGTTAGGGCAAGGGCAGAGCCAGGGCAAGGTAAGGGTCAGGGCCAAGGCCAGGGTAGGGACAGGGCAAGAAATATGGCAGGACCAGGGGCAATGCCAAGGCCAAGGCTGGGCCAGGGCTGAGCCAGGGCTGAGTCGGGCAGGGCAGGGCAGGGCATGGTATGGCCAGTGCAGGACAGGACAAGAGCCGGTCCACACAGAGAGCAGAGCTGATGCCAAAGAAGAGCCAGGCTAGTGCCGAGGCTGAGGCAGTGTCAGAGCATGTCCAGGGCAGGGCCGGGGCCAGGGCCAGAACCGAGCCAGGGCACAGCCAAGGCAGGGTAGGGCAGGGAAATAGCATGGCCAGGTCAGTACTGGGACAGGGCAGAGCAGGGCAAGGCAATGGTAGCGGCAGGGCAGGGACATGCCAATGCAGAGCTATGTTACGCCGGGGCCAGGACACCTCGAAGTTCACTTCAGGGCCAGGGCTATGGCAGGACAAAGACCAGGGCCAGAGTCAGGGCCAGGTCTGTGCTAGGGCCAGCTCCAGAGCAGGGCCTAGTGAAGACTAGGGTGAGGGCCAAGGTAAGGCCAGGGCAGGGTCAAAGGCAGAGTAGGGCCAGGTCAGGGTGATGACACATCCAGAGCACAGCAGGGCAGGGTGATGGCAAGACCAGGGGCAGACCACTGCCAGCTCAGGACCACGGAAAGGCCAGTGCAGAGCCAGGAAAGGGTCTGGGTCTGGGTCAGGGCCAGGAACAAGGCAGAGCAGGGCCAGGGCCATGGCAGAGTCAGGGCAGGTCCTTGACAGGACCAGGTTCCAGGCCAGCAGCAGGGCCAGGGCCTGGATAAGGGCAGGGCCAGGGATATGGCAGGACCAGGGCTAGGGTCAGGGCCAGGCCATAGTGAGGGCAGGGCAAAAGCCAAGGCAGGGTCAGGGCAGGTCCAGGGAGCGGCCAGCACCAAGCAGGGCCAAGGCACAACCAGCACAGGGTAAGGCAGGGCAATGGCACCACTAGGCCATGACAGGGCAAGGTCAGTGCCAGGAGAGGGTAGAACAGGCAGGCCTATGGTGGGGCCAGGGCAGGGATGGGCCAAAGCAGGGCCAGGACATGTCCAAGGCCAGGTCAGGGCCAGAACAGGAGCAGGACCATGACCATTGGCAGGGCCAGTGCCATGACAGCACCAGGGTCAGGACAAGGGGCAGGGCCAGAGCCAGGGCCAGAGCCAAGGTCAGGCCAGGGCAGGTTCAGGGCAGGGCCAGTGCCAGGGCAAGACCAGGGCAAGGACAGGGTAGCACAGGGCCAAGACAGGGTCAGGATGGGACCAGAGTAGGACAGGGCCGAGACAGTCCAGGTAACAGTAGGGCAGGTACAGGGCAAGGCAGGGCAGTACAGGGTCAGATCCACGGCATGGGCAGGGCAAAGCCATTGCCAATGCGCCAGCCCTCCCTACAAGGCTCCTACCACCTGGCCACTGCTGCAGCCCGTCCATTGCTGTAAGCCTGACCCCCAACCCTGGCTGCAGCCACCTGCCCTCCTAGTGCGGCCGCTCTCCTACCACTCTGGTGCACTGCAGTCTCCGTTGATGCCACCCTCCCGCAGCGAGGCGAGCCGTGGTGTCGCAGGCTCTAGGTGTCTCCTCCTCCTCCTGGCATGGAGCAGCTGGGCGGGCAAAGCCAGAAAAGCCTAGAGGAAGATGTGAGGGGTGGAAGGGTTAGAGCCTCACCTTGTCATGCCAGCCACTGGGTGGCAGGGGCCAGTTTCAGCAAAGGCACTCACACCCACCCTCCAAAGTCCAGCCTCTCCCTTTGGCCCAAGCTGGCCAGGAACTGGGGTCTGGGGTGGGTGCTGGAGACACCACAGCACCCAGCTCCCCACTCCACAGGAACCATTGGGCCCACCAGGGCTGCACTCCTCAGGGAGTAGGAGAAGCAGAAAAATTCAGACCCAGACAGCCCTCCGCACCCAGGTGCCAATTCCTGTTCCGGACGCCTCCACACACAGGGCCCTGTCCCCCGTGGTGTCCCCAGGGGTGCCTGGCAGCCTCTGAGGCACAGACCCAGAGTGCACAGGCCCAGGAACCACGGTGGGTGTGGGGGCTCTGCCACGCTCAGGATTCCCACGCAAACGCTGTGCGCCTGCCGCACCCCAGTATGACCAAGAGTGGGTCGCTCTCTGGAGTGTGGAGTCAGGGAGAGGAGAACCACTCCTTCCTTGGATGCCAACTCTGCTGACCGCCGCCAGCAGTGCAGCCCCTGATAGCACTGAACTCACCCCTCTCCACGGCTAGTCCTGCCCTCAATAGCTCCCCCCACCTCCATCCCCCAATGCCACCAGTAGCGTATACCTGATAGTGCCCTAACCTGTCCTTCTCCATGGGCATTGCAGTCCCAGAAAGCACCCATAACCCACCCTCCCTGCCATGTGCAGTGAAGCCCTGTACAGTGCTACCAACCAGTACCCCTAATGCAGGCAATGACACCCTGGATAGCGCCCCCAACCCACCCCACACTGCGAAAGGTGCAGCCCTGGATAGCCCCTGTCCTACCACTTTGGTCGTGCTGCAGTCTCTGTCACCGCCACCACCAACCACAGTGAGGCAAGCCAGTGGGCCACAGGCTGTAGCACCCAGCAGCCAGGCATGGAGCAGCTCTCGCTGATGGCCGGCTCCTACCACTCTGACCACGCTGCTGTCTCCGTGGCCATCTTCTTTGACTACAAAGGAATAAAACTAGGTATCAATAAGAAGAGTAATTTTGGAAACAATACAATCACATGGAAGTTAAACACTACCCTCCTGAATAAATGACTAGTGGGTCAATGAAGATACTAAGACAGAAATTCAAAAATTTCATGAAACAAAGGGTAATGAAAACACAGTATACCAAAACTTGTTATGCAGAAAGCAGTACAAAGGCAGAGATTTACAGCTATAAGTGCCTACCATCCAAACAAAAGAAAAACTTTAAATAAACAATACATCTTAAAGAACTATTAAAGTAAAAACAAACTAAACCGAAAATAAGAAAATAAATAAGATCATAGCAGAAATAAAATTGAAATAAAAAACACATATGATTAAATGAAAAGTTGGTTTTCTGGAAAGCTAAACAAAATTGACAAACTTTTAACCAGGCTAACTAAGAAAAAAGAGAAAAGATTCAAATAAATAAAATCAACAGATTAAAAAAAAGGAGACATTACAACTAATACTTCAGAAATTCAAAGGATCATAACTGGCTATTATATGCCAATAAATTGGAAAGCCTAGTAGAAATTGGCAAATTCCTAGATGCATACATCTAGGAATACACCTACTTAGGTTGTATACACCTACTTAGGTTGAATAATGAAAACATCCAAGACCAAAACAGATTGGTAACAAGAAATGAGATTGAAGCCATCAGAAAAAGTCTCCCAGTAAAGAAAAGCCCAGGAACTGATGTCTTCACTGCTGATGGCTTCACAACAAACAATTTAAAGACCTAGTACGAATCCTACTCAAACTATTTTGAAAAACAGGAGGGAATACTTCCAAACTTATTCTATGAGACCATTATTACTGTGCTACCAAAATCAGACAAAGGCATCAAAGAAGGAAACTACAGGCCAGTATTTCAAATATTGATGCAAAAATCCTCAACAAAATACCAGTGAATCAAATTCAGTAATACATTAAAAAGATAATTCATCATGATCAAGTGCGATGTATCCCTGGGATGCAAGGGTCACTCAACATACAATGTGATACATCATATCAATCAAATAAATGACAAAAACAGTATGATCATGTCAACTGAAACTGAAAAAGCATTTGGTGAAATTCAACATCCTTCATGCTATTAATCCTCAAAGAAACGGGTACAGAAGAAACATACCACAACATAATAAAAACTACAGGAAAGACACCCACAGCTAGAATCATATGGAGGGAGGTCCAGGCTGCAGTGAGCTGTGATCCCACCACTGCACTCCAGCCTGGGCAACAGAGTGAAACCCTGTCTCAAAAAAAATATGTAAAAAGAGGTATGAGCCTCTTTTATAGGTGCAGTGACTCACATCTGTAATCCCAACACTTTCTGGGAGGCTGAGGTGAGAGGATCTCTTGAGGCCAGGAGTTCAAGATCAGCCTGGGCAACACAGCGAGACCCTTTATCTACAAAAAATTTTTAAACATTTGCCAGGTGTGGTGGCACGTGCCTGTAGTCTTAAACAATTATCATATGACCCAGATAGTCTATTCCTTAGGGATATACCCAAGGGAAATGAAAATATACATCCACACTAAAATTTGTACACAAATGTTCATAGCAGCATTGTTCATAATAGCCAAAAATTGGAAAAAAAACTCAAGTGCCTATCAACAGAGGAACTAATAAAATATGGTATATCCATTCAAAAGATTACTCAGCATTAAAAAAGAATGAAGTGCTGATATACGCTACAGCATGGATAAACCTTGAAAACACTGTGCCAAGTGAAATAAGTCAATCACAAAAGACCATATGTAGTAAGATTTCATTCTGTGAAACCTCCAGAAGAGCTAAACTCAGAGACAGAAAGTAGGCTAGTTATTGCCAGGGACTAGGGGAAAAGGGAATAAGGATGACTGCTAATGGGTATGGGATTTCTTGTGGACTGATGAAAATGGTCTGAAAGTATCTAGATACCTGTCTTGTTTGTGCGATTCTGTGAATATATTATAAACCACAAAATTCTGCACTCAAGGGGTTGATTTCATGGTAGGTGAATTTATCTCATTTATCTTTATCTCAATAAAGCTTTTTAAAGACACTTTAAAAAGACATATCTGTATAAGCTACAAAAATAACATACTGAGAGACTAAAATGCCTAATTTTTCCATTTTTCTTCTTCAGCGCAATCTCAAGTCCAAAAGTCTTTCCTTCCTATATATGCGTATTTTGTCCAGTGAAACAAGACACTCTATTAATTTTTTATTAGAAATAAAAAAAAGCCAGGTGTGGTGGCTCACAGCTGTGCTTCCAGCTACTCAGAAGGCTGAGGCAGAAGGATCACTTGAGGCCAAGACTGGGAGTTCAAGACCAGCTGAGGCAACACAGCTAGATCCTGTCTTTAAAAATATTTTTTAGGCCAGGCACAGTGGTTCACGCCTGTAATCCCAGCACTTTGGGAGGCCAAGGAGGGCAGATCATTTGAGATCAGGAGTTCAAAACCAGCCTGGACAACATGGTGAAACCCCATCTCTACTAAAAATATAAAAATTAGCTGGGTGTGGTGGCAGGCACCTGTAGTCCCAGCTACTCGGGAGGCTAAGGCAGAAGAATTGCTTGAGCTGGGAGGGTGGAGGCTGCAGTGAGGCCAAGATCATGCCATTGCACTCCAGCCTGGGTGACAGAGCAAGACTCCGTGTCAGGGGAAAAAAAAAAAAAAAAAAAAATATATATATATATATATATATATATATTTATACACACACACACACACATATATTTATATATTTTTTAAGTTAAAACCCTACTGAAATGAAACTAATAAAATAAAATTCAACTTAATTAAAAAACAGTTCCTGAAATATTAATTTTCAAACAATTCTATTTTAGCTTTGACTCTGAACAAAATATAAACCTCAATTTCAAAATGTCACAAAGATTGGCTGGGAGCAGTAGCTCATGCCTGTAATTCCAGCACTTTGGGAGGACGAGGCAGGTGGATCACTAGAGGCCAGGAGTTCCAGAGCAGCCTGGCCAACATAGGGAAACCCAGTCCCTACTAAAAAAATACAACAAAAATTAGCCGGGTCTAGTAACCCCAGCTACTCAGGAAGCTGAGGCATTAGAATCACTGGAATCTGGGAGGTGGAGGGTGCAGTGAGTGGAGATCATGCCACAGCACTCCAACCTGGGTGGCAGCCTGAGATTCTGTCTCAAAAAAATAAAAATAAGGCCAGGTGCCATGGCTCATGCCTGTAATCCCAGCACTTTGGGAGGCCAAGGTGGGCAGATCACTTGAGGTCAAGGAGTTTGGGACCAGCCTGGGCAACATAGTGAAACCTCCTCTCTACTAAAAATACATAAATTCGCTGGGCATGGTGGCACACACTTGTAATGCCAGCTACACCAGAGGCTGAGGCAGGGGAATCGCTTGAATTCGGGAGGTGGAGGTTGTAGTGACCTGAGATTGTGCTACTGCACTCCAGCCTGGACGACAGAGTGAGACTCCATCTCAAAAAAAAAGAAAAAAAAAAAGAAAATTTACATTTAAAATTTAAAAAAATCACAGACTACAAATACTCAGGTTTAAGCAAATTCCCACCTTTCTTGAATTAACAGTAATTCATATTTGCTTTGTCAAAAATGTAGATATTTACCTGCCCCAACGGAATGAAATCCTAAAAGCCTAGTGTTCTCAAATGATGAAGAGAAAGAAATATGCATATTTTAATTTAGAATTTTGATTTAGAATTAATTTTAACCTAGCTGGAGTATACATAATCATTTATGTATTTATTTACTTATTTAAGAGACTGGGTTTCGCTGTATTATCCAGACTGGAATGCAGTGGCACAACCTTGGCTCACTGCAACTTGTACTTCCTGAGCTCAAGCGATCCTCCCACCTCAGCCTCCAGGGTAGCTGGGACTGCAAGTGCACGCTACCACACCCAGCTAATTTTTGCGGAGACGAGTCTCGCTATGTTTCCCACACCTGTCTCTAACTCCTTGGCTCACTACAGCCTCAAGCCTCTGGGCTCAAGCAATCTGCCTCCCAAAGTGCTGAGATTACAGGAGTGAGCCACCGCACCCGGCCTAGTGGATAGTGTATACTAAGCAACATATACCCTGCTTTTGCCTAGAACATACTGAAAACATGGCATTAAAAACAATCACAAAAGTTGGGAGCTGAGAAAAATCATATACTGTAAAACAAATCTGACAGATATTAATCTCAAGAAGCTCCTGAAAATGTCTCAAGAACTCCTATGTTGCACTCTCCCTAATAATTTAGACTTTCTACAGATATTTTCTGATCATCTACCGTGTGCCAGGCACCATGCCAGGTACCAAGATGCCATGGTGAGGTATACACAAAAACAGCTCCTGCTTGCAGGAAGCCTACTCTCTAAAACAGTGCTTGCCAAGCTCGACTGATCACAACTTGGGAGCTTGTTTAAGTTCCAAATCGGCTTCCCTGCTTTGGTGAGCCACAATCCGTGGCATTTTTATCAGGTGCTCCCAATGATTCCTACACTCTAACGGGTTTAGGAGACAAGGGTGGGGGTAAGCTCGAGAGCCCAGAGCCATCCCGTCCAGCGGGAGCCCCACCTCTAAAGTCCATGTCGCTCAGCATCCTTCCCCCTGACTAGTGGCCCAAACACAGCACGAAGCTGAGGTGGGTGGAACGCTTTCCAAAACAGTGCTCTGTGATGAGCCACCGACAGACTTGCTCGCCACTGGGGACGAAGAGCTCACTCCTCACAAACCCCACCCGGGAGAGGTAGCACCTGATCCTCCCGGGCTGCGCCGACACCTGTCTCCCCGCGGGTGCCGCCTACTGCTCTGGTGGACTCCAGTCCCCAGCTTCCGCCCCACGGGGACTGGGGGGAGGGGGGAGGCACCGCGCGCATTAGGCGCCGACTGTATACCGAACCCCCCACCCCCGGTGTGTGCAGGCCAACACCCATACACACCCACACACACCCACACACACTCTCGCGGAAACTGAGGCAGGCAGGCGGCCGACCATGTCCTGTCGCCTGACGGCTCGCGGCTGGGATCGAACCCGGACTGCGAGACACCCTCCGCCTCGCAGGCGCTCCTCAGTCGCTGAGGCCCGGCCCGGCTCCCACCGCCGGAGTTTGACAAAGAAAGTCTCCCGGCCCGAGTCCCTCACGCACTCACCGGCGCCGACTCGGTCTCCCGCCGCCTTCAGCTCCTTGCGGGGGTCGGCCCTTGGGCCGGCTCGGGCGCCGGCGGCGGCCACTGCTCCATATCCACGGGGTCCGGGCCGCGTCCGCCTCGAGCTAACGGTCCCACCAGCTAGGCGCGTGCGCCGGTTCCGCGCGCCATGTTCCCGCCGTGCTGCGCGCCGCCGCGGCGACCCTCACTGCCCCCCAACCGCGCACGCCCCCGCAGGCCCACACACGAACCGCGCACGCGCGCGTTCGACGCGCCCCGCTCCCGCGCGCCCGGCCTCGGGCCCTCTGCAGCTGGCCGCTGTTCCCAGTGTCTCACCCACCCGCGCCGGAACCGTCCGACTGGGCGGGTGAGCGCGCGGTTCCCGACTCAGCACCGCCGCCTGCCTCTCTGCAGACCACCCCTGACCCGACCTCTCGGCCATTTCCCCACACTGCCCCTTTCACTTCCCCCATGGCGCGGGGCCTAGGACGAGGGTCTGGGCCAAGAAGAACTTCCCCGCAAGAAGTGCCGAGCTAAGGACGCTACTAAGGGGGTGGGATCGCCACCGTGGAGGTGTGCAAGCACGTGCCTGCGTCCCGGTGACAGCCAGACTCAACGGAGAAGCTGAGTTCAAGTCCCACATCTCCACTAACCCTTGCGTGTTAGGGTCAGGGCTTCGGGACTTGTTTCTCCTAAATCTTTTTTTTTTTTTTTTGAGACAGTCTCGCTCTGTCACCCAGGCTGGAGTGCTGTGGCGTGATCTCGGCTCACTGCAAGCTCCGCCTCCCGGGTTCACGCCATTCTCCTGCCTCAGTCTCCCGAGCAGCTGAGACTACAGGCGCCCACCACCACGCCTGCTAATTTTTGTATTTTTAGTAGAGATGGGGTTTCACAGTGTTAGCCAGGATGGTCTCCATCTCCTGACCTCATGATCCTCCTGCCTCGGCCTCCCAAAGTGCTGAGATTACAGGCGTGAGTCAGCGCGCTCGGCCTGTTTCTCCTAAATCTAAAGACTCAATATAATAATCAAGAGAACGCCTCAGCACCGCGCCTAGCACTTAGTAGGTAGTGATCGAGAGAGAAGACCTCTTAAGTGGTTTTAATGGTTAAGGACCACAGGTTCTCAAGAAAGGGAAATCTCAATTCGAGTCCCACCTCCATCTCTTGAAAACTGAGAAACCTGGAACAAGTCACTCAGAGGAGCCAAAGATCCTTGATTTCTACATGTGCAAAAGGGGAGTGTGGCAGTAGCACTGCACAGGGCTGACTGAGCTTTCAGGGAGATGATGACTGTACGATCATGCCTCTCTTAATCACGGGATGGTTCTGAGAAATGCCTCCTTAGGTGATTGCATCATTGTGCAAACAGCAAAGTGCATTTACACAAACCTTGTATAGCCTTGTACAGTCTACTACACACCTAGGCTGTATGGTGTAGCCTATTGCTCCTAGGCTACACACCTGTACAGCCTGATACTTTACTGAATATACTATAAGCAGTTGTAACACAATGTAAGTACTTGTGTACCTGAACATAGAGAAGGTACAGTAAGAATAGAGTATAAGAGATTTTAAAATGGTACTCCTGTATAGGGCACTTACCATGAAAGGAGCTTGCAGGACTGGAAGATGCTGTGGTGAGTCAGTGAGTGTGAAGGCATAGGACCTTACTGTACACTACTGTAGACTTTATAAACACCATATGCTTAGGCTACACCAAAAATTTTTAAAGCTTTTCTTCAATAAATTAACCTTAGCTTACTGAAATGTATCTTAAAAAATTTTGCCGGTCGTGGTGTCTCACACCTGTAATCCCAGCACTTTGGGAGGCCGAGGCAGGCAGATCATTTGAGGTCAGGAGTTCGAGACCATCCTGGCCAACGTGGTGAAACCCTCATCTCTAATAAAAATACAAAAGTTAGCCAGGCATGGTGGTGTGCACCTGTAGTCCCAGCTACTCAGGAGACTGAGGCAGGAGAATCGCTTGAACCCAGGAGGCGGAGGTTGCAGTGAGCCGAGATCGCACCATTGCACTCCAGCCTGGGCAACAAGCATACGACTTCATCTCGATTAAAAAAAAAGAAAAAAGAAACAGAGAAAAGGTGGCTAACTCTCCACAGCGGGAAAAATGTCCCAGGAAACCACAGCCTCCACATTAAATATTCAAATGAGCTAAAACCCATCTAGGGCAATCTCAGCCTTATTCCTTTAAACATGCAAACCAACTAAATTCCCAACAAACCCCCTACACCAGGCCAGCCAAGTCTCAGAATGCTTATATACCCTTTAATAGAAATTTCCAACCACATCCCCATTTCCTAAGGAAATGGCTGTGTGCCCTTGATTCTGCCCTGACTGAATCGCCAGTGGCCATTGAACCACGGCACTCAATTCATGGCATGGCCAGCGAGCTACAAAGTGTCCTAGCATCAACCAAGCAAAGTTATAAAAGCAGATTCAGTGGACAATAAGGAACATTAGAGTCAAAAAGACCTGGGTTGGGTCCCAGCTCTGCCATTTACCAGCTGTGTGACATCAGAAAAGTTACCTTCGTCCTCTAACTTTGGTTTCCTCACCTGTGACATGACAGTGGCTAGAGGACCTCACTCATAAAATCACTGTGAGGACAAGAGCAGCCAAGGGTAAGTCTTTGCACAGGGCTTCCCTGGTCATTATTGGGTCAACAAGACAGAACCATGCCTTATCTCCACTTCCAAAACCCAAACAGCTCTCAAAAACGAGTCATTGTAGCTCATTTGGAAGAAAAGACTGATATGAATCAATATGCAACTACCTATAATCTTTCTCTATCCCTCTTGCTGTGAATATTTGCTGTGGAAATATTAACATGTTTGGTCTCCACTGGGGTAGGACTCCACATGTGTAGGACTCCGCTGAGGTGCTACACATACACATAGTAGATATGCCTTACCACCTTCCTAAAATTGGGTAATTAAATTTCACAACTTATCTAGCCCAAAGGTTTCAGAGACTGTAGACCTGTATCTTTATGAGGGCAAGGATGAGAATATAACCTGGCCTGTTATTATGCACCAAGGTACCTGCTGTTCTCATGAAGATGTCAGCAGCCAGCCAGCCAGTCTCTACAAACTCCACCCCCAACCTTGCTATGCTCCTTTTCCCGGAACTTTCCAAGGGGCCCTTAGAATTTGTATTCAGCTCTCACAGGCTGAGACCAGGGTGACATCCTGGGAAACCTGCCTAGTGATAGCCAAGGTGTAGCTCCAGATGAAAGGCACACAACAACTTTAAATATAAAAAAGCCATTCAGGCTAGGCGCAGTGGCTCACGTGTGTAATCCCAGCACTTTGAGAGACCGAGGCAGGTGGATCACCTGAGATCAGAAGTTCAAGACCAGGCTGGCCAACATGGCAAAACCCTGTCTCTACAAAAAAATATAAAAATTAGCTGGGCATGGTGGTGCATACCTGTAATCCCAGCTACTCGGGAGGCTGAGGCACGAGAATCGCTTGAACCTGGGAAGCAGAGGTTGCAGTGAGCCAAGCTTGCACCACTACACTTCAGGGTGGGCAACAGAGTGAGACTCCGTCTCAAATAAATAAATAACAAAGCCATTCAACTAAAGAACCGATTATCAAGCAGAAGCACAAAGCCCAGGTTCCATCAGGTTTTTAATTGTACATCAGTGACTGTGAAAAAGCAATTATTTCCATAATTAAAATACACACTATAAAAAACAGACTCAAAGAAAAGAAAGATGACAGAGTGAAAGAAGGTACATTTCTTTCATGTTCAAACCATGGAGTTCACAACACAGCAGCACACACAGCCGGGCGCTTTGTGGTCTCGGCACCCTCGGCTTCCCCTTCATGAGGCCACTTTCGACTAGTAGAAGGCTGAAAATAAAGGAAAATGGAGAAATGTTCAAAAGAAAATCACTGGCTTCTTTAAGATTATCAAAGTTCCTCAATATACTTCCAGTAAAGTGGGGGCATTTGATGTGAAATTCTAGTACCAAAAATTACTGGTCGTCATCATTGACAACTGAGTCCTCACCACAGCCCGCAACTCAGACATGCTTATCTAATAGATATTTCTCTCCCTATGGCTTCTGACCTCTGAACGATGTATACTGAAAGCAAGTAGCATAACCAACTTCCTCTTGATCGTCCTCTTCTAAATATCAAGTTTAAAAGGACTATAATACCTCTCAGTTGAAGCCCCAAGTCTTGGTCTTTTGCGGGAAGACAACCTTTGTGCCTTAGTTGTTTTCCCATATATAAAATTGGGAGGAAGGCTGGGTGCGGTGACTCACGCCTGTAATCCCAGCACTTTGGGAAGCCGAGGTGGGCAGGTCGCTTCAGGTCAAAAGTTCGAGACAAGCCTGACCAACATGGCAAAACCCCATCTCACCTAAAAATACAAAAATTAGCTGGGCGCAGTGGTGGACACCTGTAGTCCCAGACACTCGGGAGACTGAGGCAGGAGAACTGCTTGAACCCAGGAGGCAGAGGTTGCAGTGAGCTGAGATTGCACCACTGCACTCTGGCCCGAGTGACAGACTAAGACTCTGTCTCAAGAAAATAAAAATCGGGGCAGCGGGGAGGAAACAGTGGGAAAAAGGACAGCTACCATTCAACAACAACAACAACAACAAAGTAGGACTGGAATTAACTTATACTCACAAAGAACTTTAAAGAATAAACTTGTAATCAAGGAATCAACTACTGACCCAAATTTTAATTTTTCCAACAAATTTATATTTGAGCCCCTAATAGAGTCTTTCGAAATTGCCTTGCAGGTGACCTTTTGGATGACAATCCCTAGCTGTGCTTATCTGTCTATTATGTGTTAGATATTAAACATATCCTGCGTTTTTAAATCTAAGGGTGCTGGAGTGAATCAAGTTCAAACAGAGTTTCTACTACATTATAACTGAAACAATGTTAAGCAATTGCTACTCAGGAAAATCTTGAATTTCATCATCTTTGCTTATCATCTCCTTAAGCCCAGACTACATTTAGTGATCATCAGGAATACGAATACCTGGGCTAGAACCTGGAGTAGAGCTGTGGATTCATTTTCCTCACACAGAAGATCTTGAAACTTTCTCTTCATGTCTTCATCCTGTGAGGGAATTAAAAACATAAGTAGCTGTGTCTGAAGGATAATAAACTCCTAGAATGACAGGGCTAGCATGCCTCTGTGGAAAGAGGGAGGAAAAGATGTCCGTCCAAGAATCATCCCCTTGATGAAGCTCCCACAGTGAAGGCATTATGTGTTGCCCCCCTCTACCTTCCCACAGGAGTCCAATCAGCAGTCAATGCTCCATCGATCCTGGCTGAGTCACATCCACATGCCTAAAAGCTCTCAGTGGGTCAATCACAGCCTCCAGCAGTCAAGAGTTTCTGAATTAGCATCCCAGATCCTGAGAAAGGTGACAATCAGGGGCCAGGGGCTGGGTCTCACTCCGTGCAGCTCCTCAAATCCTTCCAGGACCGCTCTCCACCTGCTGCCCCTGCCATGAATGAGGCCAGTCACCCAGGCTGTCTTAACAACCAGCCCAGCACCCTAGGAAAATTCACCCAGCAGATGCCATAGAAATTTTCAGAAGTACTTAAGCCCACAGTATCCCAGAGTTCAGGTCTAATGAGAAAGGGAGACAATAAACAGAACAAAGCATTACAGGTGTTTCATGCTGCAGGAACGGGAGATGAGCAGGGCACAGACAGTGTGTATACGGGTAGCTCCCACCTCTCTGGATGCTCACTTCTGCAGGGTTCAAGGATTTGCATTAGGAAACCCTGAGAGGTGGTCCGGTGCAGCTCTCCCCATCTTCAGCAAGGTGAAAGGAACATCTATATCTAGTAATGTGGCCTTTGAGTGCTGGCCAGAAGCCCAGCTCAGCCACTCACAGGTGGCATGTGCGGAATACAGACCCAGAGTTATCTGATTCCAGTGCCTCATGTACTTTCCCACCCAACTCCAGCCCCTCCTCCCACTGAGCCAAGCATACCACAGTGGGGAAAGGGAGAGGATACAGCAAAGTCCTCCACCATTTGGCAACTTGATGGATATGGAAATTTTACAACACTAGGTTGGGCATGGTGGCTCATGCCTATAATCCCAGCACTTTGGGAGGCCAAGGTGGGATAATTGCTTGAGGCCAGGAATTTGAGACCAGCCTGGGCCACATACTGGGACTTTGTCACTACAAAAAAATTTAAAAATTAGGCCAGGCATGGAGGCTCACGCCTGTAATCCCAGCACTTTGGGAGGCCAAGGTGGGTGAATCACCTGAGGTCGGAAGTTTAAGATCAGCCTGGCTAACATGGTTAAACCCCATCTCTACTAAAAATACAAAATTAGCCAGGCGTGGTAGTGCATGCCTGTAATCCCAGCTACTCAGGAGGCTGAGGCAGGAGAATCACTTGAACTCGAGAGGCGGAGGTTGCAGTAAGACAGGATCACACCACTGCACTCCAGCCTGGGCAAAAGAGTACGACTCTGTCTCCAAAAAAAAAAAAAAAAATTAAATTAGCCAGACATGGTGGCATGCACCTGTAGTCTCAGCTACTTGGGAGGCTGGGGCAGGAGGATCACTTGAGCCTGAAAGTCATGGTGCAGTGATCATGCCACTGCACTCCAGCCTATGTGAGACAGCAAGACCCTGAGGAAGGAAGGAAGGAAAGAAGCAAGGAAGGAAAAAGGGAGGGGGGATGAAAGAGGGGAGGAAAAAGGAATGGAGGAGAGGGGAGGGGGAAGGAAGGAGGAAGAAAGAGAAAGAAAGAAGGACCAGGCACAGTGGCTCACACCTGTAATCCCAGCACTTTGGGAGGCCAAGGCAGGGCAGAACACTTGAGTTCACCATGTTTTGAGTTTCTCAGTGTAGCTCCCCATTGCCATTTGACAGCAGCAAGCTCATCTGGATTCCTCTCCCCACCCTCTCACGGCTTTACTTAGGATCTCAATTATCTTGCAGTGTCACTCTCAAAAGTCCATCTCTTGGCAGCCCTTCAGTGAAGCCAAACAGAGTGGTCACAAGCCTAATCAGGCCTATATTTAAACCAAGTCATCAGGTCAGGCACAGTGGCTCATGCCTGGAATCCCAGCACTGTGGGAGGCCAAGGTGGGTGGATCACCTGAGGTCAGGAGTTCGAGACTAGTCTGACCAACATGGTGAAACCCCATCTCTACTAAAAATACAAAAATGAGCTGGGCATGGTGGCAGGCACCTGTAGTCCCAGCTACTTGGGAGGCTGATGCAGGAGAATCACTTGAACCCAGAGATGGAGGTCGCAGTGAGCTGAGATCACACCATTGCACTCCAGCCTGGTAGACAAAAGCGAGACTCCATCTCAAAAAAGGAAATAAATAAATAAACATTGATTTTCTTCATGATGTCTACAATTATTCCAAAATATTAAATTAGCTAGGAACAGTGGCTCATGCCTATTATCCAAGCACTTTATGAGGCTGAGGCGGGAGGATCCCTTAAGGCCAGGAGGTCGAGGCTGCAGTGAGCTATAATTGCACCAGTGCACTCCAGTTTAGGGAACAGAAGAAGACCTTGTCTCCAACAATAAATAAAATAAAAATTAAATTATAATATCCCTTGAAAGCAAACAGAAGAAATCCTCTATTTCAGGCAGTAAATATGAAGCAGAGAGTAGATGTAAGGGATGATCCCAAAACTGGCCACTCTGTTAATGACAAAACAGAGACCAGAATCCACATTCCCAACACTCAGTCCAGCGCCAGACCCACAAAACCATTTGGTTTTTGCAAAAGCACTGAATTTCCCCAAAATAAAACCCAAACTATCACTAACAGATGTTTTAGATGGTCAGTCTTCATCCTTGTCTTCATTCAATGCTCATTCCTCCTTTTACTGCAAAAACAAAAGGTGGCTAAAAGAGTATTCCAGGGAGATCCTGCAACGGAGTTGAACTTCACCTTCTCCTTGGTTGTTAATAAGTTTTCTTTGAGACAAAGAAGTACAAGAAAAATAGGCTACGCTTGCTCATAAATTTCAGGCAGATGCAAACCCTGTTCCCAGGCTCAACAGGCCAGCTCTATTTTTTTGCTAGAGATGAACACAGCTCCTGTACCTCTACATTTAGACCCAAGAGTTTCCCTATTAGGACACATGAAAAGAGCCAAAAGACATGTTTCTCTTTCTCATCAAAATTAAAATCCCCACATGCAAAGGCACCCTTTGTTTCCAAACCCCTTTCCTCCAGGGTCCCGCTGTTTCAAATCTCTGTGGTCTATTAAATGCTAAATCATCTGACAGATTTCTTCTGGGGAGACTATAGTTTCCAGGGCAACATCCAAAACACATATATATATATATATATCTGTCTTTTTTTTTAAGTTTTTGTTGTTCTCAACCTGAGCTGGCCTGAGCAAAACTGTTAGGTGTAGAGGATTAGAACAGAGAATGGGGACAGTCTTCCCAGAGTTCCAGAAGTACGGGGCTGAGGCTGGATTGCCCAAGGAGTTCCTGGACCAGTAATCCCCAGAGAAACAGCATTTAGCTCAAGTAACAGCCTCTAGCTCAAGCTACCAGTTCTGTCCCCCATCTCCACAGAAAACGGATTGATACAGTTTGGCTTTGTGTCCCTACCCAAATCTCATCTCAAATTGTAATCTCCAGGTGTTGAGAAGGGGACCTGTTGAGAGGTGATTGGCTCATGGGGGCAGTTTCCCCCAGGCTATTCTCATGATAGTGAGTTCTCATGAGATCTGACAGTTTCATAAGAGGCTCTTTGCCCTTCACTTCCTTCACAAGCTCTCTCACCTGCTGCCATTAAGACATGCCTTCTACCCCTTCCACCATGATTGTAAGTTTCCTGAGGCCTCCCCAGCCATGTGGAGCTGTGAGTCAAGTAAACCTCTTTTCTTTATAAATTACCAAGTCTTGGGCAGTTCTTTATAGCAGTGTGAGAACAGACTAATACACAGACCAAAAGAAAATTAATAGAAAGGGGCATGGCTGTACTGAATGGAACTGCTCGTTACAGAAGACCAGACATCTATCAGAAAAACCTGCCCAATGCCGTAGCTAATTCCAAAACTAAAGATTAACCCAGCAAAGCCACAACGTACTTCCAACTCTTGGCAGTTCCAAATGAGGTCAGCATTTAATAATGGCAGCCCCAACCCCTAGCAGGAGTACAGCAGTAACACAGATGAAAGGTGCAGGTGACAGCCTTCACTAAGGACACATTTACTCACCTGAATGAACAAGCAGTGGGACCCTTTATACCGAGTCACTTGGGCTTGAGAAATAGCTGGATTCTCCCCAGGGAGGCTGCCCTCCTCCCCCTCCCCCACTTCCCTGATTTAAGGTTGAAGATGGCTAGAATGCACCCCACCTATGAAGAGCAGTGGACATGGCTGGGAGTAGAGCCAGAACAAGCCCTCAAAAGAACACAGGCCAAACTGGAGACTCGGGGCAGCCAAGTGGAACCAGAACAGGACATAAAGTGAGCTTGTACATCCAACAGCCATGAGTAATATCAAAAAGGTTGTAGCCTGGCCAACACAGCGAAACCCCATCTCTACAAAAAATACAAAAAGTAGCTGGGCGTGGTAGCATGCACCTTTAATCCCAGCTACTTGGGAGGCTGAGGCAGGAGAATCACTTGAACCCAGGGTGCAGAGGTTGCAGTGAGCTGAGATTGTGCCACTGCACTCCAGCCAGGGTGACAGAATGATAACCTGTCTCAAAAAAAAAAAAAAAAAAAACAGGTTGTAACCTGTCCAAGATACCCCCCATACATCTAAAACAATTAAACACATTCAACAAAGTAAACATGTTTCTGTCCTCTGTCTCATGTCTCTCAGGCAGCAGGGCTTCCCATGTATTTTATGCTAGCAGGCACTGTCCCACACCCACCTGAAGCCACAGTGTCTTAAGGCTTCTTCTGTTGTAAAACATGCCTTTGGATCCACTACCAACAACTTCTTGACAAGGTCCAGAGCTGAAGCAACAATTGGGCAAATCACAGTGAAAAGGATAAATATATTATCAGTAACAGTATGCCAGAATTAACAGGCCACCATCCAGAAAGAGCAGAGAGGGTCTGAGATCGTCAGGGAGTCAGCAGACAGGGCCCCCTAATCTTCCTCACTCTCTGTATTCAGAGTACTGTGAGAAGACCAGGAATGATAATGACACTCCCTGTCTCCTGTTGCTGGGACATCAGTCACGACCTCTTCGCTGCCTGTTCCCTCTCTTGTTGCTAGACTCAAGGTCAAACTAATTAAAGCTAAACTTCTACCCAATTCTAAGATAATTGGGATGCACAGCAAACTCTCCCTGACATCTACAGATGGATGGGTGACAGTTACTCAGCCAGGGAGAGGCTCCCTGGAACTGCAGACTTGTCAGAAATAAAACTTGACTACTCCAGCAAGCAACAAATGCATGCTGGCCTGTATATCACAACATTATTATTCCTGAAATATTCTGACATTTAACACAATTACCTATGTTATGTTATTTGACATTTAATTTTCTATTTTCTCTTCAGGGAACTAAAGTTGCCAGGACAAATTATAAAATACAAGGTAACTAAAGACATATAGTTTTTACACGCTTGCTTACTCAAAGGAAACCTTGTAACTAAAAAGTTACAAATGCATTTATTTTGCTCAGTAAAATAGGTACAAGGCACTTGTTTACATTATACCTAACCCTCAAAAAACCTTTTAAGGTAGGGATTATTGAGGGTCCCTTTACACAGAAAGAAATTGGAGACGGAGGTTAAATAACTTGCCTAAGGCCACACAGCTAAGTAGTAGCAGACCCAGGACCTGAGTGCATGCTCTTAATAATTTCCAGTGCCTCTCAAATGGTGTGAAACTAACGATAGAAAATAAGAACAGAATTGACAGGAGAAAACACCATGGAATTTGGAAAGAAACTCCCACCACAGGACACACACATTTTAGCATACCACAAATTCTTAACCCTTTCATATTCATACCTTTCTCTGAGACTTCTGCCCAGACTTTAGGAATGAAGTTGTGTTTTCCACTGGTGATCTGGTCCTTCAGTGACACTTGAGTCCTGTGCTCAGAGAAAGGTGGATACCCACTAAGGCTTAATATTGGTAGAGAGAGAAAGGAAAAGAAATCAAGTGGCATTCTCAGTGGCATTCAGATATAAAGATTTCTTTTTCAGCATAATGAAAAGTCAGATTTTTCTTTAAATCAATGGTCAAAAAGTGAGCTAGGCTGGGCACAATGGCTCATGCTTGTAATCCCAGCACTTTGGGAGGCCGAGGCAGGAGGATCACTTGAGCCCAGGAGTTCAAGACCAGCGTGAGCAACATGGCAAAACCCCATCACTACAAAAAATAGAAAAATTAGCTGGGCATGGTGGTGTGCGCATGTAGTCCCAGCTACTCAGGAGGCTGAGATGGGAGGATCACTTGACCCAGAAGGCAGAGGCTACAGTTAGCCAAGATCAAGCCACTGCATGCCAGCCTGGACAACAGAGCAAGACACATTTGTGACTTCATCTAATCACCTCCTACCAGTCTGTGAAGCAATGAAAATATTTCTTACCAGATAAAAAGAATAACTCCTAAACTCCAGCAGTCCACAGCACGGTTATACCCAGCAGTCCCAACAGAAACAAGAACTTCAGGAGCCAAGCAGGTGGGGGTTCCACATAAAGTTCTCATGAGAGAGGTCTCTCCCAAAATCTTGGAGTGCCCAAAATCAGTAATCTAAAATTCAGTACAAAAGGGAATAATGTTGAACTTGTCATAAAATAAAAAGATTAACATAGTCTGCCAGTCCAAGAAGACATGTAGGCTAGATCAGTTTCTATTGTACAATTCACACCTGCCATTAATCTGGAATCTACAGATTCATGTCTTTGCAAGTTAAGACATTTAACTTTGGTTAAATTAAAATTCCTGAGCCTAGGAATCTCAACACTCAGGCTTTCCAACTTAATCTATGTCCTCTGTAATCTTACAAAAAGCTTATTACCTTTATCACAGACACTTCAGGATTCTCATTAGTTCTACATGGTTCTTAGACCCCACTGTCTCAAACTTGGCTGTGCTATGGAATACCTGGGGAGCTTGGAAACACGTGCTTATACCTGAGTGCCACTCTCAGGTTCTGAGGTAAAGCCTAGGTGTCATAAATTCTAACAAGAGATTCTAAAGTGATGCCAGGCTTGATAAACAGGGAAAGGGAGGGCATGTGATTACACTCATTCATTCATTCATTCATTCACCTATTCTGCCCAAAGCGATGCAGTGCTCCCAAGGTCTGTGCTGAGGAGAACGCTGCTCTGCCTTCGCTGTGTCCCCCGGGTCTGTGCTGAGCAGAACGCAGCTCCGCCCTTGCGGTGCCCCCGGCCCACCCGTCCGCCCGGGTCTGTGCTGAGGAGAACACTGCTCCGCCTTCGCTGTATCTCTGAAGTCTGTGCAGAGGAGAACTCAGCTCGCCCTCACGATGCAATCCGGGTCTGTGTTGAGGAGAACGCAGCTCCGCCCTCGCAAAGGCGCACAGCGCCAGCGCAGGCGCAGAGAGGCGCACATTTTATGAATAGAAAATCAGTTTCTCCCTGTTCCTCCTACGTCGAGGCCGGACACACGTTTACAGGGGATCAGTGTGAAGGGAAGCTGGTGAGGCTGCCTGGGAAGCCCCCTGCCTGCATCTCCCAGTGGACTCCTTGGGAGCGCCCCCTCCCCACCTCTGCCCATCAGCGCCTGAACCGTGGCCACTTGCACTCCTGTTGCCTCCCCAGTGGCTTGAACTCCAGAACTTGCCACCCTTCAGTGGAATTCCTGGAGGAGTGAGGAGCTCTGTGCTATGCTTGGCCACCGAACATGGGCCATCTCTCCTATTATGGTTTGAAATGTACCATAGTGTCTTGTTTGGTAATTGTATAAAAATATGGGGAGACTGTGCGGGTGTCTGCTAGCTTGTCTGCTGGTTCTTACTCATGGTGCCTTCTTCCCTTTCAGACTTGGATATCTTTGTGTGCTTCTTGGGGCCCTTGGAAGGGTGTCTGTGGGGTTTCCGTGAGGCCAAAGACAGAGGTTCCTTCTCACAAGGATGGTGTTTGCTTTCACATGGACAGCCCAGACCACCTGGAACCAAGTGCACAGAAGCCCCACCATCCCTGGGCCTCCCAGGTGTGATGGGTGAGGGGTCCAAGTCCGCCGGAGATCCAAGGCTCTTTGTGGTTGAATCTGTGAGTTTCCTTTCCTTTTTTCCTCCCACTCCTTTTAATGCTAATGAATTCCTTGTTTTGGGGCAGGGACCAGGGTTATCTCTGCTTCTGTCTTCACCCAGGTGAGGCCTTTCAGGCTCCCAGCTTGATATGGGGGTGAATCCCCTATCAGCCTCCTCATACCTTGACCTCTGTCTACCCCCCTACTCCCTCCAAGGTCGAAGCCCAACTTGTCAGGTTGGCAAATGCTCACAAGCAACAGTGGCCCCAGCGCTCCTCTCTAGGTTCTTGGTTTTCCCCTGAAACTTGGCCTGGAGGTTTCCCACTAGCTTAGCAGCCCTTTGATGCTTTTAACGTAATTTTGTTATTGTCTTATCCAAAATTCTTGCTTGTTTTCAGAGGGAAAGCGGGTCTGCCATTACTGCACAGAGAATCTGGGACAGTTATTATAACCATAGAAATTTATTTTCCATGTGCTGTCCCATCTTCTTGATGAGACAGATGTTTAACAACTGGAGAACTGGACCCCATCTTTGTCCCCATCTTGCCTAGCAACAGAAGGTGGTCACTAACCAGGGATTTTCGAGCCCATTGCTTAAGGCCGTTGTTGACCCAAAGGATAGTGGGTCCCTGCTCCTTTTCCTACGGAGAGGCCCAGGTGCCCAGAGGGCCCTCCTGGCTCGGCTGCCTACTTGAGTGGCTGATGAAGTGTCTGCTGTGCGCACAGGGCACCCAGCCCCGCTCCTCCCCAGGCAGCCCCTCGAACAGCTGTTCCTCTACTGCTTCAGCTGTGGACCTGAGGCTGAGAGTCTGAGCCATCGACCTGAGCCACATGCGGGGGAGTGGCAGGCCTGGACCCGGTGCCCAGACCTGGCTCACGTGACCTTACTTTTTCCACTGTGCCTGCTGCTCCCTCCCGGGCTCTGTGACCTTGGGCAGCCATGGCCGTTGTGCACCCATTCCCAGCTGTAAAATGAGAGGCTGGGCTGGCTGATCTCAAATGTCCCCTGCCAGCCTGAGATTCTGCGTTGTGTCCTGGGGTGTGACCGTGACATGCCTCCAAAGGCAGCTGCCAGTGCTCACGAGGGAGGCCTTTTTCCTGAGTTAAGGCAGGTAGGGGGACTGGGGGTGAGTTGAGGGACTGGGAGGTGGGGGAAGCACACAGACAGTCCTCCCCAGCTGAACCCTCATGGTGAATTACCTTCAGTCCCAGGCTCAGTGCTTTGGAAATGCTCTCAGGCCCAGCACCCAGACCTGGAACCAGCCTCCAGGCCCCTGGCCCTCCCTTTCTCTACTGGAATCTTCCAGACCGAGGCAGGTCAGCTGAAAGTCACTGACTCTGCCTTCCACAAACTCATAGCTGACAGACCATTCCATGTCCCCTCCCAGCCCCGTCCCAGGAGGGGAACTCACTTCGCCTTCCCACCCTCCAGGCCGACTCACTGTCCGTCACTCTCTGGGTCCCACCCACTGTCCCACCGACTTCATTGGTCTAAAAATATGCTCTGGCGTCTTGTTGGAAAGCAGAAGGAATCATGGGCCCTGCTGATAAGGTGAAGAAAGTGACCCGAGGGGGCAAACTTACAGACGGGACATGCTTTAGCAAAATAACAAAACAGCGGGACCTGAAGGCTGGCTTCCCAAGCCTCCTCAAGGCCTTGTGCCAGGAAGAGGACCCTCGGGCTTAGGGAAGTGAAAACCAGGCTCGGGTCCCTCACCCAGACCCTTCTGCCCACTTTGGGAGGGAGCCCAAGAAGTCAGCTAGGGAGGGACCTCCCAGTGGGACCTGAGTCCTGATTGGAACTTTCTGGGGGCTTTCTTGGCATTTTACGTGTGTTGTCACAACTCCTTGATGGGGGAGTTAAGCATGGTCTGTGGGATTCCACTGGGAGAGGACCCCTAGAAGCCTGGGCCGGGCCTCCTCCCAATTTCACCCCATATGCCTTTCCCTTTGCTCATTATGCTTTGTGTCTTTTGCTGTAGTAAACCACAGCCATGACTTTTGCAAGTCCTCCTAGATTAACACTGAACTTGGGGGTGGTTTTAGGGACCCTGACATACCTATGGATGTCTGCCTGCTTTAGCGCTATTTGTTGAAACAATAATCTTTTCCACATTGAATTGATTTGGCACTTTTGTTCAAATCAGTTGTAAAGATTTGCTACATAAATGTAAACATTTATTCCTGGACTCTTTTTTTTTTTTTTTTTTCCTGAGACGGAGTCTCGCTCTGTCACCCAGGCTGGAGTGCAGTGGTGCGATCTCAGCTCACTGCAAGCTCCGCCTCCTAGGTTCACGCCATTCTTGTGCCTCAGCCTCTTGAGTAGCTGAGACTACAGGTGCTCACCACCATGCCCGCCACCACGCTCTACTAAAAATACAAATTTTTTTTTGTATTTTTAGTAGAGACGGGGTTTCACCGTGTCAGCCAGGATGGTCTCGATCTCCTGACTTCATGACCCGTCTGTCTTGGCCTCCCAAAGTGCTGGGATTACAGGTGTGAGCTACCACACCCAACCTATTCCTGGACTCTTACTCTGTTTCATTGCCTATCTTTATGTCAGTACCATGCTATCTTGATGACTATGGCTTCTTAGTAAGTTTATTGTTTATTTTTTATTATTTTTTTGGGATGGAGTTTTGCTCTTGTTGCCCATGCTGGTGTGCAATGGTACAATCTTGGCTCATTGCAGCCTCTGCCTTCCGGGTTCAAGTGATTCTCCTGCATCAGGCTCGCGAGTAGCTGGGATTATAGGCATCTACCACCATGCCTGGCTCATTTTTTGTATTTTTAGTAGAGATGGGGTTTCACTGTGTTGACCAGGCTGGTCTCAAACTACTGACCTCAGGTGATCTACCCACCTCAGCCTCCCAAAGTGCTAGGATTACAGACGTGAGCCACCATGCCCAGCCCAGCTTCTTAGTAAATTTTAAAATCAATATGTCTTCCAACTCTGTTCTTATTTTTCAAAATTATTTTGCCTACTGTAGGTTTTTTTTTTTTTTGCATTTCCATATGAATTTTAAGATCAGCTTGCTGATTTTTATTAAAAAGGTTAGTGGGATTTTGATTGAGGTTGCATTGAATGAATGTACCAACTAAGGAGGCTTGACATCTTGACAATAATGAGCCTTCCCATCCGTAAACATGGAATAGCTCTTCTTTTAATATATCTCAGCATTGTTTTGTAGTTTTCAGTTTACATGTCTTGTGATTCTTTTGTTTATTCCTGAGTATTTTATTCTTTTTGATGCTATTGTGAATGGAATGGTTTTCTCAATTTCAAGATTGTTCATTGCTAGTATATAGAAATCGAATTGGCCAGGCACAGTGGCTCATGCCTGTAATCTCAGCACTTTGGGAGGCTGAGGCAGGAAGATTGCTTGAGCCCAGGATTTCTGGGCCAGCCTGGGCAACATAGTGAGAGTCCATCTCTACAAAAAAATACAAAAATCAGCCAGTGTGGTGGTGTGCACCTGTAGTCCCAGCTCCTTGGGAGGCTGAGGCTGCAGGATGGCTTCAGCCTGGGAGGTTGAGGCTGTAGTAAGCCATAATGGTGACATTACACTCCAGCCTGGCTGACAGAGTGATACCCTGTCTAGAGAAAAAAAAAAAAAAGAATTGATTTTTGTATATTGATTATACCCTGTGACCTTGCTAAATTTATTAGTACTAATATTTGTTTTATGGATGCCTTAGGATTTTCTATATATAAGATAATGCCATCTGTAAATAAAGACAGTTTTATTTCTTCCTTTCTAATCTGGATGCCTTTAATTTCTTTATTTGCCTCATTGATTAGAAATAGCAAAAGTGGGCATCTTTGCCTTGTTCGTGGTGAGAAGAGGAAAGCAGTCATTCACCACTAAGTGTGATGTTAACTGTGGGTTTTTGTAGGTGTCTTTTATCAGATTTCATAAATTCTCTTTTATTCCTACTTTGTTGAGAATTTTTATTATGAATCTGTGATGGATTTTGTCACATAGTTTTTTCAATATCTGTTGAAGTCACCATGTGTTTTTTGTCCTTTATTCTGTTAATATAATATATTATATTATATTGATTTTCAGATGTTAAACCAACCTTGCATTTCTGGGATAAATCCCACTTTGTTATGGTGTATAATCCTATTTATATGTTGCTAGGCTTGGGTTGCTAATACTAGTCTTACAGAATGAATTAGGAAGCATTACCTCTGCCTTCATTTTCTCATTCATTTATTTTATTTTACTTTTTATCATATATATATATATATATATATATATATTTATATTTTATTTCATTTTATCTTATTTTAGTTTTTAGAGACAGTGTCTTGCCCTGTCACCCAGGCTGGATTGCGGTGGTGTGATCATAGCTCACTGCAGTATCAACCTCCTGGACTCAAGCGATCCTCCTGCCTGGGACTATAGCCATGCATCACCATGCCCAGCTAACCATCCATTTCTTTCTTTTTTTAAAACAAATTTTATGTTTATTTATTTATTTATTTGGATTTCTCCTACCGAAAGGAATCATTCATTTCTTTTTTTTTTTTTTTTTTTTTTTGAGAGGGAGCCTTGCTCTGTTGCCCAGGCTGGAGTGCAGTGGCACAATCTCAGCTCACTGCAACCCCTATCTCCCAGGTTCAAGCCTCAGCCTTCTGCATAGCTGGGACTACAGGTGTGCACCACCACACCCAGCTAGTTTTTGTATTTTTCAGTAGAGACAGAGTTTCACTATATGTTGGCCAGGCTGGTCTCGAACTCCTGACTTCAGCTGATCCACCTGCCTCGGCCTCCCAAAGTGCTGGGATTACAGACGTGGGCCACCACGCCCAACCAGAATCATTCATTTCTTTTCAAGTGGATATCTTATGGTATTTTAGGGCATGGCTGGGAGCAGTTTTGTTTTCTGTTCTCAAGGTGGAGTTTTTGCAGGATGTCATAGAGTTCATGTCTGCAGCTCACAGTGTCATTGCCTGTGTCCGCAGCTCCACGTACTGGCAGGTGTACTGCAAGCTGGGCAGGTGCTCCGTGTCCCTGGGATACCTTACCCAACACTCCTGGCCCTCCTCTGCAAGCCGTGCCCTGATCCTCCCTGCAGGGACTGGGGATTGGTTCTGCTCACCCAGAAGCCGGGATACCTGGCTGAGGGCACTTCTCTCCCTCTTCTCTTTGAACAGAGTGGCCGCGAACCCAAAGGTGCGGGAACAAGTGCGGCTGGAGCTGAGCTTGGTCAACTCAGACCTGCAGATGCTCAAGGAAGAGCTGGAGGGGCTGAACATCTCAGTGGGCATCTATCAGAACACAGAGTAAGTGGGAGCAGCACACCTTCCAGAAGCCTCTGAGCCAGAGATCCTTCATATATCCAGGGTATGAAGAGGTACCTGGGTACGAACCCTATCTGCACAAACAGGGCAGATAGGGTTCTAGACTGGGGTGTGGCAGCCCCAGCTTTGGGAAGTGAGAGAACCATCAGGTTTGGGGTTGAGTGAGGTGCTAGACTGGAAGGGATGAGCCCATTTCTTGGGAAATATCTGCAGTGTTGGGAAATATCTGTAGTGTTGGGAAATATCTGCAGTGACAAAAAGGCATTTGTGAGGCCAGGCACAGTGGCTCACTCCTGTAATCCCAACACTTTGGGAGGCTGAGGCGGGTGGATCACCTGAGGTCAGGAGTTCGAGACCAGTCTGGCCAACATGATGAAACCCCGTCTCTACTAAAAATAAAAATAGCCAGATGTGGTGGTGCACACTTGTAATCCTGGCTTCTCAGAGGCTGAGGCAGAATTGCTTGAACCCGGGAGTTGGACGTTTCAGTGAGCCGAGATCACACTACTGTACTCCAGCCCGGCTGACAGAGCAAGACTCTGTCTCAAAACAAACAGACAAAAAAAAACAAATGAAGACAGTATAAAATCTAGTGTAAATATACGTGATGAACCAAGATAAGTTTAAAAGTTAGATGCCTTGGATTTTATAGTTAAGTTTCAGTAATTCCGCGTAGTCACATTTCATAGACATGCAAACATTAGCAAGATATGTTATTAAATTCAACTGAACAGACATTGAGCAAGGATATTTTAGTGGGTCATCATAATTTTCCTAAGAAACATTAAAGGGACATTGTTAGGACAATACCTTTCCAATGTTGGCTAATTATTTTCTCATTTATTTGCCAAGGAACAGAAAGCATACACAAATACTTCGGGATTAAGGCCAAAGGCCAAAATTGACCCTGTAAGGGGAGGCCACTATGCACACACAGAGATTCTGTGCACTGTACTTAGATGCTGGACTGCAGTCTGTTTCCTAGCTGGAGGTGACAAACTGAAACAGAAAAATCCAAATTAAAACAAAGTAACACACCAGTCTCCTTTTAAGGTTGTATTTCCTGTTTTTTTTTTTGACACAGAGTCTCCCTCTCTCACCCAGGTGGGAGTGCAGTGGCGAGATCTCAGCTCACTGCAATCTCCACCTTCTGGGTTCAAGCGATTCTTGTGCCTCAGCCACCTGAGTAGCTGGGATTACAGGCGTGCACCATCACACCTGGCTAATTTTTTTTTTTTTTTTTTTTTTTTTAGTAGAGACAGGGTTTCATCATGTTGGCCAGGCTGGTCTTGAACTCCTGGTCTCAAGTAATCTGCCCGCCTTGGCCTCCCAAAGTGCTGGGATTACAGATGTGAGCCACTGTGCCTGGCTCCTAGGTCAGTTTTGAAGGCACTCTATCGTATCATTCTCCATAACTCAATTTTGGAATTGATTTCTGCAAGATGAAAGCCAACAACACCATCCCTCAGAATTGCAATGCATCTCCAAAAATGGAGATCTAACTATGAAAGAAATGCCCCTCTTGCCTCATGTCTGTAATCCAGCTCTTCAGGAGGCTGAGATGGGGGATTGCTTGAGCCCAGGAGTTCAAGGCCAGCCTGGGCAACATAGTGAAACCCCATCTCTACAAAAAATAGGAAAATTAGCCGGGCATGGTGGTGTACACCTGTAGTCCCAGCTACTCAGAAGGCTGAGGTGGGAAGATCACTTGAGCCAGGGAGGTCGAGACTGCAGTAATGGCAACAGAAAGAAGTCCTGTCTCAAAAAACACAAAAACAAAACAAAACCCTAAGTGAAATGCTTCTTTTTAAGGAGAAATAACTTTGAGACAGTTCAAAGAAGGGTTTACGTGCTTTTTTAGTAGGGGCATGAGACTTCTCAAAAAGTAGGTGGGCCCCAGGGTAAACTCAGTCGGAAAATAGCTCCCTGGATTTGGGAACCTTAAGTCACCTATGGAATGTGTGTTTCCTGGTGCTGGTCCTCCACAGGGCACCAGGGTGGTTTCAGAGCTGGAGGGGAAGTGTCAGTGTGTGAAAGCTCGCTGGCTCTTCCCTTTGTGATACCCCGTGCCTGGCTTACCTGTGGGCTCCTGTACGGTTTTTATTGTTTGTTTGTTTGTTTGTTTTTTGAGATGGAGTCTCTCTCTGTTACCCAGGCTGGAGTACAGTGGCATGATCTCGGCTCACCACAACCTCCGCCTCCCAGGTTCAAGCAATCCTCCTGCCTCAGCCTCCTGAGTAGCTGGGACTACAGGCGCATGCCACCATGCCCAGCTAATTTTTTGTATTTTTAGTAGAGATGGGGTTTCACCATGTTGGCCAGGCTGGTCTCGAGCTCCTGACCTTGTGATCTGCCGGCCTCAGCCTCCCAAAGTGCTAGGTTTACAGGCGTGAGCCACCACACCTGGCCTACTGTGCAGTTTTGAACACCCAGTCAGTGTGACAGCTAATGGAAGGTTCTCCCAGCCTATGCTCTGGTGTTCAATTACAGTGTTTGTCCAAAAGGTTCAAGTTCTGGAGGAGGCGAGATGGGGCCAAGGTTTGGTAATAAATGTCGGCTGTCCCACACTCTCATTTGCTGTGCCGAAGAGTGGGGATGTGCAACACAGGGCTTCCCACAGAGTGAACCGAAGATCTCTGGAGTGGTCCCTGGGCTCTAGAGTGGCCAGTCACTGCCCTGTGTCACTGGGAAGAGGGAGAGCTGTGCAGATTCAACACGGCACCATGCATTTGGGTCCTGCGCTTTTCTGTTTTCTTTTTTTTTCTTTTTCTTTTTTTTTGAGACGGAGTCTTGCTCTGTCACCCAGGCAGGAGTGCAGTGGCGTGATCTCAGCTCACTGCAAGCTCCGCCTACCGGGTTCACACCATCCTCCTGCCTCAGCCTCCCGAGTAGCTGGGACTAAAGGCGCCCGCCACCTTGCCCGGCTAATTTTTTGTATTTTTAGTAGAGACGGGGTTTCACCATTAGCCAGGATGGTCTCAATCTCCTGACCTCGTGATCCGCCTGCCTCGGCCTCCCAAAGTGCTGGGATTATGGGCGTGAGCCACCATGCCCGGCCCTGTTTTCAAAGTAGATTGTTTCTTTCTTAGTATGGTTGATCTTTTTTTTTTTTTTTTTTTTTTTTTTTTTTTTTCTGAGACGGAGTCTTGCTCTGTCACCCAGGCATGGAGTGCAGTGGTGTAATCTTGGCTCACTGCTACCTCCACCTCCTGGTTGAAGTGATTCTCTTGCCTCAGCCTCCTGAGTAGCTGGGATTACAGGCGCACACCACCATGCCCAGGTAGTTTTTGTATTTTTAGTAGAGACGGGGTTTTACCATGTTGGCCAGGTTGGTCTTGAACTCCTGACCTCACGTGATCTGCCTGTTTCAGCCACCTAAAGTGATGGGATTATAGGCGTGAGCCACTGCGCCTGGCCTGCACTATTCTTTTTTCAAGGTAGACTGTTTCTTTCTTAGCATGGTTGATCTTTACAGTCTTCTAGGAGGTAGGCGGGAAAGAAATAACCTCATGGTGCATGAGGTTATTTCCCTCCCTCATGGTGCATGAGGTTATTTCCCTCCCTCATGGGAAAACTCAGGGAAGCCGGAGGGCACCTAGAGGGTGCTGTCAGTGCCACACTGGGGCTGGGGTGCCCTGGAGTTGGGACTCAGGACAGTCGCTCCTCCTCTTGTTGTTGCCTGGACAGCCACAAACCTGGCTTCCCACCCTGCGTAGCCTGGAGGAGCCTTCAGCAGAATTCGGCTTTCCATGCCCCCAGGATGGGTCTCACCTGGCCGTAGCATGGCTGTGCTGCAGAGCCAGGTTCAGCTTACAGCTGCATTGTCCCCTCGCCCTGCCCAGCCTTCCTGGCCTTCTTGTGGGGCTGGGCTGAGCAGCCCAAGGAGGTCTCCTGTTACAGGTCAGGGAGCTGAATCCCTGTTTGCAAAACACAGCCTGAGCTCCGTTCACTTCCTGCTGTCCCTGCCCCTAGGAATGTAGGCTCAGGGAGCACTCCCCAGGCGACCTGTGGTTACAGAGTGGTCAGCTGGGGGAGAGGAGGTGGAGGGTGTCTGACCCTGGGCTGGGAGGCAGGTGCACTTCGGTGTCGGATGGGGCTCCTGCCCTGATGGCATCTTCTGTGCTGGTGGTGGGACGCCTAGACACTTCCCAAAGAAGAGGCCCCTACGAACCCAGAGTTGTGAATGTGAGGGTGTTGGAGAGCTGCCACAGCTGTGGGGCCCGCTGAGGGGAGCAGAGGAGGAGGGGGTGAGGAGCTGACAAAGGAGGCGCAGGGCAGCAGGGTGGTGCACCCAGGTGGGAGCAGCAAGTGCACCATGCACAGGCCCTGGCACACAATAGACTCTCAGCACAGCTGCCAAAAGAAGCATTGAGATTGAGCTGGGCACAGAGGCTTGTATCCATCATCCCAGCACATTGGGAAGCCAAGGTGGACGAATCACTTGAGGTCAGAAGACCAGCCTGGCCAACGTGGTCAACATGGTGAAACCCCATTGCTACTAAAAAAATATACAAAAATTAGCTGGGTGTGGTGTCCTGTGCCTGTAATCCCAGTTACTCAGGGGGCTGAGGCAGGAGAATTGCTTGAACCTGAGAGGCGGAGGCTACAGTGAGCTGAGATTGCGCCATTGCACTCCAGCCTGGGCGACAGAACAAGAGTCTCTCAAAAAAAAATAAAATAAGAAAGGAACCATTTAGGCATTGAAACCGGGAGATAAATCAGTGTCAAGATGCCAGGGGCCTGATGTGTTAGGCAGGGTGGTCCAGCAGTCTTAGGGAGCAGGGTCAGTTTTAGAGCAGAGGGTGGGGCATGACTAGAGTCATCCTTATGGAAAATGAGCCTGTCAGCCAGGTGAGTACTGGATGGGGCAAGGAGGGGGCACACACCTGAGCTGGGCTGCTGAGGGCAAGGCTGTGGCATGCACAAGGGTCCGGTTGGGGGTGTTCATACATACCTTGTTGTGTTCCTCATAGGGAGGCATTTACGGTTCCCCTGATTCCTCTTGGCCTGAAGGAAACGAAAGACATCGACTTTTCAGTCATCCTCAAGGTAAATCTCAAAGCCATGGGCACTGGACTCAGTGTTTAAAATGGAAATAGGCCATTTGCAGTGGCGCATGCCTGTAGTCCCAGTTACTTGGGAGGCTGAGGCAAGAGGATCGCTTGAGCCCAGGAATTGGAGGCTGCAGTGAGTTGTGATCATACAACTGCACTCCAGCCTGGGCAACAGAATGAGACCCTGTCTCCAAAAAAAAAAGCAAAAAAATGGATATAGAGAAAATATGTATCCCTTGCAATGGCCTTAGGCTCAACAGGCAGAGTCAGTTGATATCTACAGAGTGACCCTGAGGCCCTTCTCAGCCAGCTACATGCATAATTGATATGTTTATTCCTGCCATATTTTTGTTGTTGCCTTTGATGGCTTCTGAAGCTCCTCCTGGGTCTTGGACAAGGCAGGTTGGAAACCCAGGAGGGCCTTCCCTGAGAGGCCAAGTCAAAGGGTCTGTAGTGGATATGCTTTCAAATTTAAAACTTACATCCTCTTTTATTAATAGTGTATTTGTTTCTTAAGTCATGTATCCAGTTTAGGTTATGTCTTTGGAAGAATAGCTAAAGTTTTTTCTCTAACATTTGATTATGAAAATTTCCAAACTTTTCAAAAAATTTTAAGAATTTTATAGCAAACCCCTGTGTACTCACTTCTTCCGAGAACATACTGCCAGCATTGCTTCCTGACATATTTGTCCATCTGTGCATTCTTGTGTCTGTTAGGTTGGTTTGAAGGTAATTGCAGTTTTTGCCATTGAAAGTAATGGCTAAAGGCTGGGCACAGTGGCTCACGCCTGTAATCCCAGCACTTTGGGAGGCTGAAGCAGGCGGCTCACTTGAGCTCAGGAGTTGAAGACCAGCCTGGCTAAAATGGTAAAACCCCTGTCTCTACCAAACGTACAGAAATTAGCTGGACGTGGTGGTGCACACCTGTAATCCCAGTTACTTCAGAGGCTGAGGCAGGTGAATCGTTCAAACCCGGGAGGTAGAGGTGGAGGTTGCAGGGAGCCGAGATCACGCCACTGCCCTCCAGCCTGGGCGACAGAGTGAGATCCCATCTAAAAAAAAAAAAATTAGCTGGGCATAGTGGCATATGACTGTAATCCCAGTTACTCGAGAGGCTGAGGCACGAGAGAGGCGCTTGAACCCAGGAGGCAGAGGATGCAGTGAGCTGAGATTGTGCCACTGCACTCCAGCCTGGGCAACAGTGAAACTGTCTCAAAAAAAAAAAAAAAAAAAAGAGAAC
Organism: Homo sapiens; assembly: GCF_000001405.40. NCBI lineage: Eukaryota > Metazoa > Chordata > Mammalia > Primates > Hominidae > Homo > Homo sapiens. The sequence continues at coordinate 20,270,423 of NC_000015.10, read as the reverse complement.
GAAAGTAATGGCTAATATCAATCTGTCTTATTTGTGATGCAATTTCAAAGGAAATCAAAGATGTCAATTCACTCCCCTTAAATATTTGAATAACCAGAGTCTTTGCTTGTGTGTCCCCCTGCCACATTCCTGGGTATCTGGACTCCTCTCCCATTTGGCAGATCCTCATAAGCCCACCTGTGCCTGGCACTGTGCTGGGTGCCAGAGGTGCCACAAGCACTGCCTGCGGGGCCCTTGGGTCAGTGGGGGATTCAAGTGGGAAGTGGAAGGGGTGCTTCAATGGAGAACACAGGAGATACCGTGCCCGGAGGCTGGGGCCGGGAGACCGTCCTGTGCCTGGAATACCCTCCTCTTCCTTCCCTCTTCAACTCCATCAATTTGAGTTTTTAACCAGTCACCTCCAAATTCCATCAAGGAGGGGAAAGGGGATGAGGTGCAGGGTGGCCCAAGATTGCATCATGCAGCCCAGGCATTGGTTATAGGAATTAATCCTAGCATTGCGAAAATTGCTTCGAAGAAATATTTTGTGTTCTTTTTTTTCCTTTTTCTTTATTATTTTGAGACCGAGTCTCACTGTTTCACCCAGGCTGGCATGCAGTGGCATGATCTTGGCTCACTGCAACCCCTGCCTCCTGGGCTCAGTTGATGCTCCCACTTCAGCCTCCTGAGTAGCTGGTACTACAGGCGTGTGCCACCGTGCCTGGCTAATTGTTGCATTTTTCTTTCTTTTTTATTGAGATGGAGTTTAGCTCTTGTTGCCCAGGCTGGAGTGCAATGGCATGATCTCGGCTCACCGCAACCTCCACCTCCCGGGTTCAAGCGATTCTCCTGCCTCAGCCTTCCGAGTAGCTGGGATTACAGGCATGTGCCACCATGCCTGGCTAATTATGTATTTTTAATAGAGACGGGGTTTCTCCATGTTGGTCAGGTGGGTCTCGAACTCCTGACCACAGGTGATCCACCTGCCTTGGCCTTCCAAAGTGCTGGGATTATAGGCGTGAGCCACCATGCCCGGCCAATTTTTGTATTTTTCATAGAGACAGAGTTTCCCACTGTTGCCCAGGCTGGTCTCAAACTCCTGGGTTCAAGCAGTCCTCCTGCCTCAGCCTTCCAAAATGCTGGGATTATAGGCATGAGCCACTGTGCCTGGCTTATTTTACTTTCCATGATAATCCTCTTAGTTGGCTCATCTTGGACTACTTTTAGTTTAGAAAAGAAAACATCTTATGACATTTTGACTGTTACTTTTTTTTTTCTTTCTTTCTTTCTTTTTTTTTTTTTTTGAGCTGGAGTTTCGCTCTTGTTGCCCAGGCTGGAGGGCAGTGATGGCCATCTCAGCTCACTGCAACCTCCACCTCCCAGGTTCAAGTGATTCTCCTGCCTCAGCCTCCTGAGTAGGTGGGATTACAGGCACCTGCCATCATGCCTGGCTAATTTGTGTTTTTAGTAGAGATGGGGTTTCACTATGTTGGCCAGGCTGGTCTCGAACTCGATCCACCCGCCTTGGCCTCCCAAAGTGCTGGGATTACAGGTGTGAGCCACCGCTCCCAGCCAACTACTACTTTTAAAAGCAATTGGTTAATACTTTGGAAGCACTTGACCTTCATTCTCAGAGACGGTGAGTTGTTTGACATAAATAGAGGCCTTTTTTACTGCTGCCTTGTTTAAATCCTGTGAGTTTGGGGTTTATTTTGGAACTGGAGAAGGGAAGTTGGTATTCTGAGTGTTTCAGGACTCAAGTTTACCGGAAAGTTTATGTTCTGGGTAGAAAGCAATGAAAACAATCCAGGAATTGCAGCTTTATGCCACACTGCCACAGCCTGCCTGAACTTTTACGTGAGACTTATGCCCAGATGCAATGGCTCACGCCTATAATCTTAGCACTTTGGGAGGCTGAGGCAAGAGGACAGCTTGAGGCCAGGAGTTGGAGACCAGCCTGGGCAACAGAATGAGGCCTTCCCTCTCTCTCTCTCTCTTTTTTTTTTTTTTTTTTGAGACACAGTCTCACTGTGTTGCCCAGGCTGGAGTGCAATGGTGCGATCTCAGCTCACTGTAACCTCCACCTTCTGGGTTCAAGTGATTCTCCTTCCTCAGCCTCCTGAGCAGCTGGGACTACAGGCATGCACCACCATGGCCAACTAATTTTTGTGTGTATATATGTATATTTTTTGAGATGAAGCCTCGCTCTGTCGCCCAGGCTGGAGTACAGTGGCGTGATCTCGGCTCACTGCAAACTCCACCTCCCAGGTTCAAGCAATTCTCTGCCTCAGCCTCCTGAGTAGCTGGGGTTTCAGGCACCCACCACCATGCTGGCTAATTTTGGTATTTTTAGTAGAGACAGGGTTTCACCATCCTGGCCAGGCTGGTCTTGAACTCCTGACATCATGATCCACCTGCCTCGGCCTCTCAGAGTGCTGGGATTAGAGGTGTGAGCCACTGCGCCAGGCTAATTTTTGTATTTTTAGTAGAGACAGATTTTCACCATCCTGGCCAGGCTGGTCTTGAACTCCTGACCTCAGGTGATCTGCCCACCTTGGCCTTCCAAAGTACTGGGATTACAGGTGTCAACCACCACGCAGTCATCTCTTTCTCTCTCTCTCTTTTTTTTTTCTTTTTTAAGAGATGGGTTCTCCTCACTATGATGCCCAGGCTGGTCTTGAACTCCTGGCCATAAGCGATCTTCCTGCTTCCACCTCCAGCAAAAGTGCTGAGATCATAGATGTGAGCCACCACACCCAGCCCCATCTCTATTTTTATTTAAAATATATGTGTGTATATATAAATGCAAAAATAGATGTGACTTGCCACTGGTCTGTGGGACTCAAAACAATCCACGTGTCTGGAAATGTCTGTTGCTATTGTAGAAGTTTCTTTACGATTTAATTTGTCTGTTGCATGGTGCTGGGCTACAAGAATGTAAGCATTTTTTTTTTTTGAGATGGAGTTTCACTCTTGTTGCCCAGGCTGGAGTCCAATGGCATGATCTCAGCTCACTGCAACCTCTGCCTCCTGGGTTCAAGTGATTCTCCTGCTTCAGTTTCACAAGTAGCTGGGATTACAGGCATGTGTCACCACACCCAGCTAATTTTTATTAGCAGAGACAGGGTTTCACCATGTTGGCCAGGCTGGTCTTGAAGTCCTGACCTCAGATGATCCGCCTGCCTCAACCTCCCAAAGTGCTGGGATTACAGGTGTGAGCCACTGCGTCCGGCCAAGAATGCAAGCATTTTAAAGGAAGAGTCTCTTGGAGAAACTTAGGAATTTTATAGGCATTTTTAAGGATTCAACTGGGTCATGTTCTGAATTCCACATTAAAGCAAATGAAAATATTCACATGTTGTGGACATGGCCAACTGCCATTCGGCACAGGCTTCCAACCATGTCATTTTAGCCTAAAAGAGACGCTACAAATGTCAGTCATATGAAAATGAGAACGTTTGAGGGGCTTTCTGTTGTATTTTTTCCCTTCCATATTTGAGAGAAACACAGGTACTGCAGAAGTGGTTCAGCAGACTGAATTAGGGCAATTCCATTTCAAATCTGACTTGTGTGTCCGTGTGATATTTTTAATAATCAGTGAAGCTTCACAGTGTGATTTTGTTTTATTTTATTTTATGTATTTATTTATTTAGAGAGGGAGTCTCGCTCTGAAGCCCAGGCCGGAGTGCAGTGGCACAGTCTTGGCTCACTGCAACCTCCCTCTCCCAGGTTCAAGCGATTCTCTTGCTTCAGCCTCCTGAGTACCAGGGATTACAGGCATCCGCCACCACACCCAGCTAATTTTTATATTTTTAGTAGAGACAGGGTTTCACCATGTTGACCAGGCTGTTCTCGAACTCCTGACCTCAAGTGATCCACCCGCCTCAGCTTCCCAAAGTGTTGGGATTACAGGCGTGAGCCACTGCAGCTGGCTGATTTTGTTTTATTTTGAGGAAATAGGGCCAGGCACAGTGGCTCACACCTTTAGTCCCAGCTACTTAGGAGGCTGAGGTGGCTTGCTTGAGCCCAAGAGGTCGAGGCTGCAGTCAGCTGTGATTGAGCCCCTGCAGTCCATCCTGGAAAACAGAATGATACCTTGTCTCATTAAAAAAAAAAAAAAAAATCGAATCAATGAAAGAAAATGAAATCACATCTGTTCTTCAGTAAAGTTTAATAGTTTTCTGCTTAATTATATTAATTTTATCCCTAGAAATGTATTTTTGTTGCTATTTTGAAAGGTATTGTTTCTCTGTTAGGTTTTTTTTGTTTGTTTGTTTGTTTTTGAGACAGAGTCTCACTGTGTCGCCCAGGCTGGAGTACAGTGGTGCAGTCTTGGCTCACTGCAACCTCTGCCCCCCAGGTCCAAGTGATTCTCCTGCCTCAGCCTCCTGGGTAGCTGGGATTAGAGGCACCTGCCACCATACCCACCTAATTTTTTGTATTTTTAGTAGAGACAGGGTTTCACCTTGCTGGTCAGGCTGGTCGCAAACTCCTGACCTCAAATGATCTGCCTACCTCAGCCTTGAAAACTGCTGGGATTACAGATGTGATGAGCCACCACACCTGGCTGTCTGTTAAGTTTGTCTAATTGGTTATTGCTTGTATAAGAAAGGAAGAATATTGACTTTTCTTTTTTACTATTGACTTTCATGTGCTAACTTCTTTGCCACTTTATTGAATTCTTATTAATTTAGTAATGTTTCAGTTGATGCTATTGGGTTTTATAAACATGCTGTTGTGTTGCAAAAAATTATTTTGATTGTTTCTTTCCAGTATTTTATGTCTCTTATTTTTCTTAATGTGTGGGCTAGAGAATGTTTGGAATTAGGCTAAGTAATAACAGTGATGGTAGAAATTCTTGTTTTGTCCCTAATGTTTACAGTGGGTTTCAGTTAGGATTTTTTTTTTTTTTTTTTTTTTTTTTTTTTTTTTGAGACGGAGTCTCGCTCTGTCGCCCAGGCTGGAGTGCAATGGCTCAGTCTCAGCTCACTGCAACCTCCGCCTCCTGGGCTCAAGCTATTCTCCTGCCTCAGCCTCCTGAGTAGCTGGGATTACAGGCACCTGCCATCATGCCTGGCTAATTTTTGTATTTTTAGTAGAGATGGGGTTTCACCACGTTGGCCAGGCTGGTCTCGAACTCCTGGCCTCAAATGATCCACCTGCCTCGGCCTCCCAAAGTGCTGAGATTACAGGGGTGAGCCACTGTGCCTGGCCAGTTAGATAATTTTTTTTATCCCACTAAGTACGTTAATCTACCCTAGTTTACTAAGTTTCAAATTCAGGATCACATATATAATTTAATCAAAATCCTCTTTGACTTTTATGAGGTGAACATAAGATTGGAGTGCAGTGACGTGATCATGGCTCACTGCAGCCTCAACTTCCCGGGCTCAAGTGATCCTCCTCCTGCCTCAGCACGCCTGGCTAATTTTTTATTATTTGTAGAGATGGGGTTTCACTATGTTGTCCATGCTGGTCTCAAACTCCTGGTCTCAAGTGATTCTCCCACCTTGGCCTCCCAAAGTGCTGGGATCACAGGCATGAGTCACTACACCTGACCCCTTTTAACCACCATGCCCAGCTATTTTATTTTTTATTTTTTAAATTTTTAATGGAGACAGGGTTTCACCATGTTGGCCAGGCTGGTCTGGAACACCTGACCTCAAGTGATCTACCTACCTCAGCCTCCCAAAGCGCTGGGATTACAGGTGTGAGCCACCATACCCAGCCCATGGCCAAGTTTAAAGAAAAGAGGCATAGTCAGCTGAGCGCAGTTGCTCATACCTGTAATTCCAACACTCTGGGAAGCTGAGGTGGGAGGATCACCTGAGGCCAGGAGTCCGAGACCAGCCTAGGCAACATAGGAAGACTCTGTCTTTATGAAAAATAACAATATTAGCTGAGTGTGATGGTGCACACCTATAGTCCCCTCTACTGGAGAAGCTGAAGTGGGAGGATGACTTGAGCCCGGGAGTTCAAGGCTGCAGTGAGCTATGATTGCACCATTGCACTCCATCCTGGATGACAGAGCGAGACCCTCATCTCTTAGAAAAAGAAGGCACAGCAAAGTTGTATATTTAGTACAAATCCATTTTTGTAAGACAAGTGTTTGTGTGTGTGTACGTTGAACACACAAAAACAGGAGGAGCTTTAATGTAGAAGTTGTGTAAAGAGGTTACACAGTCACTTGGGAAGACATAATTGAGCCATCTATGTGATCACCTTTCTTGCAGCTTGGGGGAGCCAGCACTTGTAGGGGCGGGGGTGGGGCAACAGGGCAAAACCCCATCTCTATTAAAAAATACAGAAATGAAATTAGCCTGTGGCACGTGCCTGTGGTCCCAGCTACTTGGGAGGCTGAAGTAGGAGGATTACTTGAGCCCAGAGAAGTCGAGGCTGCGGTGAGCCGCGATCGCACCACTGCACTCCAGCCTAGGCAACCAAGTGAGACCCTGCCTCAAAGATAAAATAAAATAAAATGCCTTTATAACATGGTTAAGGGTCTTCTTGGCAAAGGAAACCTGTATCTGGGGACTGTTATGACAGTCCTACCCTCAGGGTCTGTGCTGGGAAACTTGTCTGGGTCCTGAGGGAGGCCCAGAATTGCAAGTCTGAGCCCCTGAATATCTGCAGTGTTTGCAGTATAGTTGAATGTATAGGCCATAGACTAGTCTCAAACTCCTGGGCTCAAGTGATTTACCTGCCCTGTCTTCACAAAGTGCTGGGATTACAGATGTGAGCCATGATGCGCAGACACAAAGACATTTTTAAGCAAAAAATTAACTTCAACTCTCACTTTTACTGAAGCAACACAGCATTTAAAAACATAGGCATGGGGTGCAGTGGCTCACACCTGTAATCCCAGCACTTTGGGAGGCTGAGGCAGATGGATTGCTTGAGCCCAGGAGTTTGAGACCAGCCTGGGCAATGCGGTGAAACTCCATCTCTACTAAAAATACAAAAATTAGCTGGGCATGGTGGCACATGCCTGTAATCCCAGCTACTTGGGAGGCTGAGGCATGAGAATCACTTGAGCCTGGGAGGTGGAGGTTGCAGTGACCCGAGATCGCAACATTCTAGCCTGGACAATGGGAGTGAAACCCTGTTTTAAAAAAAAAAAAAAAAAATTCTATGGCCGGACACTGTGGCTGACATCTGTAATCCCAGCACTTTGGGAGGGTGAGGTGGGTGGATCACCTGAGGTCAGAAGTACAACAATTAGCCAGACGTTGTGGTGGGCACCTGTAACCCCAGCTCCTTGAGAGGCTGAGGAAGGAGAATTGCATGAACCTGGGAGGCAGAGGTTGCAGTGAGCCGAGATTGTGCCACTGCACTCCAGCCTGGGCTACAGAGCAAGACTCCATATAAAAAAAACTACATAAATTAAGAAAATAAATTCCCCCACTTTGAAAATCACTGTAAGTTTTTCTTTATTCTGCCTTTTTAGAAACAGGTCACAAATGACATATTACTGTTATGCACATACATGGTTTTCAATCACATTTTATAGTATCTAACCTTATTTTTCTTTAAGGATTTTATCCTGGAACATTACAGTGAAGATGGCTATTTATATGAAGATGAAATCACAGATCTTATGGATCCGAGACAAGTAAGTTTTTGTGTGCAGCAGAGAGGGGAGGGTAGTTTTTCCAAGTCTTCGGGGAACCCCATTATTGCATGCTTGTGGTCTTAACAGAATCGTGGGTAGATTGAGGTGATGGTTGGGGGGTGCTGGAATCATCCATTCCATTTGCTGCATAAGAAAACTGTAGAAGGAGGCCGGGCACGGTGGTTCACGCCTATGTAATCCCAGCACTTTGGGAGGCGGAGGCAGGAGAATCACCTGAGATCAGGAGTTCCAGACCATCCTGGCCAACATGGTGAAACCCCGTCTCTACTAAAAATTCAAAAATTAGCTGGGCGTGGTGGTGCATGCTGGTAATTCCAGCACTTTGGGAGGCTGAAGCGGGTGGATCACCTGAGGTCAGAAGTTTGAGACCAGACTGGCTAACATCGCAAAACCCCGTTTCTACTAAAAATACAAAAACAAGCCGGGCATGGTGCTACACGCCTGTAATCCCAGCTACTCGGGAGGCTGAGGCAGGAGAATCACTTGAACCTGGTAGGTGGAAGTTACAGTGAGCCAAGATCGCACCACTGCACTCCAGCTTGGGTGACAGAGCAAGACTCCGTCCCCAAAAAAAAAAAGGAAAACCATAGAAGGGGAGAGACCTGCCTCCTGGCAGGGCTGGGACTGGATTCCAGGATTTCTGACTTCCTGCCAGGTTCTTTCCACCCCTCCTAGAGTTTATGATGCCAGCAGTGAGGTCGTCATACTGCAGAAATAGTTACAGGCACCTGCTGGTATGTGCAGGGCACCTTCCGGGAAGGGCTGTCAGCTGTGTCCTCCTCTGCTCATGCCCTCTGGGGTTCTTTTCCTCGCAGGCTTGTCGGACGCCCAGCCGGGATGAGGCCAGGGTGGAACTGCTGATGACATACTTCATCCAGCTGGGCTTTGTTGAGAATTGATTCTTCCCACCCACGCGGCAGATGGGACTCCTGTTCACCTGGTAGGTGCTTGAGGTCTGCGCTGGTGCTTCACGTGTTATGGCAGCCACAGTTTCGGAGCCTCAGCATCACAGACGCCCCTCTGCGGGCACCTCAGCCCCTTTTCCTATCTTGCATTTATCCGGGGTGCACCCCTGTGCACCTCAGCCCCCTTTCCTATCTTGCATTTATCCAGGGAAGTCTAGAAAGATATCAATACATTGGTATTTATTTATGAAGGTGATCCGAGGGAGATGGCCCCAACAGACTGTGGCCTCTTGCTTCTCAGAACAGGTGAGCCAAGGAGAGGAGACATTTTTCTTGCTTGTTGTATCACTGGGGAAGCACAGGGCTCTGAAATGGAATTAGTCAGAAGCAAGATTCTTGTCTCAGATTGGACTGGGGCATGCATGTGTATGTGTGAGTGAGTGAGAGAGAGAGAGAGAGAGAGAGAGAAAATCAGGTCTTGTCCAGTGAGACAAAAGCACCAAACAGAAATAGATCAGGTTTCTTTTGAAATGGGATCTCACTGTGTTGCCCAGGTTAGTCTTGAATTCCTGGGCTCAGGTGATATTTCTGCCTCAGCCTCCTGAGTAGCTGGGACTATAGGCATGAGCTACACACTCAGCTTGGATCAGATTTAAAAAATGGAAGTAGAGGATTTGATTCTTCTCCACAATTGGTATTTTCAGACAAGATCAGGCACGTCAGGGTGGTATGGCCGTAGACCCAATTGGTGTTTTCAAAGATTAGTATACTTTAAATACTTGGGAGCCCGGGTACAGTGGTTTTCACACCTATAATGCCAACACTTTGGGAGGCTGAGGCAAGCAGATCACTTGACCCCAGGAGTTTGAGACCAGCCTGGGCAATGTGGCAAAACCCCATATCTACAAACAATACAAAAATTTGCTGGGTACGATGGTATGCACCTGTAGTCCCAGGTACTCGTGAGGCTGAGGCAAGAGAATCACTTGAGCCTGGGAGGCAGAGGTTGCAGTGAGCCTAGATCACACCACCGCACTGCAGCCTGGGTGATAGGAGTGAAACCCTGTTTCAAAAAAGAAAAAAAAAGGCTGAGTGTGGTGGTTCACACCTGTAATCCCAGCACTTTGAGAGGCCGAGGCAGGTGGATCACGAGGTCAGGAGTTCGAGGCCAGCCTGTCCAATATGGTGAAACCCTGCTTCTACTAAAAAATACAAAAATTAGCTGGGCATGGTTGTGCGTGCCTGTAGTCCCAGCTACTTGGGAGGCTGAGGCAGGAAAATCACTTGAACCTGGGAGGCAGAGGTTGCAGTGAGCCAAGATTGCACCACTGAACTCCAGCCTGGGCAACAGAGTGAGAGTCTGTATTAAAAAAAAAAAAAAACACCAACAACCTAAAAAAAAAGTACTTTGGAGATGCTGCACCCCTTCTCTGAGTGTTTTTAGGAGTGTCAGTGAAAGGAGAGTACATCCTAGAAGGTCGGGGCATATCAGAATTGAATGTTTCTATAGCCGATGGTTGGCTACTGATGCCTTCCTCATTGAAAGCAAAGGAAAGGGGGATGACTTTTCCTAACAATGCACCAGGCTGTCTGCATGGTGAAAGGTGGTTTCTCCTTAGTCATGAATTAGGGAGAAGCTGTCTGCACACCCCTTGGTTCATGAGTAAACTTTAAAACAAGTCCTAGGGCCAGGTGCGGTGGCTCACACCTGTAATCCTAGCACTTTGGGAGGCCGAGGTGGGTGGATCACCTGAGGTCGGGAGTTCGAGACCAGCCTGACAAACATGTCTCTACTAAAAATACAAAAATTAGCCGGGTGTGGTGGTGGGCGCCTGTAATCCCAGCCACTCAGGAGGCTGAGGCAGGACCATTGCTTGAACCCGGGAAGCAGAAGCTGCAGTGAGCTGAGATGGCGCCACTGCACTCCAGCCTGGGTGAAAGAGCAAAACTTTGTCTCAAAAAATAAAAATTAAAAAAAAAATAAATAAATAATACAAGTCCTAGGCTGGGTGTGGTGGTTCACATCTGGAATCCCAGCATGTTGGGAGGCCGAGGTTGGTGGATCACTTGAGCCCAGGAGTTTGAGACCAGTCTAGGCAACACAGTGAGACCCCATCTCTACAAAACAATTAGAGAAAATGTGCCAGGCATGGGTGGCACATGCCTGTAGTCCCATCTCCTTGGGAGGATCAGATGAGAGGATCGCTTAAGCCCAGGAGGTTGAGGCTGCAGTGAGTCATGATCATGCCACTGCACTCCAGCCTAGGCAACAGAGTGAGACTTGGTCTGAAAAAATAAACAAGTAAAACAAATCCTGAGGTTTTAGATTTCAGAAAGAATTATGAGGGGTTAGTAATTGCCATATTTCATTTAGGAGAAGCTATATATATATACACACACACTTTTCTTTTTTTTTTTTTTTTGAGACGGAGTCTCACTCTGTCGCCCAGGCTGGAGTGTGGTGGTGTGATCTCAGCTCACTTCAACTTCTGCCTCCCAGTATCAAGCCATCTTCCCACCTCAGCCTCCCAAGTAGCTGGGCTTAAAGGCACATGCCACCACCATGTATTTTTGGTAGAGAGGGGTTTCACTATGTTGCCCAGGCTGGTCTCAAACTCCTGAGCTCAAGCCATCCACCTGCCTTGGCCTCTAAAGTGCTGGGATTACAAGTGTAAGCCACTGCACCTGGCCCTTTTTTTTTTTTTTTTTTTTTTGAGACGGAGTCTTGCTCTGTTGCCTAGGCTGGAGGACAGTGGCGTGATCTCGGCTCACTGCAACCTCCGCCTCCTGGGTTCAAGTGATTCTTCTGCCTCAGCCTCCTGAGTAGCTGGGACTACAGGTGTGCCCCACCACGCCTGGCTAATTTTTGTATTTTTAGTAGAGATGGGGTTTCACCACGTTGGCCAGGCTGGTCTCAATCCCTGGCCTTGTGATCTGCCTGCCTCGGGCTCCCAAAGTGCTGGGATTACAGGCATGAGCCATCGCACCTGGCGCATTTTTTTTTTTTTTTTATAATTGAGGAACTTACCTGACACATCATTATCACCCAGAGTCCATAGTTCCCATTAGGGTTCATTCTTGTACTTGTGTATTCTGCAGCTTTTGGCCAACATAGAGTGACAGTGATCCATCTTTGCAGTGTCGTACAGAAGAGTTTCACTGCTGGAAAAATCCTCCGTGTGCTCTGCCGTTCCTCCCTCCCTCCCCCTAAGTCCTGGCAACCCCTGATCTTTCTTCTGTCTCCCGGGTTTTTGGCTTTTCAGAATGTTGGACTCACACAGCGTGCTATACAGTAGGTAGCAACGTTCAGGTTGGCTCTTAGTAATGTTTCCTCTGCATCTTTTCAAGGCTTGCTTGAAAAGGCTCCATTTTTAGTACTGAGTAATAGTCCATTGTCTGGATGTCCCATGCTGTGTTTATAAAGTTACCCCATCAGATATTTGTGTGTGTGGCTGTGGCGGTCAGTGCGATTAGTCCTGTCATCTTGCTTGGAAACAAAAGCCTCAGTGCATGTGCATTCTTGAATTTTATTGAAGAAATGAGTTTGTTGTTGTTGTTATTGTCACCCAGGCTGGAGCACAGCGGTGCAATCTCATCTCACTGTAACCTCCACCTCTCGGGTTCAAGCAATTCTCCCGCCTCAGCCTCCTGAGTAGCTGGGATTACAGGTGCCTGCCACCATGCCTGGCTAATTTTTGTATTTTTAGTGGAGACTGGGTTTCACCATCTTGGCCAGGCTGGTCTCGAACTCCTGACTTCAGGTGATCCACCCGCCTTAGCCTCCCAAAGTGCTGGGATTACAGGTGTGAGCCACCACACCCAGCCAACCCAGGAGTTTAACAGCAGTTTGGGTAACATAGTGAGACCCCATCTCTACAAAAATTAAAAAAAAAAATTAGGCAGGTATGGTGGCATGCACCTGTAATCCCAGCTATTCTCATGAGGCTGAGGTGGGAGGATCAATTGAGCCCTAAAGTTGGAGGCTGCAGTAAGCTATGATCACACCACTGCACTCCAGCCTGGGCAACAGAGTGAGATCCTGACTCTTAAAAAAATAATAATAGAGCCAGGCACAGTGGCTCACGCCTGTAATCCCAGCACTTTGGGAGGCTGAGGTGGGCGGATCATGAGGTCAGGAGATCGAGACCATCCTGGCTAAAACGGTGAAACCCTGTCTCTACTAAAAATACAAAAAATTAGCTGGGCGTGGTGGCGGGTGCCTATAGTCCCAGCTACTTGGGAGGCTGAGGCAGGAGAATGGCGTGAACCTGGGAGGCAGAGCTTGCAGTGAGCCGAGATCACGCCACTGCACTCCAGCCTGGGCGACAGAGTGAGACTCTGTCTCAAAAAAAATAAATAAATAAAATAATAATAATAATTTTTTCCACTTGCATCCAAAAGTAGCATTAACTAGCCAAGTAATCTGTACTCCCTGAATGCATTTCTTTCACATAGGTATGACTCCCTCAATGGGGTTCTGGTCAGCCAGCAGAACCTGCTGCTGGAGAAGGCCAGTGTCCTGTTCAACACTGGGGCCCTCTACACCCAGATTGGGACGTGGCGCTATTGGCAGATGCAGGCTGGGCTGCAGAGTGCCATAGATGCCTTTCAGAGAGCTGCAGGTATGTCTCCTCCAGGGCTGACTGGACAGAGCCTTGGCCCCGCCTGGTGGCACCAGGGGACCCCCCACTGAAGAGGGTCTACAGGTCGTCCCCTGCAAGGGCCAGACCAGTCTTCAGCTCTGGTGTAACTTCCCATTAAGAAACTTGCTCTGGCCGGGCGCGGTGGCTCATGCCTGTAATCCCAGCACTTTGGGAGGCTGAGGCAGGTGGATCACGAAGGTCAGGAGATCGAGACCATCCTGGCTAACATGGTGAAACCCCATCTCTACTAAAAATTCACAAAATTAGCTGGGCCTGGTGGCGGGCACCTGTATTCCCAGCTACTCGGGAGGCTGAGGCAGGAGAATGGCATGAACCCGGGAGGCGGAGCTTGCAGTGAGCCGAGATCGCGCCACTGCACTCCAGCCTGGGCGACAGAGCCAGACTCCATCTCAAAAAAAAAAAAAAGAAACTTGCTTGGTGGTTCAGACCTCAGTCTGGGATGGCTGATGTACATGGTGAATCCTGTGGCTGATGATTGATCTTTTCCAGACAAGTGGCCCTGGGATGGCAGTGCATAACTGTTTCTTTCAACACTGTCATGAAGAGCAGAATAACTTTTCCCAAATAGTGAAACTGTAGGCTTCTTTTTCTTGTATTAGGTGTACCCTATCTGTGCATATTACTCTCCGTGCCTTTATTTATTTATTTATTTATTTATTTATTTATTTATTTATGAGATGGAGTTTTGCCCTTGTCGCCCAGGCTGGAGTGCAGTGGCGCAATGTTGGCTCACTGCTTGAAACCTCCCAGTTTCAAGCGATTCTCCTGCCTCAGCCTCCTGAGTAGCTGGGATTACAGGCACTCGCTACCACGCCCGGCTAATTTTTGTATTTTTAGTGGAGATGGGGTCTCACCATCCTGGCCAGGCTGGTCTCGAATTCCTGACCTCAGGTGTTCCGCCTGCCTCAGCCTCCCAAAATGCTGGGATTACAGGGTGAGCCACCGCACCCTGCCCCTCCATGCCTTTATGTCACCTGCATTCTGCCAACTTCTCCAGCATGAGGTGGGTGTTCTCAACCCTTGGTCAAGTGATGCATTCAAAGGATGTCTCATAGCTCAGTTCCCTTCTTCTGGGAACTGTCTTTTGTTATTTTATTTTATTTATTTGTTTATTTTGAGATAGAGTCTTGCTCTTGTCACCCAGCCTGGAGTGCAGTGGCACAATCTCTGCTCACTGCGACCTCTGCCTGCTGGGTTCAAGCAACTCTTCTGCCTCAGCCTCCCAAGTAGCTGGGATTACAGGCGTCTGCCACCATGCCCGGCTAATTTTTGTATTTTTAGTAGAGATGAGGTTTTGCCCTGTTGGCCAGGCTGGTCTCAAACTCCTGACCTCAGGTAATCCTAGTATGAGAACGAGGTGCGGGGTCGAGGAGAAAAGCAACCTAGTGCTTACACCTGTAGAGGACCGGGGTCACCAGACCCAGTGCTGTGGGTGAGCCTGGCACGGCTCACCCTTGCCTACGGGTTCTGCCTTGCTCCCCCATAGCAGGGCCTGTGTCTGGGTCAGACTCCCCGTGGGGATGGATGCAAGAGCAGGGCACAGTGTAGACCACAGTGTGTTCTCCACACTAGCTCTATAGTGTGTTGCCTTCTAGGTTGATCATCGACATTCTGCTTTGGGGTGTGATCCCCTTCCACCCATGTGGATCATTGTTTGATATCACTTTGCCCTGCAAGCTTGTGAAGAACCAGAGCTTTGCCACTTCAACTCATTGTGAAATTTCTGATGTTACAATGATTGGTCCTACCAGCCTGGGCCACACAGGAAGACCCTGTCTCTACAAAATATTTAAAATTAGCCAGGCATGGTGGTGTACGCCCATAGTTCTAGCTACTCCAGAGGCTAAGACAGGAGGATCACTTAAGCCCAGGAGTTTGAGGCTGCAGTGAGCTATGATTGTCAAAAAGAATTTTTTTTTTAATTCAAGAAATAGGCCAGGCATGGTGGCTCATGCCTGTAATCCCAGCACTTTAGGAGGCTGAGGTGGGTGGATTGCTGGAGCTCAGGAATTTGAGATCAGCCTGGGCAACAAGGCAAAACTCCATCTCTACAAAAAGTACAAAAATTAGCTGGGCCTGGTGGTGCATGCCTGTAGTCTCAGCTACTTGGGAGGCTGAGATGGAAGGATCAGCCAAGGTTGTGGTAAGCCAAGATCGTGCCATTGCACTCCAGCCTGGGCGACAGAGCAAGAACCTGTCTCAAAAAATAATTAATTAATTAAAAAAATGAAAGATTGGTCTCTTGGGATGAAGCGATATGCTAAGATTCCAAGTATGAGTTGATTTCTTTTGTTGTAAATCTTTTTTCTGGACTCATCTTTCTGGGGAATCTTAGGCAGGCACTCTGTGTCCTGTCACTGAGATTATAGCAGTGGAGACAAATTATAGATGAAATGAAGCAAGTGGGAGAACAGTGGGGAGGGTGAGGGAACCCCCACGGAGCTCACAGCTCAAAACAGCAGGTGCCATCCCTCCACAGGGTGGGGATTTTTTTTTTTTTTTTTTTTTTTTTTTTTTGCTCAGCAACAAAACCAGAGGACCCAGTTGGATGGGATTCATATGAGAGACTCTATTTCAGTTCCAGATTGATTGTCAGTTAGCGCTTTGGACAGTTAATTTTCTAAACTATAAAGAAGTCAGTGGAAGGCTGCAGCATGAAAATTTCCATTGGAGCAGACGGATTGAGTTTTTTTTTTTTTTTTTTTGAGATGGAATCTCACTCTGTCACCCAGGTTGGAGTGCAGTGGTGAGATCTCGGCTCATTGCAGCCTCCGCTTCCCGGGTTCAAGTGATTCTCCTACCTCAGCCTCCTGAGTAGCTGGGATTATAGGTGTGTACCATCATGCCTGGCTAATTTTTATAATTTTAGTAGAGGCAGGGTTTTGCCATGTTGGCCAGGCTGGTCTTGAACCTGACCTCAGGTGATCCACCCGCCTCGGCCTCCCAAAGTGCTGGGATTAGAGGCATGAGCCACCGCACCTGGCCAGAATAGATCTTTCTTGAGGTCCAGGGGAAAAGCCCTGGACTGCTGAATGACTCAGATCTTATGTGTGAGCCTGGCCGCCTGTGAGCCCCTCAGTCCTTCTGCCTGCTGTCTGCTTGCATCTCCATACCTGTCATGATGGAATTTTGTCCCAGGTGACACAGGAGTTGTGGGGAGCAGGCTGGTTTCTCTACTCAATAGAGATGTAAGTGTTTTGGAAGACAATCCAATTTTAAAAAATTGGGTTAAAAGGCTGGGTGGGGTGGCTCACACCTGTTATCCCAGCACTTTGGGTGGCTGAGGCAGGCAGATCACCTGAGGTCAGGAGTTCAAGACCAGTCTGGCCAACATGGTGAAACCCCGTCTGTACTAAAAATACAAAAATTAGCTAGGTGTGGTGGTGGGCACCTGTAATCCCTGCTACTTGGGGGGCTGAGGCAGGGGGATCGCTTGAACCTGGGAGGCAGAGGTTTCGGTGAGCTGAAATCATGCCACTGCACTCCAGCCTGGGCGCTTATTTATAAATAAATAAATAAATAGTGTTAAAATATACATATATAACTTAAAATGGACTATTTTAACCAGTTTTTTATTATAGTAAAATAACACAGAACATAAAATTACCATTTTAATGATTATCTTAAATTTTTAAAATTTTAAAATTATCTGCCAACCAGAAGCACATTTTAACCATTTTGAAGTGTGCAGTTCAATGGCATTAAGTGCATTTGTACATTCATAGTGTTGTGCAGCCATTACCACTAAACATCTCCGGAAGTTAAAAATTTTTTTTGTTGGTTAGGCAAGGTGGCTCACACCTGTAATCTCAGTACTTTAGGATGCTGAGTCAGGAGGATCACTTGAATCCAAGAGTTGGAGACCAGTCTGGGCAACATAGGCACACCCCATCTGTACAAAAAATTTTAAAATTAGCTGGGTGTGGGGTGGTGCATGGCTGTAGTCCCAGCTCTTCAGGAGACTGAGGTGGGAGGACCTCTTGAGCCCAGGAGTTTGAGGCTGCAGTGAGTCATGATCGTGCCACTGCACTCCAGTCTGGGCAACAGAGTGTGATCTTGTCTCAAAAATAAATAAAATAAATACATTTTTAAAAAGTATATATTTTTTTAAGAGACAGGGGTCTCAGTATGTTGCCCAGGCTGGTCTTGAACTCTTAATGTCAAGCAACCCTCCCACCTCAGCCTCCCTTGTAGCTGGGATTATAGGCAGCAGCCCCTGTGACCAGCTATCTCCGGAACTTTTCCATCTGGATGATGGATAAGCAAAGCTCTGTACTTACTCAGTTAAGCAATAACTTCCCATTGCCCCCTTTCCCAGCCCCAGCTAACCTCTATTCTCCTTTCTGTTTCTGTGAATTTGACTATTCCGGGTACCTTATCTAAATGGAATCCTACAATATTGGTCCTTTTGTGACTGGCTTGTTTCACTTAGCATAATGCCCTTATTTACACTGTACCATATGTCAGAATTTCATTCCTTTTTAAGGCTGAAAAATATTCCATTGTATGGATAGGCCACATTGTGTTTAATCATTCATCTGCTCATGGATGTCTGGGTGGTTTCCACTTTTCAGCTCTTGTGAATAATGTTGCTATTAACACAGGTGTTCAAGTATCATTTAAGCCCCCACTTTCAACTGTTTGGGGATATATATCATAAGAGTGGAATTGCTGGACCATATAATTGAGAATCAAACTTTTTAATATGTTGTAGGACACTGGTTCTTTTTTTTTTCTCCTATCTTTCCTTTTTTTTTTTTTTTTTTTTTTTTTGAGACGGAGTCTGGAGTGCAGTGGTGAGATATCAGCTCACTGCAACCTCTGTCTCCTGGGCTCAAGCAATCCTCCTGCCTCAGCCTCCAGAGGAGCTGAGACTATAGGTGCACGCCATCACACCCAGCTAATTTTTGTATTTTTTGTAGAGACAGGGTTTCACCATGTTGCCCACACTGGTCTTAAATTCCTGATGCAAGTGATCTGCTCGCTTTGGCCTCCCAAAGTGTTGGGATTATGGGCATGAGCCACCGCACCTGGCCTCCTATCTTTCTCTACAGCAACGTGATGAAGTAAATGTAAACCCGAACTAATGGGCAAAACATTTTCCACTTTTAGGGGTTTTAAACTACCTGAAAGAGACATTTACCCATACTCCAAGTTACGACATGAGCCCTGCCATGCTCAGCGTGCTTGTCAAAATGATGCTTACACAAGCCCAAGAAAGCGTGTTTGAGAAAATCAGCCTTCCTGGGATCCGGAATGAATTCTTCATGCTGGTGAAGGTGGCTCAGGAGGCTGCCAAGGTAAGACTCCCTGGTTCCTGTGACTTTGGGGAGTGGGCGGTAAATGCTGGCACAGGAGCACTGGAAGTAGCGGGGCCTTCCCACGGGAGCTTGCCTGTGACCTGGGCATTGTGCCAGCTCCGGCCAGTACTGCTGGCTTGAGTTTTCTTGGCAAGTGTTGGTGTTTCAGATACGGATCACTGATTCCATGTGCAGCTTAACCTAAAAACCAGCATAATGACAGCAGCCTGATCCCCCTGTTAACTGTGACAGTGACAGAATGAGGGGTTGCTTGGAGTTGCTCCCAGATTCTGGAGCAGCCCCTGGCAGGGGCTGTTGCATGAGAAGAAGAAAGGGCTCTTTCTCTGCAAATGGGTTCATGAGGGCCCTTGTGCCGGGCTGCCCCTTCCCAATGCCCCTTCTATTTCAGGTGGGAGAGGTCTACCAACAGCTGCACGCAGCCATGAGCCAGGCGCTGGTGAAAGAGAACATCCCCTACTCCTGGGCCAGCTTGGCCTGCGTGAAGGCCCACCACTACACGGCGCTGGCCCACTACTTCACTGCCATCCTCCTCATTGACCACCAGGGTAAGGCCTGTGGGGTTCAGGGGTTTGGCCAGGGCTGTGGTCCAGCTGCCCCAGGGGTGATTCTGAGCTGAGCGAGAGCTAACTGCCTTCCCTGGAGATGCTCACAGGCTGAAGGCAGAGGATGAGAATGACCCATGACTGAGGCAGCTGCTGCACAGGCCATGGTGGGGTTAGGGGTTATAAGCTTCTTTAGAGAGAGGAAGAGGAGGCACCTTTAATTCTGCCTGTGTGCAAGAGGATGAATTTTCACCTGGAATCTAGAATCTAAGGGAATGCCAAAAATGCTGGCATCAAGATAGGTAACATTTTAAGGTAATATTTTAAAAGAATCCAAATTAATGCAGGCCGGGTACAGTGGCTCACGCCTGTAATCCCAGCACTTTGGAAGGCCAAGGCAGGCAGATCATTTGAGGTCAGGAGTTCGAGACCAGCCTGGCCAACAAGGTGAAACTCTGTCTCTACTGAAAATACGAAAATTAGCCGGGCATGGCGTGTGCCTCTAATCCCAGCTACTCTGGTGACTGAGGCAGGAGAATGGCTTGGGCCGGGGAGGTGGAGGTTGCAGTGAGCCGAGATTGTGCCACCGCACTCCAGCCTGGACAGCAGAGCAAGACTCCATCTCAAAAAAACAAATAATAATAAAATAAAAATTAATGCAAAAAAAATCTGTGATGATCAGAATTTAATTTAATTTAATTTAATTTAATTTAATTTAATTTATTTTTTGGGGTGGGGCTGGAGTGCAGTGGTATGATCATGGCTCACTGCCTTCTTGAACTCCTGGGCTCAAGCGATCCTCCTACTTCAGCCTCCTGAATACCTGGGACTACAGGCACATGACACTACACCAGTTAATTGAAAAAAATTTTTTTTGTAGAGATGGAGTCTCACTATGTTGCCTAGGTTGGTTTCAAACTCCTGGCCTCAAGCAATTGTCCTGCCTTGGCCTCCCCAAAGTGTTGGCATTACAGGCATGAGCCACGGTGCCTGGCCAGGGATTTTTGATCTAATGAGTACTAATCCAGGCAGCCTCCTGAGGAATTAAAAAGACAGCCTCTGGAGCCAGACTTCCTGGGTTCATATCTCAGCTCTGCCATGAATGAGCTGTATTACCTTGGGCAAGTTACTTAGCTGTCCTCTGCCTCGATTTTCTCATCTGTAAAATGGGTATATGGAGAGACTCTACCTCACAGGCTGTCATGAAAATGAAGGGCCTGTATGCAAAGCTCAATAATGCTTTATATGCTGTAGGTTCTCTGAAAGTGTGAGCCACCACTCCTAGTACTATACAGTCTATTAGGTGAGACAAGATGTGGAAACAAATAGAAATACCATATAGTGCCTTGGTGATTGCTGCAGAGACACAAATGCAGCAGAAGGTGGACTCCATGGTGCAGTCATTGATGGCTTCTCAGAGGCGGTGACATTTGAGTTCAACTTTTCCATCTGCACAGGAGGGCAGGGTCAGCCTAGAGGGAGTAAAGTGTCTGAGCACAGGAATAGAGGCCGAGGGTGCTGGGGAAGTGGAGAGTGGTTTTGTGAGGTTTGAGAGCAGGATATGCACCAGGGAGGGTGTGGTTGAAGCAGGAAGGGGCTGTGCTGCAGGTGTGCAGGCCTGCAGAGGGGTGCAGGCCTGCAGAGGGGTGCAGGCCAGGCATGACAGGGTCTGGGCTATGCTAGGAGGTTCTGTGTGGTGGGTGAGTCAGAGGAGGTAGCGTGTGGGGGCTCAGGGTCAAATTATGAACCTCACCGGGTGTGGTGGTTCACACCTACAATCCCAGCACTTTGGGAGGCCGAGCTGGGTGGATCATGAGGTCAGGAGTTCGAGACCAGCCTGGCCAAGATGCTGAAACCCCGTCTCTACTAAAAATAGAAAAATTAGCTGGGCATAGTGGCACGTGCCTGTAATCCCAGCTACTCGGGAGGCTGAGGCAGGAGAATCACTTGAACCCGGGAGGTGGAGGTTGCAGTGAGCCAAGATCACCCCACTGCACCCAAGCCTGGGCGACAGAGCAAAACTCCATCTCAAAAAAAAAAAAAATTCTGAACCTCTGGAGCATGACTGGTTCCAATGAGCAAGAGCTTCGGGGTAGCCAGGCATGGTGGCTCACACATTTGATCCCAGCAATTTGGGAGGCTAAGGCAGGAGGATCATTTGAACCCAGGGGTTTGAGACCAGCCTGGGCAATGTAGCAAGACCTCATCTTTACAAAAAAATTTAAAAATTGGCCTGGCATGTGGTGGTGCATGTCTGTAGTCCTAACTACTCAGGAGGCTGAGGTGGGAGGATCACTTGAGCCCAGGAGTTCAAGGCTGCAGTGAACTATGATTGTGCCATTGCACTCCAGCCTGGTGACAGAGTGAGACCACACTCCAACCTGAGTGACAGAGTGAGACCGTCTCAAAGAAAAAAAAAGCTTGAGGGTCAGACTGCCTGGGGTGTGTCCAGGGGCAGAAAGGAGAGCGAGGATCCCAAATGCCTTGTGAAACTGCAGAAGAAAGGAAACTAGAGACATGGTAGAAAGAGAAATCTCTATGTGGGTCTGTGGCCAGATCCATGAGAGGGGATTTAACCTGTGGTTCTCTTTGCAGTGAAGCCAGGCATGGATCTGGACCACCAGGAGAAGTGCCTGTCCCAGCTCTACGACCACATGCCAGAGGGGCTGACACCCTTGGCCACACTGAAGAATGATCAGCAGCGCCGACAGCTGGGTGTGTGTCCCTCTGCATCCACATGTGGGTCCCACTTTGTGCCCAGCTGATCCTGCTCACAGACAGCCACAGAGAGGTCCCTGAAGAGGGCCTGGGAGAGGGGGGTGTTCCAAGTCATCGTGGCCACTTTGGGTTCAGAAGTCATGAGGTGCAGTCCTGAGCCTCAGAGGGCTTCCCAGGCTGTGTTCTCATGGGTTCCATAGCACCCAGGCCTCCCACTGTGGAGCCAGGACTTTAACCATCTCCCTTGGGGTCCATAGGGTGGCCTGTATCATGCTAACAGGGAAGGAAACGTTTGTTGATTTCTTTATGCATGGCTGAATTACCAAGAACACCTAATGACTGGTAATGAAGTGTCCTGGTTTGGTCTCTGCCATGTCTCAGTGTGACTATCTCTTCCCATGTGCAGACCTCACCTCCACCACCCTAATCTGCCCCCACGCACACATACGCAGCTTCCCCGTCTCAGTGATGGCAACTCCCACCCCTCTAGGTGCTCAGGCCAGAAACCTTGGACTCACTCTCCACTCTTCTTTTCTTTCCTCCTCTTTCCCCTCCTCTCCCCTCTGCTCCCCTCCCCTCCCCTCCTGTCCCGTTCTCTCCCCTCCTCTTCCCTCCCCTCTGTTACCCTCCCCTCCCCTCCTCTCCCCTTCTCTCCCCTCTCTTCTCCCCTCCCCTGCTCTCCTCTCTCCACCGTCCTCCCTCTCCTCTCTCCTCTGTCCTCCCTCTCCTCTCCTCCTCCCTCTCCTCCCCCCTCTCCTCCCCTCCCCTCTCCTCCCCTCCTCCCTCTCCTCTCCTCCCCTCCTCCCTCTCCTCCCCTCCCTTCCCTTTCTCCCCTCCCCTCCCTTCCCATCCTTCCCCTCCTCTCCTCTCCTCCCCTCTCCCACCTCCCCTTCACTCCCCTTTCTCCTCCTCTCCCCTCCCCTCTCCTCTCATCCTTCCTCCTCTCCCCTCACCCTTCCCCTCTCCCCTCATCCCCTCCCCTCTCCCCTCATCCCCTCCCCTCTCCTCCCCTTTTCTTGTTCCTTGTTGCTTTCCTTTTCTTTCCCTTTCCTTTCCTCTCCTTTATTCTTTCTTTCTTTCTCTCTTTCTCTCCTCCCCATCTACCCTTCTTCCCTCCTTTCCTCTTTCCTTTTCTTTCATTTGCTTTCTTTGACAGCGTCTTGCTGTCCCCCAGGCTGCAGTGCAGTAGTGCAATCACAGCTCAGTGCAGCCTCGAACTCCTGGCTTCAAGTGATCCTCCTGCCTCAGCCTGCTGAGTAGATGGGACTATAGGCATGCACCACCATGCCCGGCTAATATTGTAAAAAGGTTTTTGTAGAGATGCCGTCTCACTATGTTGCCCAGGCTGGTTTTGAACTCCTGGCCTCCAGCGATCCTCCTGCCTCTGTCTCCCAAAGAGCTGGGTTTACAGGCACGAGCCACCACACCTAACCTCTTGTCTTACTTTCTCACCCTACATTTGATTAGCAAATCCCTTTGGCTGTACCTAGAAGACACACTCAAATCTGGCCACTTTAACCCTGCTGCCCTGGTGGAAGCCACATGTGTACAGTGCTTATGTAAGAAACATTTACTCACTTAAACCCCACGCAACACTATGAGGTGGGTCTCATGGCATCCCCATTTTACAGCTGAGGAAACTGAGACCCAGAGCGGTCACGTGGCTTGCCCTGCTCATAGCTGGTTTTCTTGCTGCCCCTTCAGAGTCTGGTCATGCAGGCCAGATCACATCAGTCTCCTGCTCACACCCCAGTGGGCTCCCATCTCAAGCAGAACAGGAGTGAGAGCCCTTATCTTGCACGCGTGAGATCCGCCATGATCTGGCCTTGCTCCTTCCCTGCACTCATTCTGTCCCGCCCTCCCTGCCTCCAGGCACACCTTAGCTTCTCCTTGCCCTTGAACACCTGTGCGTGCCCCTGCTCCAGGGCCCTCGCACCTGCTGCTCTTTCACATCCATCAGGGCTCTGCTCACAAAGACCATATCACAAAGCCTTCCTTGGCTGGGTGTGGTGGCTCATGCCTGCAATCCCAGCACTTTGGGAGGCTGAGGTGGGAGGATAGCTTGAAGTCAGGAGTTTGAGACCAGCCTGGGCGACATGGAGAAACCCCGTCTCTACCAAAAATACACTTAGCCAGATGTGGTGGTGTGTGCCTGTAATCCCAGCTACTTGGGAGGCTGAGGTGGGAGAGTCGCTTGAACCTGGGAGGCGGAGGTTGCAGTGAGCCAAGATCGTGCCACTGCATTCCAGCCTGGGTGACAGAGTGAGACTCCGTCTCAAGAAAAAAAAAAAAAAAGCCTTTCTTGGTCACCCATCATAGGACAACCCCATTCCCAGTCTTCTCCTACCATCTCTGCTTACCCTGCTTTATTTTTCTCTATAACCTCATCACCACCCCATCCATTACATATTTCTTGTCTTGTTAGTTATCTGTCTTCAATCACTACATGTAAACTCCATGAATGTGGGGGCAGTTTGTTTACTCGTTGCTTTATCTCTAGTGCCTAACACATTTGGTAAATATTTGTTGAGTGAACATCTTATGGACACAAGTGAGCTTATTACATATGCATTTAAGGGAGGCTTGGGCTGGGCGTGGTGACTCACGTCTGTCATCCCAGCACTCTGGGAGGCTAAGGCAGGTGGATTGCTTGAGGCCAGGAGTTTGAGACCAGCCTGGGCAACATAGCAATGATAATGAAATGATAATGATAATGAAAACATTATCCAAGTGTGGTGGTGCATGCCTGTGGTCCCAGCTACTCAAGAGTCAGAAGTGGGAATTTCAGTTGAGCCCAGGAGTTTGAGGCTGTGGTAAGCCATGATTGCACCACTGTACTCCAGCATGCGAAACAAAGTGAGACCCTGTCTCTAAATATAAAATATAAAATGAAATAAAATAATATTTTAATAAAAGGCTTGTTGTAACCAAGCGAGTTGTAGAGAAACGCCACACTTTGAGACTAATTCAGGAGTCATTTATTAGCCGGCAACTGAGAGACGGCTAATGCTCGAAATTCTCTCGGGCCTGAAGAAGGGGCTAGATTTTCTTTTATACTATGGTCTAAATAGGGGAGGGGGGTTTAACTGAAGCAATTTTACAGAAGCAGAATAGGCAAGAAGTTAAAAAAAGTAATTGGTTATAGAAGCAGTTACAAAAAATAAACAGTTCCAGGTGCAGGGGCTTAAACTATCACTGAGAGATAAATGCAGGGGCTTTAGGTACCTGCCACTGAGCACATCCCCAGGAGCTGCTGGTACAGCCTGCCTCAGTATCTTATCAGCAGTTTGCGTTCCTGGATGTGCTTGGAGTCAGCTTACACTAGTTATTCCCTTAAGGGGGATAAAGGGGGCTGCAAGTGAAGAAACTAAAATGGAGTCTGTCCGGCTCTCTCTGCTAGGAGAGAGTCACTCAGGTTAAAACAAGGTAGGGTATCACGGGCTCTAGCTATCCAGGCAGATTCTTTAGAAAAGAGAACGTCCAACCTCTTGGGCTGCCCCTTGGGCCCTTATGCTCTGCTTGGTGGATCTGCAGGTCACGTGGGTGCTGGCTTCCATCTGCGGGGAAGTCCCACCTGCACAGAGCCATGGCTCATCACGAGGAGTCAGTGCGGGAGGCCAGCCTCTGCAAGAAGCTGCGGAGCATTGAGGTGCTACAGAAGGTGCTGTGTGCCGCACAGGAACGCTCCCGGCTCACGTACGCCCAGCACCAGGAGGATGATGACCTGCTGAACCTGATCCACGCCCCCAGTGTTGTTGGTGAGTAACCTAGACTGTGTTCCCTCTGTGGGGGTGCCTGTGCCGCGGAAAGAGTACGCCTGGCCTGTGGGGGTTGAGCGAGCCCTCGCTGTGTGCTTGGCACAGGGAGGGCTGCACAGGGCAGGGACCGAGGTGCTTATTTCGCCCTGGAGTTCTCTTTTCTTTTTGAGATGGAGTCTCGCTCTGTTGCCCAGGCTGGAGTGCAGTGGCATGATCTCGGCTCACTGCAACCTCTGCTTCCCGGGTTCAAGTGATTCTTCTGCCTCAGCCTCCCGAGGAGCTGGGATTACAAGCGCCCACCACCACGCCCAACTAATTTTTGGATTTTTAGTAAAGATGGGGTTTCACCATGTTGGCCAGGCTGGTCTCGAACTCCTGACCTCAAGTGATCCGCCTGCCTTGGCCTCCCAAAGTGCTGGGATTACCAGAGTAAGCCACCACACCTGGCCTAGATACACTTTTTATGCTATTTGTTCTCGTGTAGAATCAGCCTGCCCTGGGATCCTTTGTTAGAAATTGACCAGCCTTATGTTAAGGGTAGTCCGAGCCTGCTGTGAAGATGCTGGTGGGGGTATGTAGCTGTCAATGGTTATGATTTGCCAAACCTCCTTTTCACTGGGAAATCCTCATACCACATTAATAATGAAAAGGTCAAGCACGGTGGCTCAAACCTCTAATCTCAGCACTTTGGGAGGCCGAGGCAGGAGGATTACTTGAGCTCAGGAGTTTGAGACCAGCCTGGGCAACATAGTGAGACCCCATCTCTACAAAAAATTTAAAAAAAATTCATCAGGTGTGGTGGTGCATACCTATAGTTCCAGCTACTCGGGAGGCTGAGGCAGGAGAATCATTTGAGTCCAGGAGGTCAAGCTGCAAGAGAGCTGTGATCGCACCACTGCACTCCAGCTTGCGCGACAGAGCGACACCCTGTCTCAAAATAGTAATAATGTTGAAAACAGAAAGCTCAATATCCCAGGACTGTGTCCAGTGAGGCATGGAACTTCCATAACAATAATACTTGAAACATAGATGACTTCTCAATAGGTTTTTTGTTTGTTTGTTTGTTTTTGAGAGGTCGTTTTGCTCTTGTCACCCAGGCTGGAGTGCAGTGGTGTGATCTCAGCTCACTGCAACCTCTGCCTCCCTGGTTCAAGCCTCAGCCTCCCAAGTAGCTGGTACTACAGGTGCGTGCCACCACGCCTGGCTAATTTTTTGTATTTTTAGTAGAGATGGGGTTTCATCATGTTGGCCAGGCTGGTCTTGAACTCTTGACCTCAGATGATCCTCCCACCGCGGCCTCCCAAAGTGCTGGGATTACAAGCATTAGCCCCCGTGCCCAGCCTCCTCATTAGGGTTTTATGAGTGCCAGAGAAGCCCACTAAGCCCCTTAAATATCAGGAAACCCCATGGGAATGTGTCTGGTTATCACTCCTTGGTCCCAGCTCAGGAATGAGTTATACCTCCTATGGCTCACAGGAGGTACCCAAATGGAAGGTAGAGTTCAACCTAGGTCGGGGGTTGAGCTGTGTTCCATCTTCTTGTACTACTTGTCTAAACCGAGGGGAAGGATGTGTGACTAAGAGAAAGTTCTGTACTGTCTCCTTCCCAAGGATCACTTTCTTTTTTCCCCCCCTGGAGTCTTACTCTGTCACCAGGCTGGAGTGCAGTGGCAAGACTTCAACTCACTGCAACCTCTGCCTCCTGGGTTCAAGTGATTCTCCTGCCTCAGCCTCCCAAGTAACTCGGATTACAGTCGCCTGCCACCATACCTGGCTAATTTTTGTATTTTTAATAGAGACGGGGTTTCACCATGCTGGCCAGACTGGTCTTGAACTTCTGGCCTCATTGATCCACCTGCCTCGGCCTCCCAAAGTGCTGGGATTACAGGCGTGAGCCACAACACCGGGCTATAAGGATCACTTTCAATTACAGAAACATTTATCCTCCCATTTCTAATCCTCTATTCTAGCTAAAACTGAGCAAGAGGTTGACATTATATTACCCCAGTTCTCCAAGCTGACAGTCACGGACTTCTTCTAGAAGCTGGTATGTTGAAAGCTCTCTACATAAATGACCTAAAGGGACAGCTCTTCACTTTGGTGAGTATGGTGTCTTAGTCCATGTGGGCTGCTATAACAAAATGCCTCAAACTGGGTGGCTTATGAACAGTAGAAATATATTTCTCAGTTCTGGAGGCTGGGAAGTCCAAGACCAAGGTATTGGCAGATTTGGTATCTGCTGAAGGCCCATGTTCTGGTTTATAGGTGGGGCCTTCTACCTGTGTCCTCATGGCAGAAAAGGTGATGAGCTCCCTTGGGCCTGTTTTAAAAGCATGTATCCCATTCTTGAGGGCTCCACCCCAAGACTGAATCACCTCTCAAGAGGCCCCACTTCCTAATAATTACATTGATGATTTTAATATACATTTTAAATTTTAATAAATATTAATAAAATTTTAATGTTTTAATATACAAACTTTGGGAGGGTACAAACATTCAGACCATAGCATATTTTATTTTATTCATTTATTTTTATTTATTTGTTTTTTGAGACAGAGTCTCACTCTGTTGCCCAGGCTGGAGTGCAGTGGTGCGATCTCGGCTCAGTGCAGCCTCCACCTCCCAGGTTCAAGTGATTCTCCAGCTTCAGCCTCCCGAGTAGTCGAGATTACAGGCCTGTGCCACTATGCTCAGCTAATTTTGTATTTTTAGTAGAGACAGGGTTTCACCATGTTGGCCAGGCTGATCTTGAACTCCTGGGCTCCAGTGATCCACTCACCTCGGCCTCTCAAAGTGCTGGGATTATAGGCCTGAGCCACTGTGCCCGGCCCCATAGCATATTTTAAAAGTAGTTTTTAGGTATTGTCTATTTGAAATTTTTTAAAATATTTTTTAATTTTTTTTAGAGATGTGGTCTCACTGTGTCACCTAGGCTGGATTACAGTGGCATGGTCATAGCTCACTGCAGCCTGAACCTTCTGGGCTCAAGCGATCCTCCTACCTTAGCTACCCTAGTAGATGGGACTACAGGCAAACACCACCACGTCCAACTAATTTTTATTTCTTGTAGAGATGGGGTCTTGCTATGTTGCCTAGGCTGGTCTCAAACTCCTGGGCTCCAACCATCCTCCTGCCTAGGCATCCCAGAGTGCTGGGATTACAGGTATGAGCCACTATGCCTGACCTGAGATTTTTTTCCTTTTTTTTTTTTTTTTTTTAGACAGGGTCTAACTCTGTTTTCACCCAGGCTGGAGTGCAGTGGCACAATCAGTTCACTGAAGCCTCGAACTGCTGGGCTCAAGAAGTCCTCCTGCCTCAGCAGCCTGAGTAGATGGAACCATAGGCGTGCACCACCATGCCTGGCTAATTCTTTTATGTTTTTAGTAGAGAATGGTTCCCGCTATGTTGCCCAAGCTGGTCTCAAACCTCTGGCCTCAAGCAATCCTTCTGCCTTGGTCACACAAAGTGCTTAGGATTACAGGCATGACATGCCTGGTCTTAAATTGTTTATATTAGAGATTTTATTTAAGATAATTTTGGCTGGGTGCAGTGGCTCACGTCTTTAATCCCAGCACTTTGGGAGGCTGAGGCGGGCGGATCACCTGAGGTCAGGAGTTTGAGACCAGCCTGGCCAACATGGTGAAACCCCATCTCTGCTAAAAATACAAAAATTAGCCAGGCATGGTGGTTCGCACCTGTAATTCCAGCTACTCAGGAGAATTACTTGAACCCGGGAGGCAGAGGCTGCAGTGAACCGAGATCACACCACCACACTCTAGCCTGGGTGATAGAGTGAGACAATGTCTCAAAAAAAAAGAAAAGAAAAAGATAATTAATACAATGTCTAAAAGATAATTTTATTGAAAATATATTGGGTATGTTTGAGAAGATGGCTTTCCAGCTTCTTGCATGACTGCTGTAGCATGTATGCCCCCAGATGTGTCATTTGTCCCTGAACAAGGCCAAGTGAGATCTTCAAGGACAGCAGGCAAAATTCCCTTTAGCTTTCAAGCGTCTGATCTAGCCTTCAAATCCTACACCTAACGATGCTCTCTTCCAAAGGGCCCCTTATCTGTGTTTTTGGCTAACAAGCAGTGGATGCCTCCTCGAAGCAACCGCTTCACCGCAGAAGAAGGGGACTTGGGGTTCACCTTAAGAGGGAACGCCCCCGTTGAGGTTCACTTCCTGGATCCTTACTGCTCTGCCTTGGTAAGCACATGCTTTTCTTGGTTGGCAGCAAATACAGATATCTGGGTGATTGAATTTAGGGCGGGTTCACCCACGTCAAAGGCCTGACTTGATGTGAAAGGCCTCATGGGTGCTACATTCCCTAAAAGAAAAGGATTAATTTTTACTGTCTTTATTTTGTTTTTAGTATTTTTTTAGACGTTGGGAGGTGGAGGCTGCAGTGAGTCGTCATCATGCAGTGGCGCGATCTCAGGGCTCACTGCAGCTTCTGCTTCCTGGGTTCAAGTGATTCTCCTGTCTCAGCTTCCTGAGTAGCTGGGATTACAGGCACGTGCCACCAGACTCAGCTAATTTTAGTTTTTGTTTTTGTTTTTTGAGACACAGTCTCGCTCTGTCGCCCAGGCTAGAGTGCAGTGGCGCGATCTTGGTTCACTGCAACCTCCACCTCCTGGGTTCAAGTAATTCTCCTGCCTCCACCTGCTGAGTAGCTGGGATTACAGGTGCGTGCCACCATGCCCGGCTAATTTTTTGTGTGTTTTTAGTAGAGACGGGGTTTCACCGTGTTAGCCAGGATGGTCTTGATCTCCTGATCTTGTGATCTGCCCACCTCAGCCTCCCAAAGTGCTGGGATTACAAGTGTGAGCCACCTGGCCCGGCCTAATTTTTGTATTTTTAGTAGAAACGGGGTTTTGCCATGTTGGCCAGGCTAGTCTCAAACTCCTGGCCTCAAGTATTCTGTCTGCCTTGGCCTCCCAGAGTGCTAGGATTATAGGCGTGAGCCACTGTGCCTGGCCAATTTTGACTTTTTTTTTTTTAATTGCACCCAGGCTGGAGGGCAGTGGCACGATTTCGGCTTACTGCAATGTCTGCCTCCCGGGTTCAAGCAATTCTCCTGCCTCAGCGTCCCAGGTAGCTAGGACTACAGGTGCCCACCACCACACCTGGCAGATTTTTGTATTTTTAGTAGAGATGGGTTTCACCGTGTTGTTCAGGCTGGTCTTGAACTACTGACCTCAAGTGATCTACCCGTCTCAGCCACCCAAAGTGAATTTTTGCTTTCTTGATGCGAACTTACGCAAATACCTATTTTGTTAATGGGGACTGATTCAAGGATTTGAGTGAACAAAACGTTGACTTATTTTCAACAATACTTTTTCAGGTGGCAGGAGCCCGGGGAGGAGATTATATTGTCTCCATTCAGCTTGTGGATTGTAAGTGGCTGACGGTGAGTGAGGTTATGAAGCTGCTGAAGAGCTTTGGTGAGGACGAGATCGAGATGAAAGTTGTGAGCCTCCTGGACTCCACATCATCCATGGTGAGCACTGACACCTCCCTGGGCAGTCAGTAGTGGTGTGGAGTGAAATCTGCATGAGTTCAGCCCCAGAGGTGTTTATCAGACCCTCTGTCTCCTGCCTGTGTAACATGGTACAAATGACTGGACTCCCAGGCTTGTAATCACTGTAATGTGCTCACCTTGGGTCAAAGAGAAAATTGGCAAACTTTTTCTTTTTAAAGACAGGCTGGTTTGCAGTGGTATGATCATGGCTTACTGCAGCCTCTATCTCCTGGGTTTAAGTGATCCTCCCACCTCAGCCACATGAGCACCTGGAGTTATAGGCACCCACTACCACCCCTGGCTCATTATTTATTTATTTATTCATTTTTTTTTTTATTATTTTTTTTGAGATGGAGTCTCGCTCTGTCACCCAGGCTGGAGTGCAGTTGTGCAATCTCGGCTCACTGCAAGCTCTGCCTCCCAGGTTCACGCCATTCTCCTGCCTCAGCCTCCCAAGTAGCTGGGACTACAGGCGCCTGCCAATGTGCCTGGCTAATTTTTTGTATTTTTAGTAGAGATGGGGTCTCACCATGTTAGCCAGGATGGTCTCGATCTCCTGACCTCGTGATCCACCTGCCTCGGCCTCCCAGAGTGCTGGGATTACAGGTGTGAGCCACCATGCCCAGCCCATTCTTTATTTTTTGTAGAGACAGGTTCTCGCTGTGTTGCCAAGACTGATCTTGAACTCCTGGGCTCAAGCCATCCTCTCACCTTGGCCTCCCAAAGTGCTGGGATTACAGGCATGAGCCACTGCACCCTGCTAGCAAACTTTTAAAAATATCCTGTAGATAAAATAATCAACTGATCTATTTTTCTGATCAAATTGTTTAATTACAAAAGTAATACATACTCATAGTGAAAAAAACAAAAAACAAAAAAAAAATTCTAATGGTACAGAAGAGCTTAAGATGACCTGTGAAAGTTAAGACAATCCCTCTGTACACCCTAGAGGCAATGTCAGCCATGTTCTGGGAGATTTGGGAAGCATTTGAGTCTCTCAAGTTCACCTGCACAGTTACCACCTTTAATTTTCCCCAGGTGAGGCTGGGCACGGTGCTCATGTTTGTAATCTGAGTACTTTTGGAGGCTGAGGTGTGTGGATTGCTTGAAGTCAGGAGTTCAAGACCAGCCTGACCAACAAGGCAAACCCTGTCTCTACTGAAAATATAAAAATTAGCTGGACATGGTGGTGTGCGCCTGTAACCCCAGCTACTCAGGAGGCTGAGGCAGGAGAATAATTTGGGAGGTGGAGGTTGCAGTGAGTGGAGATCACGCCATTGCACTCCAGCCTGGGCAACAGAGTGAGACTCTGTCTGCAAAAAAACCCTAAAATTTTCCCCAAGTGCTAGCGTTCATGCCACACTCAATGACGTTCTCCTCTGCACTTTGCCACACTTAATGACGTACCCTCGACCTTCCCTCTGTAACAACAGTCATTTATTCATTCAACAAATATTGATTGAGGATCAATTGGGTGCCAGACACTCTCTTAGGTGTCAGAGCTCCAGTTTACATTACACAGGTAAGGTCCCTGCCGCCCCCCACGAAGCTGGCACTAAGTCAGCAAATAAATGGTCAGGATTTTGATAAGTGTTGTAAAGGAAAAAAGACCTGTAATGGGGTGGAATGACTGGGGAGGAGGTGAGACTCTATCTAGGCAGGGCTGGAACAGACATGAGAGTGACCAGGAGGTTCGAGCCAGTGGCAGAGAGACAAGAAAGGCCTTCTGGGCAGGGGCACCTACAGGTACAGGGCCCCTGCAGCAGAATAAGCTTCTCCTACCAGAGAGGCCAAAGAAAGGCCTTTTGGCAAGAGCACCAGGACAAGGAAGGGAGCCGTGGGAAGTGAGGTAGGAAGGAGGCCTCGGTGGCAGTGGTGGGAGCTTGGAAGCCACTGGGCCTTTTCAGAAGGGGAGCGGCATGGTGTGATGTTTGTTTTAGAAGTGCGTCTGCTGCCGGAGACTGGCCATGGCAGTTGTCCAGGCTGGTGACGTTAGTGGCTGAGGTGATGGGGGTGGCTGTAGAGTTGGAGAGACGTGAGTGTCCCTGGGACATAGTTTGGAGGTAGAGCTGATGGGGGATTTGTGGATGATTTGTGTAAAGGAGACAGTGAACAGGGAGGTGAGGCCTCAGTTTTTGGCTTGATCAATCTCATGGGTAGTGGTTATTTTTCTACCTTTAATTTCCTTTTTCTCTTGTTTTTTTTTTTTTTTGTTTGTTTGTTTTTGTTTTTTTTTTTTTTTTTTTGAGACAGGGTCTCACTCTGTTGCTTGGCTGGAATGCAGTGGTGCAATCATAGCTCACTAGAGCCTTGACTTCCTGGGCTGAGGCAATCCTTTTGCCTCAGCCTCCCGAGTAGCTGGAACTACAGGTGTGTACCACTATGCCTGGCTAATTTGTTTATTTACCTATTGTAAATTTTTTTTGGTAGAGATGGGTCCTTGACATATTGCCAAGGTTGGCCTCAAACTCCTGGCCTTAAGCGATCCTTCCACCTCCACCTCCCAAAGTGTTGGGATTACAGGCATTAGCCACCATGCCCGGCCTGGTTATTTTTCATAATGATGGGTAATGGGTGTGAGGGAGGTGAAGGAGAGAAATCAAGAGTCATGTTTTGAATGTTTCAGAAGCTATTAGCAGTCAGACGTAAGCATAAAGGAGGAGATTGGATGTGAAGTCTTCAGTTCGAGGAAGAAATCAGAGCTAGAAATAAATATTTGAGAATCATTGCACAGGGATGATATTTGAGGCTGTGAGACAAAATGCAGCTCCCTGCAAGGGGGCTAGGGCTGAGGTCTAAACATTTAGAGATCAGTTGGAAGAGAAGCAAGTGCAAAGAAAATGCAGGAGAGTTCAGAGATGTCGGAGGAAAGGAACTTCTCAAATTAAGAGGAGAAAGCTTTGCAGTGAGAGAGTGATGGGTTGCATTGAATGCAGTTGAGAGGTGGAGAATGAGGTTGGCTTAGCTGTGCCTATTGTATTTGGCAGCAGGATGAAAAGACACTTTGGTGGAGAGGTGGCAACAGAAGTCAGTTGAGAGAGGGCCAGAGAGCCAATGGATTTTGAGTCCGTGGATATGAAATGCTCAGCATAGGCAAATCCAGAGACAGAAAGTAGATGGTGCTGGGGCTGGGCAATGGGAGTGGGGAGGGACTGCTGAAGGGTCATAAGGTAGAAGGTTTCTTTTTGGGGGGATGGAAATGTTCTGAAATTAGGTAGTAGTGATGGTCACCTAACTTTGTGAATATACTAAAAAATCACTGGTGTTTTGGCATGCTGGCTCACACCTGTAATTCCAGCACTTTGAGAGGCTGAGGCAGTATGTTCGCTTGAGCCCAGGAGTTCGAGACCAGCCTGGGCAACATGGCGAGACCTTGTCTCTACAAAAAATAAAAAAAATTAGCGAGGCATGGTGGCACACACCTGTAGTCCCAGCTGCTTGGGAGGCTGAGGCCGGAGGATCACTTGAGCCCAGGGAGGTTGGGGCTGCAGGGAGCTATGATTGTACCACTGCACTCCAGCCTGGGTGTCAGAGCAAGACCCTGTCTCAAAAATAATAAATAAAAGCCACAGAAGGGTATTAAAATGGTGAATTTTATGCATGTATGTGAATTATATCTCAAAAAAAATTTTTTTTTTTTGAGACGGAGTCTCACACTATCGCCCAGGCTGGAGTGCAGTGGCGTGATCTTGGCTCACTGCAACCTCTGCCTCCAGGATTCAAGTGATTCTCCTGCCTCAGTTTCCTGAGTGGCTGGGATTATAGGCGGGCACCGCTCTGCCTGGCTAATTTTTGTTTTAGTGGAGACAGGGTTTCACTACGTTGCTCAGGCTGGTCTCGAACTCCTGACCTCATGATCCATCCACCTCGGCCTCCCGAAGTACTGGGATTACAGGCGTGAGCCACCGCACCTGATATACTTCAAATTTTAAAAGAAGATAAAGTCAAGGGACTCAGAGCATCTTGGGAGAAGGGATCATAAGAAATTATATTTTTAGGGACAAAATGCATGGAGTTTATGGACAAGTGATTAAGGTCCCCAGCAGAAACAGAAAAGAAGTTTGTCCAAAAGGAGGTTAGAGAAAAGAGCCGAACCATACACTGAAGGTTGGAGTAGGGACCCCATCAGCAGAGGCCTGAGTTTATGGGGCATGCCCTGCCCCCTGTGAGAGGTGCAAAGGCTTGACTTTCAAGCCTGTGACATCTTTACACCAGGCCAAGGAAGGGGCTGCTGTAATAGCTAAAAGCAAGGGTTCTGCACTCAGACAGTCTAGATGTGTATCCTGGCTTTCCACCACCATTGTGTGGCCTTCAGCAAGTCAGGGAATAGCTGTGAGCCTCAGGATAAACTGAGTTTACATAAAGCCCTTCCAAGAGGGCCAAACATGAGCTACATTTCAATTCACAATAGACATTATAATGATGATAACCATGATCATGATGTTTATTCTTTTCACCCAGCAGGATGTCTTTAATTTTTTTAAAAATAATGTTTTTAGGCCGGGCACAGTGGCTCACGCCTGTAATCCCAGCACTTTGGGAGGCTGAGACGGGTGGATCACGAGGTCAGGAGATCGAAACCATCCTGGCTAACATGGTGAAACCCCATCTCTACTAAAAATACAAAAAATTAGCTGGGCGTGGTGGCTGGTGCCTGTAGTCCCAGCTCCTTGGGAGACTGAGGCAGGAGAATGGCGTGAACCCAGGAGGTGGAGCTTGCAGTGAGCTGAGATCGTGCCACTGCCCTCCAGCCTGGGTGACAGAGCGAGACTCTGTCTCAAAAAAAAAAAATGTTTTTAGTCTGGGCACAGTGGTTCACTCCTATAATCCTAGCACTTTGGGAGGCCGAGGCAGGTGGATCACTTGAAGCCAGGAGTTGGAGACCATCCTGGCCAACATGGCAAAACCCTATCTCTACTAAAAATACAATAATTAACAGGATGTGGTGGTGTATACCTGCAATCCCAGCTACGTGGGAGGCTGAGGCATAAGAATCGCTTGAGCCTGGGAGGCAGAGGTTGCAGTGAGCCGAGATCGTGCCACTGTACTCCAGCCGGGGCAACAGAGTAAGACCCTGTCTAGAAAAAAAAAAGTTTGTTTTTTGTTTTGAGACACAGTCTCGCTCTCATTGCCCTGGCGCGATCTTGGCTCACTGTGGCCTTTACTCTTGGGCTTAAGTGATCCCCCCACCTCTGCTTCCTGAGTAGCTAGGACTACAGGCATGCAACACCATACTCAGCTAATTTTTCATATTTTTTGTAGAGATGGGGCTTCACCGTGTTGCCCTAGCTGTTCTCTAACTTCTAAGCTCAAGCAATCCGCCTACCTTGCCTCCCAAAGTGCTGGGATTACAGGCATGAGCCAGCATGCCCGGCCAAATAATTTCTTTTGTTGTTGTTTTTTGTTTTGTCTTGTTTGTTTTGAGACAGGGTCTCACTCAGTTGCCCAGACTGGAGTGCAATAGTGCAATCATAGTTCACTATAGCCTCGAGTTCTAGGGCTCAAAAGATCCTCCCTTCTCATCATCTGAGGTCAGGAATTCTAGACCAGCCTGGTCAACATGGTGAAACCTGGGTGTGGTGGTGGTGGGTGCCTGTAATCCCAGCTACTTGGGCAGCCAAGGCAGGAGAATTGCTTGAACCCAGGAGGCAGAGGTTGCAGTGAGCCGAGATCATGCCACTGCACTCCAGCCTGGGCAAGAGAGGGAGACTCCATCTCAAAAAAAAAAAAAAAAATCCTCCCAAGTTGCTGGGACTACAGGTGTGCACCACTATACCCAGCTAATTTTTAATTTTTTTTTGTAGTGACAGTCTCATTTTGTTGCCCAGCCTGGTCCCAAACTCCTGGGCTTAAGCAATCTTCCTGCCTCCGCCTCCCAAAGTGTTAGTTTTACAGGAATGAGCCAGTGCACCAGGCCAAAAGTAATTTCCTTTCATCTTTTATTTAACTAATTTTGTAGTGACGGGGTCTAACTAAGTTATCCAAGCTGATCTTGAATTCCTAGCCTCAAGAGACCCTCTTGAATCAGCCTCCCGAATAGTTGGGATTACAGGTGTGAGACACTGTACCTGGCTCTTTTTTTTTTTTTTGGAGATAGAGTCTTGTTCTTGTCATCCAGGCTGGAGTGCAGTGCTACAATCTTGGCTCACTGCAACCTCCGCTTCCCGGGTTCAAGCAATTCTCCTGCCTCAGCCTCCCGAGTAGCTGGGATTACAGGCACCCACCATGATGCCTGGCTAATTTTTGTATTTTTAGTAGAGATGGGGTTTCACCACATTGGCCAGGCTGATCTTGAACTCCTGGCTTCCGGTGATTGGCCTGCCTTGGCCTCCCAAAAGTGCTGGAATTACAGGAGTGAGCCACCATTCCCAGCCCCTGGTTTTTTAAAAATAATTTTTAAAAAATAATTTATTTTTGTCTATTAATTTTTATGATAAGGATTTTAGATAATGACAGCCAAGCACTGTTTTTAGCGACTGAACCTTTCAAACAAAATCAAATAAAGAGAGCATTTAGCCTAGCACTCTGGCTGAACCGATGACCTGCTGCCCTTGGCTACCCTCTTGACTACAGTGGGGATCCCTAACTGAACAAATCTAAGCTTGGAATCAAGCTCTGGAATTACGCCCTGACTGCCGTTCACAAGCTGTGTAACCTTCAGCACGTTCATACCCTCCCTGGGCCTCAGTTTTCTCATCCAGAGGATGGAAGAGTTAGGCCTACACAGTGGTTTTAAACTGTGCTCTGTAAAGTCCTAAGAGTTCTACAGGGGTACCCTGGTGGATTTGAGCGAGGAGTGGGTGGCAGGGAAAGAAATAGTAAATGGAGCTGGGCACAGTGGCTCAAGCCTGTAATCCCAGCACTTTGGGAAGCTGAGGCAGGTGGATCACTTGAGGCCAGAAGTTCAAGACCAACCTGGCCAACATGGTGAAACCCTGACTCTACTAAAAATACAAAAATTATCTGGGCATGGTGGCATGTGCCTGTAATCCCAGCTACTTGGGAGGCTGAGGCAGGAGAATCACTTGAACCTGGAAGTGGAGGTTGCAGTGAGCCAAGATTGGGCCACTGCACTCCAGCCTGGTGACAGCAAGACTCTGTCTCAAAAGAAAAAAAAAAGGCTTTTCAAAGAAAGTAGTGGTACACATTGCAGGAGTGAGAGAGAGTGTATGTGGGTATGATACTGGGGTGGACCTGGAGGGGAATAGGGTCAAGAAAGGCTTTACTTTTTTTTTTTTCTTTTTGAGACAGAGTCTCGCTCTGTCGCCCAGGCTGGAATGCAGTGAGTGGCGCTATCTCAGCTCACTGCAAGCTCCACCTCCTGGTTCATGCCATTCTCCTGCCTCAGCCTCCCGAGTAGCTGGGACTACAGGTGCCCGCCACCATGCCCGGCTAATTTTTTGTATTTTTAGTAGAGGCAGGTTTCACCGTGTTAGCCAGGATGGTCTCAATCTCCTGACCTTGTGATCCGCCCGCCTTGGCTTCCCAAAGTGCTGGGATTACAGGCGTGAGCCACTGTGCC
This sequence comes from Homo sapiens, assembly GCF_000001405.40. Classification (NCBI taxonomy): domain Eukaryota; kingdom Metazoa; phylum Chordata; class Mammalia; order Primates; family Hominidae; genus Homo; species Homo sapiens. Next base: position 20,231,858 of record NC_000015.10, on the reverse strand, counting down.
TGGCCAAGAAAGGCTTTTCAAAGAATGTGATGGTATGCATTGCAGGAGTGTGTGTGTGTGTGTAGAGAGAGGGGTGTGTGTATGTGTGTAGAGAGGGGTGTGTGTGTGTGTGTAGAGAGGGGTGTGTGTGTGTGTGTAGAGAGAGGAGTGTGTGTGTGTGTAGAGAGAGAGGGGTGTGTGCGTGTGTGTGTGTAGAGATCTGGGAGGCAAGGGTTCCTGGAGGAGAGAGGGAATGGGATCCAGGCACACAGAAGGGCTTGGTCTTGGGGGATGGATGCCATGAAGTATACGGCAGGGATTTCAGGAGGGTGTGTGAGTGGCTTCAGGAGGAGAGCGAAGATAAGAAACAAGTATACAGGAGAAAAGGAAACGAAATTACTAGGGACACACAAGAGTGCCAGGAAATGGGTGCCTATTAGAGGTTTGGGGTCAGGTTAGAATTCCAAGGGAAGCCTTGGTGAGTGTCCTCCAGCAATGCACAACCTTTCAGATACAGGCCCTAGGGGAGGCAGAGGGCGGAGATGAGCAAGTTAGCATTGCTGGGGGCAGATGGAAGAGAACTGAGGGTATTTATAAGGCAGTGGTTTTGATACACAATGGACTTTGAGCAGCTGAGGGTTGGGAAATGCTTTCAGGCCTCACATCTGTCTCCAGGATTATTCGTTTTATTATTGTTTTAAATGACATTGTATGTGCTCCGTAAAACATGGTGGAGTTAGTGGTCAGTTTTCCAGAAAAGGAAGAGGCATCTCCATCCTTAGGGGCTCAAAGTACCCCCTACTTTATTGCTGCATAACTCAGATTCCTGAGGGTTTATTTTATTTATTTATTTATTATTTATTTATTTTTTGTGATAGAGTCTTACTCCATCACCCAGGCTGGAGTGCAGTGACGTGATCTTGGCTCACTGCAACCTCCACCTCCTGGGTTCAAGTGATTCTTCTGCCTCAGCTCCTGAGTAGCTGGGATTGCAGGTGTGTGCCACCACACCTGGCTAATTTTTGTATTTTTACTAGAGATGGAGTTTCACCATGTTGGCCACCATGGTCTTGAACCCCTGGCCTCAAGTGATCTGCCCACCTCAGCCTCCCAAAGTGTTGGGATTACAGGTGTAAGACACTGTGCCCGGCCCCTCTTAGGGTTTATATTAGGAACAATGTCCTCAACTATTGCAGCGATATATTGTATGCCTAATGTTAGTGCCAGAACATAGTAGACCATCAATAAACATGTGGCGAACTAAACAATCTCAATGTTAGGCAAACCTTAGAAGCTGGTGATAGCCCATGTGGAAGTCTTCAGAAAGCAAGCTTCCTTAGATTTCCAGTTTGAATCCTACATGATTCTTGGAAAGTTAACAGTAGAGAGTGTTTAATGGTACAAAGTTTCAGCTGAGGAAGATGAAAAAGTTTTAGAGATGGATGGTGGCAGTGGAGCATAATGATGTGAATGTAGTTAATGCCACTGAACTCTACACTTGAAAATGATGAAAATGGCACTCCAGCCTGGGCGACAGAGCGAGACTCCATCTTAAAAAAAAAAAAAAAAGAAAAAGAAAAAAAAAGAAAAAAGAAAATCAGGTGTAGAATAGTGCAGTATATTCCTTTTAAGAAAATGAATGGTAATATACTTATGTACATACAGAAATACCTGTACATGCACATCATCTCTAGAAGTATAACATGGAGGGCCTAGAAGCCCAGGTGACAGGGAGACCTATTGCTCACTGCATATTCTTTTTTTTTTCCTTCCCTTTCCCTCTTCCCTTCTCTTCTCCTCTTCCCTTTCCTTTCCCCTCTTCCCTTCCCCCCCGCCCTTTTTTTGAGACAGAGGTGTCACTCTGTTGCCCAGGCTGGAGTGCAGTGGCACAATCACAGCTCACTATATAGCCTCAACCTCCTGGGCTCAAGCATTCCTCCCCTCTAAGCCTCTCAGGTAGCTGGGACTGTAGTCGTGAGCCACCACGCCCCATCCTATACTTTCATATTCGTGACCATTAGTATTATTACTTTCTCAAATAGAAGAAGAACCTTAAAATGTGAGTTGTGGCTCCTAAGCTTAAATTGTTACTATTGAGTACATTCCTTAAAAGTTATCCTTGTTGGGCTGGGCGCGGTGGCTCATGCTTGTAATTCTAGCACTTTGGGAGGCTGAGGCAGGTGGATCACGAGGTCAGGAGATCGAGACCCTGGTGAAACCCCGTCTCTACTAAAAATACAAAAAATTAGCCAGGTGTGGTGGTGGGCATCTGTAGTCCCAGCTACTCAGAGAGGCTGAGGCAGGAGAATGGCATTAACCCGGGAGGTGGAGCTTGCAGTGAGCCGAGATCGTGCCACTGCACTCCAGCCTGGGCGACAGAGTGAGACTCCGTCTTAAAAAAAAAAAAAACAAAAACAAAAAACAAACAAACAAAAATTATCCTTGTTGCACCTGGTGGCACATACCTAGAGCCCCAGCTACTCAGGAGGCCAAGGCAGGAAGATCACTTGATCCCAGGAGTTCAAGACCAGCCTGGGCAACATAGCAAGACCCTGTCTCAAAAAAGAAAAACAGTTTGTCCTTGTTTTAAGAACCTAATTCTATATAAGCATTGGTCACCTGAGTTTCCGAATTATGTCTGTTTAATTTATTTTTTGGAGACAGAGTCCTGCTCTGTCACCCAGGTTGGAGTGCAGTGGTGCAATCTCAGCTCACTGCAACCTCCACCTCCTGGGTTCAAGTGATTCTCGTGCCCAGCCTTGCAAGCAGCTGGGACTACAGACATCCACCACCACACCTGGTTAATTTTTGTATTTTAGTAGAGATGGGGTTTCACCATGTTGGCCATGCTGGTCTTGGACTCCTGACCTCAAGTGATCCACCTTCCTCGGACTCCCAAAGTGTTGGGATTACAGGCGTGAGCCACTGCGCCTGGCCAAACTTCGTAGTTTTTATCATCTATCTTGATGATGTCTGACGCCCTTTTTCTTTTCTATGTGCAGCATAATAAGAGTGCCACATACTCCGTGGGAATGCAGAAAACGTACTCCATGATCTGCTTAGCCATTGATGATGACAACAAAACTGATAAAACCCAGAAAATCTCCAAGAAGCTTTCCTTCCTGAGTTGGGGCACCAACAAGAACAGACAGAAGTCAGCCAGCACCTTGTGCCTCCCATCGGTCGGGGCTGCACGGCCTCAGGTCAAGAAGAAGCTGCCCTCCCCTTTCAGCCTTCTCAACTCAGACAGTTCTTCATACTAATGTGAGGAAACAAACACGTTCAGGCCCCGAACATTTCTGGTGCTGACTCGGCCTTAAACATTTGTGCCATAATGGAAAATATCTATCTATTTTCAAATCCTGTTTTTCTCATAGCGTAAACTCACATTTGATGTGTTTTTATGAAGGAAAGTAACCAAGAAACCTCTAGGAATTAGTGAAAAAAGAACTTTTTTGAGGCGTGTTACTATACTGCTGTAAGTTATTTATTATATAAAGTATTGTAAATAGAATAGTTTTGAAGATATGAAATATGGCTATTTTTAATGGTGACAGTTATGACTTTTAGTCACTATTAAATTGGGGTTACCTATAATAATACAATTTGTAGTTGTTTCCAGGTTTGGCTAATAATCATTCCTTAACCTAGAATTCAGATGATCCTGGAATTAAGGCAGGTCAGAGGACTATAATGATAGAATTAAATTAGTGTCACTAAAAACTGTCCCAAAGTGCTGCTTCCTAATAGGAATTCATTAACCTAAAACAAGATGTTACTATTATATCGATATACTATGAATGCTATTTCTAGAAAAAGTCTAGTGCCAAATTTGTCTTATTAAATAAAAACAACGTAGGAGCAGCTTTTCTTCTAGTTTGATGTCATTTAAGAATTGCTAACACAGTGGCAGTGTTAGATGAAGATGCTGTCTACAAGGTAGATAATATACTGTTTGATACTCAAAACATTTTTCATTTTGTTTAAAGTAGAAGTTACATAATTCTATATTTTAAGTCTTGGGTAAAAAAGTAGTTTTACATTTTATGAAGTAAAGATGTAAATGATTCAGGTTTAAAGCTCTATTTGACTTTGTTGTTGTTGTTGTTTGAGATAGAGTCTTGCTAGTGTCAATAGCAAAAGCCTTCTAGCTATCTGCCTTTCAGCTACATGGTGGGGCATACTTAACTGTTTTCTTTGATGTTGGGCATAGCATGGACCTACTTGGTTCACTATCTGACACTATCTGCATTTATTAACACTATCTGTGTTGATTTGTGCTATTTCCTGTGTGTGATTTGTACATCTGCCATTGCTTTTTGTCTCTAGTTACTGCTTTCTTTTCCTGTTTGCCTTGTTCTTGTAGAACCCTTTCTGACTCTCTCAAGAGGGACCTTTTCAACCCCAACTCCCACTGGTCTAATCCTAACCAGCACCAGCTGGTTGGGAAGTAGAGCAGGAACTCTGGCTGCCCTAATCTACATGGTGCTCTCTGCTCCTGGGCAGGGATGTGGGTGTTTTTATATACTATTCTCTTGAGTATGAAATGCCTGAACAAAGCAGTGATTTGGCAAGCCTGAAGTCACACACTGGGGCTCATAGTAACTTGCTTCTGCTAGCAACGTGAGCATTAGAAACATTTCCTGGCCAAGTAGCCTTGAATCAGCTAGGAGTGGGGGTGCAATGAGTCTGGGTTCACTTTGCTCAGGGTGACAAGGCTTTAGAGTATTGGTTAATTGTCAAACTCTTTTGTTTAAGAGACAAGGTAAACATACATACATGCATACATAGAGAAGCTTTCTAGGGTTACTTAGGCTTTATGTGATTACTAGCAGAAATGTTTGTATTTGCAAGCAAAGCTTATAAATCACCTCTTAGATATCTTTGCAAAATGAAGCTAAAACGTGGTTTAAAGAATCAAAAATATAAGATATTTACAATGATTTATAATTGAATCAGGAATGCATTTGGTATTTTTTAAAAGGAATAATTGGCTAAGATTTAAATTAATTTGCTTTCCTTAAAAACTCAGAGCCTAAACAATAGAAAGAAATAGGAACAGTTACACTGGGTGTGTGAGGGGTGGAGGGGGGGACCCAACTGGGACTGAAATTTCTTGGAGAAAATCTACAAAATCGGCCAAGCACACATGGATTGTGTGACTTCATTTAGTTGGAGGAGAACTGAGCAACCCGCTGATCTCAAATGCCTTTCCCCAGGAGAAATAATCTCTCTTGTCTTGGAATGGCTGTAGCACTGCAAGTCTATTCCACCCTTGGCACTTACCTTAATCTATGCTGTAATATTATCTCTTTTAGAAATGTTTTTATCTCTTCATTATAACAATTATCTTTTTATGTGACTGACTTACCTAGGATGCTCATTCATTCCAGGTAGCCTGGAACAGTTCTGATTTGCGCCCGTTGCCATGGTTTAATTAATAGTGCCCCCTTTCACTCTCAGAAGTGTCCTGGTTTGGATGATAAATTATAAGGTTCCCATAGTCTTATCCCAACTAAATGGAAAGTTCCTGTGTTAGTCAGGATCCCAGCAAGAAACAGAATATTCTGTGGGGATTTTTGAAGAGATAAAAGTCCCTTTAATAAAGGGACTATTTACAGAAGTGTGGGCAGAGTTAAGAGCATCAAAAAAGGATGTTGAGGCACCAGGCCTGAAAAGGTAAAGGGAAGAAATGATGCCATTGGAGCTTATCTGGGGGGCACAGCTTTTGAAGAGGGGCTGCCCTAGAGAAGCCATAGTCCTGGAAGGGCTCAAACACTACAGAATGGGCCAAGCAAGGGAAGACATTCCCTACCACTGTCCTCCCACCCATCTATTACCTATCTGTGCCTTCTATTGGTTGAACACAAATGCAAGCCAGAAGGCAAAGGAGCCCTGGTGATAAAGTTGGAAGGTGTTCATTTCCTTGGGAAGAAGAGCAGGGAAAGGCAGAGAATGAATTGAGGGGGATCAGGGTATCTTGGGTCCTAGGGAAGTGGCAAACAGAAAATAAAGCTTCCTAAGGGGAGTCTCTTTGTCTTCAAGTGAATTAAAAACACATGTGTGCACACACATGCAAAACACTACAGGAAAGGCCATGATTGGCAAGACTTGGCAGCTATTTAAGGGAGATATTCTCTACAATGGGGAACAAGAAATAAACTTAAGGAAGTTAAATTGCAGACTGAAGGTAAATAGCAGACTACAACAATATTAAGCAGTATATGGTGATTGTCAGATTAATGGTGTAGGCCCTAGATGTTAAAGGAGTTTGAAGGATGAAAGATCACAATGGGCTGGAGCAATCTGAAAAAATAATTTATGGAAGAGGAGAGGTTTTCAGCAGCATTGAAATTAGAGCCAACTTATATGGGCAAGAAGGAGAGGTTGGTCTTCTTTGGGGCAATGGCATCAACAATAGCACAGGTGTTAGCCTGAAACACATCTTCCCATGGGTGGAGGGCTGGTGTTGTTTCTGAGATTTTCAAAAATCTTACAAACATTCCAGGCAAATACCTATGGAAGGGGCTAAAGGGCATTAAATGGGCTGTAAGAGGTATAGGTTGTGGGTGGCCATTGATTCATTCCTTCAATAAACATTTATTGAATGCTTGGTATTGGTCAAGCCACTGTTCTGAGAGCTGCTGATGCCAAGTAAAATAAGACATGGTTCTTTCCCTTGAAGAAAGGGAATGGGAAAGGTAACCAAGGGAGAAAATAGTTATTTTGCCTTGTGTCCAGATGAGGTTTTTCACATTCTCGGCTGGTCTTTTCACTCACTGCTGAAAGTCTTTGGAGAGCCTTTACTCCCTTCAGGGGAAAGGATCGAGGCCCTTCCGATGTGGCCTTTTCTTGAGTCTCCAGCCCCATCTCTTACCACTCCTCTCAACACAGAGGTATGCACAGACGATATGCAAGCACACAGGAGATCATCTAAATGAGACTCGAGCAGAGAGTGATTAAGGAAGACTTCCTGGAGGAGGTAATGCAATCTGAATTCTGAAGTGTGAGCAGGGGCTTTGTAATGGTGTTTCCATTTATTTGTGTCTATCCTGATGCATTCTAAAAAGGAAGTAAGATGGTTGGCTTAAGAAATACACAGACAGGATAAAAAGAAAATTAGGTAAAACATAGAGTGAGCTTATTTGCCTTTTATGTACATTGCTGCATTTGATTTCAGAAAAGCTTTATAAAGTTGCAGTTTTATTTTCATTTTCCAGATGAGGAAGCCAAGACCCAGTGGTTGAAGTACCTTGCCCAGAGCACACAGTCTTGACAGGCAGTGGAAGCAGAACAGAACCAAGCTGGTTTGGTACCAGTCTGTGAGTTTTCAGCTGTGTGCACTAGTATAAAAGATGTGCTTGTGACTTCTGTGGCTTACCTCCCTGCATAGAGCTCAAGGCCTGAAGGTGCTGCACGGGGCAGTAAAGGATGGCTGTGCACTTTGAAGACTGAAAAGTGAGTGAAGGGGGTGTTTTAGTCCATTCTCACACTGCTAATAAAGACATACCCGAGACTGGGTAATTTATAAAGGAAAGAAGTTAATTGACTCACAGTTCAGCATGGCTGAGGAGGCTTCAGGAAACTTACAATCATGGTGGAAGGGGAAGAAAACCTGTCCTTCACATGGCAGCAGCAAGGAGAAGTGCTGAGCAAAAGGGAGAGAAGCCCCTTATAAAACCATAAGATCTTGTGAGAACTCACATTCACTACCATGAGAATGGCAGCATGAGGGTAATCACCCCCATGACTCAATTACCTCCTACCAGGTCCCTCCCACAACATGTGGGGATTATGGGAACTACAATTCAAGATGAGATTTGGGTGGGGACACAGCCAAACCATATCAGAAGGGAACTGGGAAAGGTATTTCAGGCAGAAGAGTCAGTGTGTTCAAAGCAAGAGGGGTGTGAAAGAGCATGGCGTGTTGGAAGGATAGTAATTAGCTCATGATGGTTGGGAGTGTTAAGAGCACTGCTGAGAGATGGGGCTGGAGATGCAAGCAATGGCCACATCTGAAGGGCTTCATATAGCCCTTGGCCTGAAGGGAGTAAAAACTCTTGAGGAGTTTAAGCAGTGAGTGACAAGACTGAGAATGTCAAAAACCTCACTTGTACAGCAATGTAAGCAAGTCTAGGTCGGGAGAAGCCTGGAGGCAGAGAGGCCAGTTACAGGGCTTGCTGCAGTCATAGAGCAACAAGATGGTAGAAATGATAAGGAGGGTGTTAGAGTTTGGGAGCTATTATGGAGAAACATTAGACAGAGGTGGGCCCCTGGATTGGGGATGAGTAAAGGTAACAGATTCTCACTTGGGCAGCCAGTGAGGTGATGCCATTCATGAGGCAGGGATGGTGGGGAAGAACCAGCTTGGTGCTTGAAGGTGATGAGTAGAGATGATGATGGTCATAAACAACTAATAAAGAAAATGAGCTTCACTTTTTTACCTTCTGTTCTGTCTAGTTGTTTAGTTTATTGAGGCCTTAGAAAAAAATATGACAGCCCCAGAGAAAATATTGTCAATAAAAGTTAAATGTATTTATTTTGATAAGACATTGTTTTTATTGCAAAAGTAATATATACACAGACAATTTAGAAATTACAGACAAGCCAAAGAAAATGTTGTTACACAAATGCAATGTTACAATGACTTGTAACACTTTGGTGTGTATCCTTTTTTCTCTAAGCACATATGTGTAAATATATGCATTTTTAAAGGATTTCAGTAATGTTCTCATGATTAAATATATCATGCACATCCTTCTTTCTTTTCTTTCTTGCTTTTTTTTTTTTTTTTTTTTTTTTTGAGACATGGTCTAGCTCTGTCACCCGGGCTTGAATGTAGTGCAATTCTGGCTCACTTCAACCCCCATCTCTTGAGTTCAAGTGATCCTTCTGCCTCAGCCTCCCAAGTAGCTGGCACTGCAGGTGTGCACCACCATGCCCAGCTAATTTTTGTATTTTTTGTTGGGACAGGGTTTTGCCATGTTGCCTAGGCTTGTCTCAAACTCCTAGGCTCAAGTGATCCACCCACCTTGGCCTCCCAAAGTGTTGGGATTACAGGCATGAGCCACCATGCCTGGCACATGCACATCTTTCAATAACATTGGTAATTCTATAAGATCATTTTGGAGATTGCATGGTATTCCATTTATGAATGCACCGTCTCCTATTCAACTATGTTTCTGCTGAGACATTTAGGTTGTTTCCATTTTTGTTTTTACTATTACAAACAACTCTGCAATAAAATAATGAAAATTTAAATTTTCCAATTAACCTTTGGTTTTTAGTAGTGCAATTAAGTTTATGATATTAAGTTTGGGCATGGTTTGTTTTTTTAAGTGGTTGTAGAAAGAAACAGATTTTTTTTTTTTTTTGAGACGGAGTCTCACTCTGTCGCCCAGGCTGGAATGCAGTGGTGTAATCTCGGCTCACTGCAACCTCTGCTTCCCGGGTTCAAGCAATTCTCTGCCTCAGTCTCCCGAGTAGCTGAGATTACAGGCACCTGCCACCACACCCGGTTAATTTTTGTATTTTTAGTAGAGACGGGGTTTCACCATCTTGGCCACGCTGGTCTTGAACTCCTGATCTCGTTATCCACCTGCCTCAGCCTCCAAAAGTGCTGGGATTACAGGCATGAGCCACTGCGCTTGGCGAAACAGTTGTTTTTAAATTGCTCTGAAAAAATATGTGGTCTCTAATTCTCATGTATGAGAGCAAACTGATATAAGGTATGGCTATTAAAAAGGAAGTATGGAAACTATCTGTCAGTTGAGTCATTCTTTAACTTTCAGTGAGGGCAGAGACCATGTTTGCTAATGAGATTCCTTTGCTTTAATGACTTTTTCAGTGTCTCCCCAAGGAGCATACAAAATTTTGTCAATTCTTCAAAATGATCTACAAATTGATAAACCTCATGAATAATTGCGGTTGTAGTTAGATTCAACTTCCTTTTGATTGTGTACAATAAATTTTTTGCATACATCTTTAAAATTTTTTCCCTTAATTTAGCAGCAGGCTTTGAGGATAGGAAACATATTATAGCTGACCTTTTTTAACTGATCATTGCCCTTTTCCTCAGAGTTCCTACTGACTAAACTCTGTGCTAGGTGTCTGCTCTCTCTGCCCTTGTCAAGCCTCTAATAGTCAAACATCTGAAATTCCTCTTTTCCAGTGAAGATGCTGCAGAGTACTTGGAAGAGAAAACGAGATATTTCTGGCTTGTCTGGACAAGGTTAGACCCCCGATAGCAGCAGAAAAGGGATACAGGATGTCAGTGATAAATGGGTTGTCTCTGTTCAAACAATAGAATGCATGCATTCTCCCAAAGTGCTTGGAAAATCCCCAGTAGCTGTGTACTCCAAGCCATCCTGGTTGGATGTAGATACATTTCACCAGTCTCAATACCCTTTTTCTTTCATAAATATCTTCTATTCTAAAAGAAGGTGAATAGAAAGTACAAGCTAATCTCACACATAACCTAAGCATAACATAAAGGAGAAATTTTAAAAATTTAATTTATAGTAAACATACATTATAGCCAGATGCTTGTACTTATACCTAGAATCGTTGTGAATGTGACACCTACAAATGCAGACTGGTACTGGAGTGATACATCGATGACTCAAATACCACAGGGGGCATCACCATTGGTATTGTAATTTTCCAGAATGATGAACTACAGTGGGTTAAGTTATGCGTGAAGCAACATCCAGTTTTCCTTGCCTTTATAAAGTGCATTCCTAAAAATTCAGTGAGGCAACGTCCAATTTTCTTTGCATTTATAAATTGTATTCCTAGAAAATTCAGTGCATTTAAAACTACTCAAAAGTATTTTGTGTTTTATGTGTAAATTAAAGTTAGGTTTTAGGCTCACATCATTGTAAATAGGTTTTTCCTCTACTTGAAAGACATTCAAAGCTCATGTCTGACATGAGACAGCTTCTTTTTGCACGACTGACCCACATATTATTGGGCATCTCTAATCCCAGGACCCCAGCCAGTTGTACCTCATTCATTGTTAGAGCCAAAATACAAACAAACTAGGCCCGGCATGGTGACTTAATGCCTGTAATCCCAGCACTTTGGGAAGCTGAGGCGGGCAGACCTGAGGTCAGGAATTTGAGACCAGCCTGGCCAACATAGTGAAACCCTGTCTCTACTAAAAATACAAAAATCAGCTGGGCGTGGTGGCATGTGCCTGTAATCCTAGCTACTTGGGAGGCTGAGGCACGAGAACTGCTTGAACTTAGGAGGCAGAGGTTGCAGTGAGCCGAGATAACACCACTGCACTCAAGCCTGGGTGACAGAGTGAGACTCTGTCTCAAAAAAGAAAAATAAACCAAAACCCCCAAATACTGACAAACTTACAAATTGTCCCTTTAGGTGGGTAAAATTCCCCTGCCTTCACCTCAATCACTGGTTAAGCAGCTCCTGACTGTTTTTCTTTTTTGGACCTGGGAGGATTTTCCTCTGAGGTACAGAGAATTAGGTCAACTTGAGTCTGATTTAAAAAAATTATTTATGTTAAAAATGGTGCACATATACACAATTATATATAACACAATATATAATGTTAAAAATATACATATAATAAAAGTTACCATTTAAACCATTTTAAATGTATAGTTCAGTGACATTAAACATTCACATTATTGTACAACCAATACCATTATCCATCTCCAGAACAGTTTTATCTTCTCCTCCTGGTTTTTTAAAGAAATCACGGACAGTAGTCTGTTTTGTCTCTCGTTTTCTTTTTTCTTTTTTTGAGACGGAGTCTCACTCTGTCTCCAGGCTAGAGTGCAGTGGTGTGATCTCAGCTCACTGCAACCTCCGCCTCCTGGGTTCAAGCGATTCTTGTTCCTCAGCCTCCCGAGTAGCTGAGATTAGAGGCGCCCGCCACCACACCCAGCTAATTTTTGTATTTTTAGTAGAGACGGGGTTTCACCATGTTGGCCAGGATGGCCTCAGTCTCCTGACCTCATGATCCACCTGCCTCGGCCTCCCAAAGTGTTGGGTTTATAGGCGTGAGCCACCGCACCTGGCCTGTCTCTTGTTTTCTTAGGTCTTCTCATTGGCACTCATTCTGAGAATTGGTCTGTTTCTTTTTTCTTTTTCTTTTTCTTTTTTTTTTTTTGAGATGGAGTCTAGCTCTCTCGCCCAGGCTGGAGTTCGGTGGCACGATCTCGGCTCACAGCAACCTCTGTCTCCCTAGTTCAAGTGATTCTCCTGCCTCAGCCTCCCAAGTAGCTGGGATTACAGGCAGCCGTCACCACGCCCAGCTAATTTTTGTATTTTTAGTAGAGACAGGGTTTCATTGTATTGCCAGGCTGGTCTTGAACTCCTGACCTTGTGATCCACCCACCTCAGCCTCCCAAGTGCTGGGATTACAAGCATGAGCTACTGCTCCCGGCCTGCTCTGTTTCTTGATTCTGATTAGGCCAGGTTTGTGACTCAACTTTTTGTCTCTGGTGAGGCTGTCATGCTCTGAGCTCTGCCTGTGCTGCTGACCATGCCTCTGCCCCCAGCCATATGGTAACCACACATGGCATCACCTCTCCGGCAGACCCGGGCCTCCCCAGCTCTGTGGCAGTGTCGGGGACTGAGTTACCCTATGACTCCTCTTCACTCTCCCTTCTGGAAAATTCATCTTTTCCTTGGCAGGTTATATCATAATTTCATATTCATTTGATCACTTTAGACATCCTATATTCCACCGTACAGTCCTGTTTTGTCTACACTTGTCTATCTGAAATCCTATGTTATTAGGCTGTCTGTTAGAAGAGGCAACTTGGCAGTGTGGAAAGAGCATTAGAACTGGAATCAGAGGACAGTGAGTAAAAAGTGAGAGGGCTGATCACTAGATAATCTGCAGCTTCAAAGAAAAAGTTAATACATTAATTTCTATAAAATATCTACCTACCTCATAGAACCTTCATAAGCATTGAATGCAAGTGAAAAATCGTAAAAGCATAAGGCATTATTATATAGCCCTTACTGTAATAAAAGATGCATAATACATGCTTTTTAAATGACAAAAGATATAATGACATACACTACTAATTGGTAAAGAACATAAGGCTGGATAATAGAATCTGCAAACGCAGATATAGGCTGTTTTATTTAGTAGGGATGTAGTCTTCAATAAATGTTAAATGAACATATGTGCTCCAGAAAGGTTATTCAAAACCTTCATTTGGGGGTATTTAAAAGACAGTAACTCTCAGATATTTAGTGCTTGGAAGTCCACATAGATGTTCTGGAGCATCAGCAGATGTGTGAGGTTGATTTCTGCCTGTTGTCATGAGAACACAGCTTGTCTTTATTGGCCTTTAGGAACATGACCCTAAAAGTCAGCCTGACAGTGATATTCTTCTATGAAAAGAGAGACTACTACCCAAAGGAGCTGTGATAGGAGACCTGAGGAGTCAGATATGATCAGATGTTCTGTTTCCATTTACAGAGTCCTGAAAATCTTTGAGGCTGGTAGCTGCAAGTCATAGTTCCAGCCAGTGCTGTGCTGAGCCATGTTGCAAAAGGAAGGATGTGTACTACATACTATATAACTGGATACATGATTTTACGTATTTTTAAAACCAGTTATTGGCGGCCAGGCGCGGTGGCTCATACCTGTAATCCCAGCACTTTGGGAGGCTGAGGCAGGTGGATCACCTGAGGTCAGGAGTTCATGACCAGCCTGGCTAACATGATGAAACCCCATCTCTACTAAAAATACAAAAAAATTAGCTGGACATGGTGGCGGGCACCTGTAATCCCAGCTACTCGGGAGGCTGAGGCTGGAGAATCGCTTGAGGTTGCAGTGAGCCGAGATGGCGCCATGGCACTCCAGCCTGGGCAATAAGAGTGAAACTGTCTTGGAAAAAAAAAAAAAGGCTATTGACTTAGATAAAAATACCACCTATGAATTTGCTTCCATTAAAACCAGCAAAATAAATTTATAATAAATTCTGATCAAATACTTAAAATGTGAGTTTTATTTAATTGAAAAGTAGATATCTACTTTTCAATTGTTTCAATATTTTAAAACTAGTGCTCTGAAAAAAATTCATATCTGCTTAAGGTATTATTTTTATTTTATTTTTTTTGAGATGGAGTCTCACTCTGTCGCCCAGGCTGGAGTGCAGTGGCACAAACTTGCAAGCTCCGCCTCCCAGGTTCACGCCATTTTCCTGCCTCAGCCTCCTGAGTAGCTGGGACTACAGGCGCCTGCCACTGCGCCCGGCTAATTTTTTTGGTATTTTTAGTAGAGACGGGTTTCACCGTGTTAGCCAGAATGTTCTCGATCTCCTGACCTCATGATCCACCTGCCTCGGCCTCCCAAAGTGCTGGGATTACAGGCGTGAGCCACTGTGCCTGGCCAAGGTATTATTACATAGCATTTATCATAATTAAACATCAAAAATACATTAAAAACATGTGAATAGGGTTGTATGTTTTTCTGTTGTAGGCTCCAATATGGCTTAACATGGAACTATCAGTTCTTGTTTTCATTTAAAATGTTATTTTGTTCTTTATGGATTTTTGCATTAATTTAGATTTAAAAAAATATTATATTAAAATATTATTTATCTTGACGACTGAGTTTTTTGTGCCCCGCCCCTTATATTTTCTGCCTGAGGTTAGTGTTTCGCTTGCCTTAACCTATTCCTGGCCCTGGTCCCAACCCTCTATCCCAACAAACTATAATACAAAAACTGCTACAGGAATGAAAACTATGCTGACTACGCTAGAGGAGACATTCAAATCCAACTAATTTCTCCACAATCCAAGTGAGTCCAGGAAGCAACATGTCAAGTGGGGCAGGGAATGTGAGCTTTAGGGCTAGACAGATCTGGAATTAAATCCTGCCTTGCCTCCTTATCAGTCTGAGTAATTACTTACCCAGTCTGAGCCTGTTGTCTTATTTTTAAAAGGATCAGTCATTTTTTAGTGAGAGTTAAACGAGATCACTTGTGTAAAGCCTCTGTATTCAATGAATGTTCACCTGTGTCCTTCCCTACTTTAGAAATAGTAGATTGACTCACAAACACTGAGTTGCCCAAAGACTTGCTCCCAGAAGTGCTGGCATTGAAATTTGAACCCAGGTGTAGAGAAAGTCCTGTGCTCTTCTCACTAAATTGCACTAATTCTAGCTGCTGCAGGGTTGCGTCTTTCTAGGGACATAATTCCTAGGTATACCAGCTACATCCCAGAGAACTTGGATAAGCAGCTCTGGAGCAGAGGTGGAATATGTAGCCCTTTGACCCGGCCATATAGCACCAAAATATAAACATCAATGCAGAAATTAATGCCATCTCCTCTTTCTGACTCTACAAATATTTATTAGCAAGGGATAAGATTTCCAAAAGATCTGAAGAGAGTCAAGAAACTTTTTTCCCCCCTTTTCTTTAGAGGCAAGATCTCACCACGTTTTCTGGGCTAGTCTCAAACTCCTGGCTTTGTTACTGCGGCAAATCCCACAGGTCTGCAGCAACCTCAATTCTCGTTTCCTCAGAAGAAAGAATTCGACTGAGGGGCAGAAGGCAGAAGGAGATACTGAGGCAAGTTTTAGAGCAGAAGTGAAAGTTTATTAAAAAACTTTAGAGCAGGAATGAAAGGGAGGAAAATATACTTGGAAGAGGCCCAAGTGGGTGACCTGAAAGACAAATGTGTGGTTTGACCTTTTGATTTGGGGTTTTATACATCGGCATACTTCCAGGATCTTGGGTTACTTCTCCCCACTCCTGAAAGCTTATCCAGAAGTTGATCAGTTTCAGGTGTTTTCTATTTATTGTGAGCCTGCCTTTCCCTAGCACCGGCTGGGACCAATTATTACTTTAGAGAGACAGTTAACAACCCCCTCGCCTGCCCAAGACTCCTGGGCTGGGGATGGGGGAACCCTCTCCTGCCCATTCCTTCCCTCTCCTGCCCATTCCTTCCCTCTCCTGCCCACTCCTCCCCTCTCCTGCCCTGCCCTGCTCCACCTATGTCTGACTAGCTACTTACTGTAACAGCCTCAAGCGATCCTCCCACGTTGGTCTCCCACAGTTCTGGCATTCTAGGTGTGAGCCACTGTGCCTGCCCTCAAGGAACTTGAACACTGTGCTTTTCAATATATGAGACAATTTGTAATTAGGAATTAGATATCTTTGTTAATTGTATGTATGCATTTTGGTATATTTCTTGTGATGATTGATATTTTATCTCATTTTAGAGGCAGATTGTATAGAATAAATTGAAATTTGCTTAGTGATGGCAGAAAGCTTTGCATCTCTTTTAGGGGTGATTAGCTATGCTTACAATAAAACTGTGCATATATATATATTTGGAACATCCTTATAATAAAAAAATAAGCAACCTACATGTCCAACAATAAAATAGTGTTTATATGAATTATGGCATACCATAGAATATTATGCTGTGATTAAACATGGTATTTCCAAAATATAAAATGAAAAAATGAGGACATAAGACTGTTTAATATGTATCTGGCTGGGTGCAGCGGCTCATGCCTGTAATCCCAGCAATTTGGGAGGCTAGGCAGGAGGATTACTTGAGCCCAAAAGTTGGAGACCAGCCTGGGCAACATGGCAGAACCTTACCAAAATAATACAAAAATTAGCCGGGTGTGATGGCTCATGCCTGTGGTCCCAGTTACTCTAGAGGCTGAGGTGGAAGGATCCCTTGAGCCCAGGAGGCAGAGGTGCAGTGAGAGCCATGTTCATGCCACTGCACTCCAGCCTGGGTGACAGAGTGAGACCCTGTCTCAAAAAAACAAAAAACAAAAACTGTATAATATAAATCTAACTCTGTAAAGTTTTTAAAAATGTACTTATGTAAATAGAGAAAACAACTAAGTAAAGATATTGAAATGTTAACGGTAATTAGTGATGGGATTATAGGTGACTTTTATTTTTTAAACAGTCTTTCATAGATTTTTCCAAAATGTCTATAAATTAACAAATATTATTTTTCTATAATTAAAAAATACTTTAAAATAGTTGCTTTAATGGTGGAGTTTAAATGGTATCCAAAATAGACCTGCCCAGTTTTATTTTGGAGCAAATAAATTTGACAATTAGAACAATTGCAATGTATGTTTTTATTTTAATTTTATTTTTACTTTTATATTTTCTAAAGACAAGGTCTTGCTCTGTCACTCAGGCTGCATAATCATAGCTCACTGCAGCCTCAAACTCCTGGGCTCAAGCGATCCTGCTGCCTTAACCTCCCAAGCAGCTAGGACTACAGGCACATGCCACCAGGCCCAGCTAATTTTAAAAATTTTTGTAGAGACAGGATTTTGCTATGTTGCCCAGGCTGGTCATGAACTTTTGGCCTCAAGCAATCCTCACTGCCCCACCTCCCAAAATGCTGGGATTACAGATGTGAGCCACCACACTTGGCTTCAATGTATGTCTAAATAGTCATGCAAACCTTTAAGTAAAGGAAATTTTTTTAACTTTTTTTTTTTTTTTTTTTTTTTTTTTTTTAAAGACAGGGCCTTGCTTTGTTGCCTAGGAGCACAGTGGCTCTTCACAGGTGTGATCACAGTGCACTCTGGCCTAGAACTCCTGGCTTCAAGCCATCCTCTCCTCTTGCCCCAGCCTCCTGAGTAGCTGAGAATACAGGCCGTTGCTACCATACCCAGCTTAAGTTAAGGAAATTTTGAGTCACCTTTGTCCTGGTTTAGCCATAGTTCATAATGTTAAAAAGGAACTTAATTTCTGGTGCCAAAATATCACCACAGTTTTTACTGATTTGTTCTTATATGCTTTCACCTCCAGAATATAAAATAAGTTAGGAGCAAAATATATGTAATGGAATGCTGTATGTAGGGAGAAAATTGGGTTGACCATAACCCCTGAAAAAGAAAAATAATGCATCTCTCATTTGTGGCAGCAGTAAATTGAACAAACGCTTTGCTTTGTTTCCCACTTACAGTATTAAAGAAGACATTTGATATGTCATGGCACACACTCCTTTCCTGATCTATTTCCTAACACTCCTCTCCTTGTGAATGTTTACCTGTCACTCTGCTGAGTGTCTGTATCTTTTTTTTACCCTCTAACATTAACCCATCTCCTTGTCACTAGAAGGGAAGCAGATGTGAGCATAGCTGTTCCATAGTACCACTTTCCCCATCTATATGACTACCACAGAAACAATCATGTTCTTATAGAACTCTGCTGCCCCCATCTCTGTTGTTTGGCCCAGGGGTTGGGGACACCACATAAACCAGGTCAAGGACTTCTAGACTTTTCCTCTGGTAGGGGAGACTTTAGATGCAAATATTGGAAACTGTTATTATTCGTTGTTGTAGTTGAATTATGTCTCCTGAAAAAAGGTATGTTTTTGAAGTCCTAGCCCCCAGTACCTCAGAATGTGACCTTATTTGGAAATAGGGTGTTTATACCTGTAATCAAGTTACAATGAGGTCATTAGAGTAGGCCCTAATCAATAGGACTGGTGTCCTTACATAATAAAAAAGGGAAATTTAGACTCAGAGACAGACACACACAGAAGGAAGACCATGCGAAGAGACACAGGGAGGAGATGGTTATGTGACTGGAGTGACGCATCTAAAAGCCACTGGCTGTCAAGGATTGCCCGCAAACATGGGAAGCTGGGAGAGGCCAGAAAGGATTCTCCCCGAGTCCTCTGAGTGGGCGTGCCCTGCCAACTCCTTGAGCTTGGACTTCTAACCTCCAGAATTGTAAGACAATAGATTTCTGTTGTTTTAAGACAACTCATTTTTAGTGTGTTATTATAGCAGCCCTAGAAAATAATACTGTGTTGTGTTTTTTTTTTTTCTCATCATATGGAGTGGAGAGAACTAGTGAGAGTATGCAGGTTTTTTTTTTTTTTTTTTTTTTTGAGAGAAGCGTCACAGTGAGTCTGATAGCTTTTGAATCTTGGTTTTGAGTCCTTTCTGAGACCTAAATGCATGACTGTCCTTTCTGTGTATTGGTTATTCAATCTTTTCTTGGATTACATGAACCGATTATCAGTTTTTGTGAGGGTGGAGTGTCTAAGTTGATTGAGTTGTATTTCTGGCACTTTTCTGGCACTTCCAATGAGAAATAGCTAATGAATCCTGAGTATCTAAGCAGCCTAGGAACGTGACATTTTCTAATACAAATGACATAAAACTTTTTTAGGTGTTGTATTACCTGAAGGCCAAAGTTCTCCTTTTCTAACACTATGACATATTGATATATTTAATTCCTCACATAAAACAGGAAAAAATTACTTGGAGAAAATACAGCTTTTATTATAAGGATGCAGGCAGGTCTCATGCATCTGAGCTTTTTATTTATTTGTTAATGCTCATTCATGTTGTCTTTTTTTCAATTGGAACCACCAAAACTTAAGAAAAAATTATGGGAGAAATAAATTTTAGTTTAATGATTGAACATCTGCTATGTGCAGGCACTGATCTAGGTGTTATGTTACAACTGTGAGCAGGACTAAATCCTTGCCTTGGAGGAGTTTATAACCTGGTAGGGGAAAAAGAGAAGTAAACAGAGTGCCAGGTGTTGTGGTGTGAGCCTGTAGTCCTTGGAGCTGAGGTGGGAGGATGGCTTTAGCCCAGGAATTTGAGGCCATGGTGCACTATGATCAGGATTGAGAACAGTCACTGCACTCCAGCCTGGGTAACATAGCAAGACACTGTCTCTGAAAAAAAAAAACCACAAAAAACAAAATTAAAACAAAACAGGTAATCGAAATACTGTGACTAGGTTGTAGCATGACTAGATTATGGAGTGCAAGGGATGAGATTTTCAAGATAAAGGAGATAGATCAAGAAATGCCTTTCATGCCACATAAAAGAGTTTTGTTTAGACAAATGGCAGTGGGAGTAGGTTTTGAGCAGGAGGGTGAGAAAGGTAGGACTGAGCCTTTGAAAGTTCTAGTGCTTTAGAAGAGGCTCAGCATTTCAGTTAGGAAGACTGTGTGTAACATAGGTTTGAGATGGTAGTGGTCTCCTCCCCCAGGATGGTGGTGATAGAGATGGAGGGGAGTGGACTGGTTCAGGGGAAATTATTAATAGGAGGTGAAATTGACAGGCTTGGTCATGGGTGGTTGTGAGGGAGAGAAAGTCAGGTGTCTGGCTGAGGAGCTTTGCTGGATGGAAGTGGTATTTGCTTAGGCAACAGACAGGAAGGAGAGTGGTTTGGGAAAGAGGGGGGGATGATGCAAGCATTGCTGAATGTGATGGGCTGTAGGACCAGCAGTGGGGATGTCCACAAGAGTTGGCTATATATCATTGGTGCTCAGTGGAGGGGCCAGAGGATTTGAATATAGTTAATAATTAAAAATGCAGATGTGATTACCAAGGGAGTACATATTATGTAAGAAAATCAAACAATGAGGACGTATCTCTGAGAAACTCCAACCACTCTGAAAAACTCCAAAAGACCATTCTTGGTAACTGTGCCAAGTGAATGGCCTGGTCTCTGAAACTCTACACTCAGACACAGGTCATCCTGGAGAGTGGTGTCCTTCTGGATTGTCACATACCCTGTGAATGAAGCATGTGTTACAACAATAATGGAAAATATGCAAATGAGAAAAAAAGTTTCTCAGTGCCCCACCAACCTAAATTCTGGCTCCACCCCTATTTGTTTTCTCATATTTGTCTGAATTTCTCCAAGGAGCCCATAATCAATGCTGGGTCATTCCTGGAGTCTTGACGGTCACCAGGATTCACCTTTGGCTTTTGTTTCAGTCCAAAAGTAAGAGTTAGTGTCATGTGTGAGGCAAACACATGCTGCGACTTGTTTGAGGGAACACTGAGATTTCAAGTTGAGGAAAAGCCTTCTGGTACATGAGGTCGATTGTAGAATGAAAATGAATATGAATATTGAACTTTCCTGCCAGCAGTCTGCAGGCTTCTGATTTCAGGCCCCTGCAAACTGTTATTTCCTGGGCTTGTTTTTAAAAGCAGAGCCCAAACTTATTTCTGAGAAAGGACAGAATTAAAATTCAGCAGATAGTTGTTCATGCTGTATAAATAAATTCCTCTTCAGAGAGTGAAGGAATCCTTTTTCTCAGGGACCACAGGACTGCTTATAATGACTGTTTTCCTCACATCAAGAGCTCAGTCTTTGTGGCACCTTGACTTTTTTTGGAGGGGGCAACCAGTAGCTGTTGTCTAAATGTATGTCATGTACATTAATTTTTACCATGAAATCTGAATGTTTGGGGATATACAAGTAAATGTTTCTTGACATATGATTTCCCCAAAGTGAATATAAAAATGCCCTGATCTTGAATTGAAAAACAGAACATGTGGTTAAACTAGCAAAGACAGAAAACACTATAGTAAATATTGTCGTTCAATGATCAGCTAAACTAAAGCTGATTATTGAAGGTTTCTCCTTATTTTGTGCTTACTTCCTATCTCTCCCCGTTTCTTGTAGTTTTAGAATTCCAGATTCTCTTATGTGTTATCATGTTGGGGGTCTACTTTGATCAAGAATAGCATTTTTTAATATACTATTCCTCTGAACAATATAAGCAGCCCCTATGTTGTATTGATCTATTACTCTGACACTACTTTAAACAGACAAATAAGCAAACATTCTGATTCCTTTATGGGCCTTTTATCAGATTTTGGTGGGACTCTTTCAACAAATAGCTGATGTAACTCAGTTAGTTTTGACACTGCTAAACTTGTGGAAATACCTCTGAGGCTAGCAGGCTTCTGGCCACCATGTACTTTTAGAAACTAAGTTGTAACACTCAGTGACAGTGTTTATTCCCATGGAAAAATGTAATAATTAAAGACTGAATTCCTTGGACAGGGATATTTGGCCGGATACTTAATGATGTCATTAAAGAAAAAACACAACAGCACAAGTTTCCAAACCAATAAAAAAATAGTAAAACTGTTTTCTAGCTTCTTTAAAATGGGCTTACTATATTGTTACTTTGATTTTAGCAGGGACCCTAATGATTGACAAAATGTACTCGTAGTACATGAAAATACAACTCCACTGTGGTGTAAATTTTCTCTAAAACTAATATGCTGGTGATAATAAACATTACGCATTTAACTAACAACAATTTTGCTTCGTTTGCAGAATTTAGAAAAGCTTTTTGGTAGCATTTTGGAAGGCTCAGATTTCTTTAAGACATCTGTCTAGGGAAATTTGAACTAATTTCTCTTTTATTTCCCTCTTGTAAAAATTCCCATTAGCAAGCAAATGCATTCAAAACCATTCCATTGATCTTATAACTGTGTTTTATAACAATAGCCATGAGCTTTTCCTTTCTATCCTGTGGGCTGAAAGCACTGCAGTGGGGTGTCTGAATGGCACACAGGAACCAGGGGAACTGGGAAGTGAGGGGCAGCCAGCTTTGAGAGGGACCCCGGTCTGTCTTTCTAGCACAGCAAATGTCAGGGGAAAGGGATTTGGCTTCACCCTTTTTGTTTTCTGACCCTGTTTCCAGGAAGACTTTGTAAAAGTTGAAGACTGCCAGGAACTTATTTAAAACTATAATGGAAGTTTAAAAATGATCATAAAATGCCAGTTTCATGACAGCTTCATGACAAAATCACAGTTTGGCCTTCTTCTCCAAAAACCAAAGAATTCCTACGAAGCAAAGCACCCACCCCAAATTCAGTCACATCCCATCTTTACATTTCTCCCAGTACCTTCTGGTCCTATCAGTTCAATGTCATGCTGAGGATATAAAGGCCCAGGAACAAATGTGGCAGGGGATGGGTTCAATTTATCTGATGCAACCCTGCTGAAATTGTCTTTTTCTACAGACATTTTATCAAGTCATAGGAGAGTTTAACTTTCTCTCTTTTCTAATTAGTTCTATGAACTTATCTATTTTCCTCATATTTTCTAACCCAGTCCTAGAGAGAAATTTGACCTTTATAATGACTACAATATATCAAGTACTGATATGCCAGGTAAAATGCTAAATATTACATGTATTATTATAATTATTTGAGACAGGCTCTCACTCCTGTCTCCCAGACTGGAGTGTAGTGGTGCCATCTTGGCTCACAGCAGCCTCAAATTTCAAAGTTCAGGTGATCCTCCCACCTCAGCCCCCTGAGTAGCTGGGACTACAGGCAAGTGCCACCATGCCTGGCTGGTGTGTGTGTGTGTGTGTGTGTGTGTGTGTGTGTGTGTGTAGTTTTGGTAGAGATGGGGTTTCACCATGTTGCTAGGGTGGTCAAACTCCTGGACTCAAGCGGTCCACTCACCTCAGCCTCCCAAAGTGCTGGGATTACAGGCGTGAGCCACTGTGCCTGGTCTGTGATACATATTATTGCATTGAATCCCCAAGTAAGTTAGAGATTCTTAGTCTCTCTACAGTTAAGGAAACCAAGGCTCAGCAGGATCATACAGCAAGATTTCCCCTGATTGCATGGCTAGTAAGTGTTGAGGCTGAGATTCTAACTGAGGTCTATCTCATGGAAAACCCATGCTCACAGCCACTGTGCTGTGTGCTCTTCCTGTCTGGATGTGGTCCTTGTCTGGGTACCTCAGTGTTCTCATGAGGCACCTCTGGCTTCTGAGATGTAGACAGAAACTAGGTATTAGGTTGGTGCAAAAGTAATTGCAGTTTTTGCCATAAAAGTATGTTTTAGAATTAACATCCCAAATGAAAGGTACTTGAAGTTTAAGCCACTCTGAATACTAATAAGATACATAGTGTAATAGTAACATATGCCTGAGACCCAGCCTAATATTCTTCTTTGAATTCACACTTAACACTCACTCACGCAACCAATTTTATTGAAGCGCTCTTTGTGCAAGAAAGTCCACTTTGAAACTAGAGTTCTCCAGGGAAACAAAAGCCTCCTTAGAAACAATGTTGGAATCTGGATTGCTGTGGAAGAAACTTAAAAAGCTTGAGTCCCTTCCACTTCTATTCTTGGATGGGTTTTGGCCCCTAGCTGGTTCAGAAATTCTTTATCCTCATTTAGATTCTCTAAAGGAGTGGCTCATTCCAGCCCAGCACAGCCTCATTCTGCCCATAGCAGGTTTCCACCCTGGCTCTGCTCCCCCGCAGCGCGAGCACCAGGAGGGGACAGTGCTGGGCCCACTTTGCATAGGGGCATGTATGACCCAGGCAGGGCGGACTCTCTGTGGAAAAACCTCAGGGCTGCTTTCTGGCTTTAGTCATATTCGTTAGATGAAACTTGTAGGTGTTACTAAGACATTCTGCGCCCTGAAATTGGGAGTGGTTTTGAAAACTGGTCTCAACTATTAGATTCCGAACAACTAAGCTTCCACATTCATTGACAGTTACGTGCAGCAAAGAAGTCTTTCTCATTGCCTGTTTTTCCATCCTTCTATGTGCAAACACTATGTATCTTATTAGTATTTAGAGTGGCTTAAACTTCTAGTACCTTTCATTAGGGATGTTAATTCTTAAATACACTTTTAATGGCAAAAACCGCAATTACTTTTGCACCAACCTAAAACCTAGATGTTTCTGTCTACATAGTCAGATAGTGAGTGGAGGCAGTGCAAGAGATGTCAGTTTTGCAGCTTGCTTTTCTTCAGTTCCTCGCATCAGATTCTGATTCTCTTTTCAGACACCTGTTTCTCCTCGTTTTCTAGTTTCTGGTAGTATTACCTCAGAATCTAGAGCTAACCCCCGAGTGCTCCTTGGCTGAGAGCACTTTAATACCTAATGGATGATAACAGGATCTAACATGGAGTTGTGGAGAAATCATGGACACAGGATTTATTTATTTAATAAATATATTTATTGTCACTACATGGAGAGTACACCATACTCACCTCTGGATGAGTGGGGAAACTGCTGATATGAGGTCATTTCCCCAAAATGACGCTTTTGTTATCATGTCAGGGTGGCTTTACTTCCACCATTAGTTGCTTCCTTTTTTTTTTTTTTTTTTTTTTGAGATGGAGTCTCACTCTGTTGCCCAGACTGGAGTGCAGTTGCATGATCTCGGCTCACTGCAACCTCTGCCTCCTGGGTTCAAGTGATTCTCGTGCCTCAGCCTCCCAAATAGCTGGGACTACAGGCATGCACCACCACGCCCGGCTAATTTTTGTATTTTTAGTAGAGACAGGGTTTCACCATGTTGGCCAGGCTGGCTCGTACTCCTGACCTTAAGGGATCTGCCTACCCTGGCTTCCCAAAGTGCTGGGATTACAGGCGTGAGCCACCATGTTCAGCCTGCTTCCTTTTTTAAAACCAATTTTTTCCTATGCTGATATTCTAGGAAATGTTAGTAAGCATACAGTAAAATGTGCTCAAAGTGCACATAAACCTGGGACATGTTGGAGTTAAACAAAACTAAATAGTTTTCTTAGCTGCAGGGTGCCCAGAGCCTGCAACGTACGAATGTGTGTCATAATTGTTCACAAAGGGCTCCATCATGTTAAGCATTTCCTAGTTATTTGACCATAGAACTTCTTTTTTCATGGCAAGTCTATTAATAGCTCCTAGAACAGAGTTCCAGTGATCATTGTGTGATGAACACTGAAGGTCTTTTTCAAAAGCTTTGAAGGTTCTTGTCAAAAGTACATGCATTATCCAGGAGAGGAAATGCAATTGACCACCACTATCCCAGAATAAGCTGGCTGAAATTAGCTAGCTAATCTCACTTGGCAAGGCCTGAACAACAGCTTCCTCTCTCTTGAGTTTGAATCCCTGTCTGTCATTTCTGCATGATCTATGCTAATTTTTGACCCCACTGGTCCTCTTTCTTGCCCCACAATTTATCCTCCCTAACTGACACAGATATAGTGGGCATCAGAGATAATGTTTTCCAGGCTCCAGCAAGAGCCACCCTTTCAACCCCCAGTCCCAACAACGAAACACTGTAAGAAGCTTTGTCTATGTCAGGCATTCTCTGGCTTACAAGGAGGAAAGATTTTCCTTCCTAACCTAACTGAACTTAATCCTGAACTTAATCCTGAAATCTTCTCATCGCTTTTTCACCTCTGAAAAATGTGACCTTAATCAAACATGACTGCTAAATATTGGACAGGGTGAGAGCCACAGAGAATCAAAAGGAAACATGCTGAAAGGTAGTGTGTATGTGTATTAAACTTTCCTGAGCAATTTCAAAGAGGTAGTAGTTGTGTGAAGGGTAGAATATTTGTACCATGATTTGGATTTGGTAGAAATCTTTTCAGTCAGCAGTGAAGGCAAACTGGTCATAGAAGTCCTACCCACCCTTCTATCTCAACCAACTTCTAAGGCATGGAGACAGGTAATTAAGACATCACCTGGGGCTCTACTTGTCAGATCCCCAAAAGAACTTTCACAATTAAGTTCTTTAAGATCATTTGGGTGTTATGCCTTATGTTTATTTAGCTCTTTAGAGTTTGTCAAATACTTTCACATATCTTATCCAAACTGATTTAAAAAATTATTTGTATTTTACTTTTTAAATTAAATTAATTCATTTTGGCCTGGTAATGTCACAAAAAATTATTTTTAGAACGGTTTTAGGTTTACATAAAAATTGGCCTGAAAGTGAAGAGGATTCCCACTTACCTACATTTTCTTCTCCCTGAAGTTTCTTTTACTATTAATATCTGGCATTACTGAGGTATATTTGTTACAATTCATCAATCAGTATGGATACATTATTATTAAATGAAGTCCACAGTTTACATCAGGGCTCATCTTTGTGTTGTGCAGTCTGTGGGCCTTGAAAGACGTAAAATGTCATGTATCCACCATTAGAATATCATAGAGAATAGTTTCACTGCCCTAAAAATATGATGTGTTCCACCTGTTCATCCTCGAGTCCCTGGCAATCATTGGTCTATTTCCTGTCTGTATAGTTTGCCTTTTCCAAATGTCATGTAGTTGGCCAAATTGACTTTAATCTTCATGACAACTCTGTAGCTAGGCAAGTTTTATTATCTCATCTTAGATGAAAGAAGTTCAGTGAGATGAAGTGACTTATCTGAGGACTCACGCTCAAGGGTACCCAAGCCAGGACTAGGACCAGCTAAAAGCATGAACACCAGCCAATCTCAGAAAGGGGTTAATTGCTGAAGACATAGACTATTAGCTTACAGGAGCCCTCTCAGCCCAAGCACTTTAATTTCTTAGTAGCTACAAGGAGGAAGATTGCACATCTTCAAAGGAAACTAGATGCATGATATTGGTGAGATGAGACTTGGAGGTGACTTCACAGATGACGGGTTTAATGCCCCATAATTATGAAGGAAGGCCAGTCTCTGCCAGTCTGACTCAGAGGGCTTACTGAGTCATCCTATTTGTCCTCTGCTGCTATTTATGGGCTTCCCAGTTGCTGATATTTGCCGGGCTGGTCTCCAGCTCCTAACCACGAGTGATCTGCCAGCCTCGGCCTCCCGAGGTGCCGGGATTGCAGACGGAGTCTTGTTCACTCAGTGCTCAATGTTGCCCAGGCTGGAGTGCAGTGGCGTGATCTCGGCTAGCTACAACCTCCACCTCCCAGCCACCTGCCTTGGCCTCCCAAAGTGCCGAGATTGCAGCCTCTGCCCAGCCGCCACCCCATCTGGGAAGTGAGGAGCATCTCTGCCTGGCCGCCCATTGTCTGGGATGTGAGGAGCCCCTCTGCCCGGCTGCCCAGTCTGGGAAGTGAGGAGCGCCTCTTCCCAGCTGCCATCCTGTCTAGGAAGTGAGGAGCATCTCTGCCCGGCTGCCCATCGTCTGAGATGTGGGGAGCGCCTCTGCCCCGCCGCCCCGTCTGGGATGTGAGGAGCGCCTCTGCCCGGCCGCGACCCCGTCTGGGAGGTGAGGAGCGTCTCTGCCCGGCCGCCCTGTCTGAGAAGTGAGGAGCCCGTCCGCCCGGCAGCTGCCCCGTCTGAGAAGTGAGGAGCCCCTCCGCCCAGCAGCCGCCCCGTCTGAGAAGTGAGGAGCCCCTCCGCCCGGCAGCCACCCCATCTGGGAGGTGGGGGGCAGCCCCCGCCCGGCCAGCCACCCCGCCCGGGAGGGAGGTAGGGGGCAGCCCCCACCCGGCCAGCCGCCCCGTCCGGGAGGGAGGTGGGGGGGCGCCTCTGCCCGGCCGCCCCTTCTGGAAGGTGAGGAGCCCCTCTGCCCAGCTGCCGCCCTGTCTGGGAGGTGTGCCCAGTGGCTCATTGAGAGCGGGCCATGATGATGATGGCGGTTCTGTCAAATGGAGAGGGGGGAAATGTGGGGAAAGGATGGAGAAATCAGATTGTTGCTGTGTCTGTGTAGAGGGAAGTGGACATGGGAGACTCCATTTTGTTCTGTACTGGGAAAGGTTCTTCTGCCTTGGGATGCTGTTGATCTGTGACCTTACCCCCAACCCAGTGGTCTCTGAAACATGTGCTGTGTCCACTCAGGGTTAAATGGATTAAGGGTGGTGCAAGATGTGCTTTGTTAAACAGATGCTTGAAGGCAGCATGCTCGTTAAGAGTCATCACCACTCCCTAATCTCAAGTACCCAGGGACACAAACACTGCGGTAGGCCGCAGGGTCCACTGCCTAGGAAAACCAGAGACCTTTGTTCACTTGTTTATCTGTTGACCTTCCCTCCACTATTGTCCTATGACCCTGCCAAATCCCCCTATGTGAGAAACACCCAAGAATGATCAATAAAAAAAAAAAGAACTAAGATTAGATGAGAATTATAAAAGCATATTGTATGCAAGGATTATATATGCATTAACATTGTTGATACAGTGCAATTGTGCTATACATCTATTTTTTAAAAGTGGGGAAGATGAAGAAAGTATATACAAAAATGATTTAGCTGTTTTCAGTAATTACATGAGCGGTGGTGGTATTGGCATTATTGTTCTGAGACTGTTGTATGTATAATGTGGAATAAAACAAATGTGTAATTATGAAAAAAAAGAGAATAAACAGGGTGACAGGTGTGGGATAGTCATTTTAAAGAAAATTTAGTAGCTGATTCTTTTTTAAAGCTCTCCATGCTTAAAATATAAATATTCTGAAAGAAAACAAAAGCCAAGACCCTTTTTGTAGAGAGTTGGAGAATGCTAGGACTTTCTGGGAGTGCTGGCTTTTGCACAGGCATGGGTAAACATTAGTGAAGTTATTGCTGAGAACAGCTCGGGACAGGAGGGGAATGAAAAGAGAAGACAGTATGGAGACAATGAGAGAAAAGGACTGAAATGTAGTCACCTGAGCAACTTAAGATCCGTTTGTCATTAGAAAGAGACTAGAACAGCAACATCACCCTCATAAAGTGTAGTCATCTGGGCTGGGCACTGTGGCTCATATCTGTAATCCCAGCACTTTGGGGGGCCAAGGTGGGCAGATCATTAGGTCCGGAGTTTGAGACCAGCCTGGCCAACATGGTGAAACCCCGTCTCTACTAAAAATACAAAAATTAGCCGGGTGTGGTAGCACTCGCCTATAATCCCAGCTACTTGGGAGGCTGAGGCAGGAGAATTGCTTGAACCCAGGAGTCAGAGGCTGCAGTGAGCCGAGATCACACCACTGCACTCCAGCCTGGGTGACAGAGCAAGACTGTCTCAAAAAATAAAAATAAAAATAGCGTAGTCATCTGAGTCCATGTAGTAGACTAATTGCTTACTCCAAAGGAGTGATTGAAGAAAGATTAATGAAGGGGCTATTTACAAAGGTGCAAGCAGGATTAGGGGGGCATTCTGGAGCCAGTAGCTGCAGAGAGCTATGACCATCCTTAGGCCTAAGGAGGCAAGGGAAGGGAGCACTTACTGGACCCTAGAGAGACTTGTAGTTTAGCAGAGGCTGTCTGACTTAACTGGGCCCTTTGGTAGAGGAAAGCAGCCACTGCCAATCTACAGGGGGTGAGCTGGAGAATAAATAACACACTCTTTTCTTTCATCCTCTTAATTTCTGCTGATACTTTCCATTGGCCAAACCCTAAAATGAAACAGAGACCAAGGAAACCCATATGATACAATAATCCATGAAGGTCAGCCTCCCAGGCCACTGGGTCAGCAGAGCAGAGGAGGGTGGAGAGGGCTCTGGAGGGCCACACACCAAAAACCTTCAGCTCCAAGGAAGAGGGTCATGTTAATGCCCTAGGGATAGACAGTACCAGAAGATTGTGTTGAAATCTGCTTTAAGTCTTTATTCATATTAAAGTCACTATTAATTAATTAAAATATTATAATGACATATATTGAGTGTGCAGCTTCAACTTTATATATCCCTTGGTGCTTGAAAATTCTGAAATGCCTGTTTTGGAAGGGTCCATCTCCCTCAAGTCCCTATGGAAAATCACTCCTAAGAGGCAAGACAAGGGTAGTTGTGTTAAAGTTGAATGTGTATGGAAAGCTTAGTTAAAAAGCCATTGCATAGTTATAATAATAAAGAGGGGGTCACAGTTTGCACCTACACATATTAATATTTTCCCACTTTATACTTAGATTTAGCTTAAGTTTATCCATTTATTCATTCAACAAACACATACTATGCTCCTGCTTTGTGATTGTAAAAGGATCTACAAAATCTGTCTCTAATAACCCTCCCTGACTCCTGGCCCCTGGCCCCCAGCCACCACTGGCAGGACTGATGGTAGGTGGTGAGGCAAAGGAAAAGCTTCTTTGAGGCAGTGACATTTGAGCAGAGGAGGAAGGAGTCAGCCCTGCAGATCTTGGGGACGGGCTGAGGAAATAGCTTGCTCAAGGATCTGAGCTTTGCGTGAAGGTGGAAGGTGCTAGGGGAGGCAATGATACGGCGGTCCGAGGCCTGTTCATGGAGGGCCTTCCAGGCCACAGTAAGACATTTGGATTTTATTCTGAGGGTGATGTATAGTAAATAGAAAGTTCTGAGCAGGAAAGTGAGATGACAGAATTTATCTTTCTAAAAGATCACTCCAGCTACTATGTGGAGATTGATTCCAGGGAAATGGAAGCAAGGGAACTGATTAGGAGGCGATTTCAGTGTCTGTGACAAGGGATGACAGTGGTCAGTAGAGGTGCTGAAAAGTGGTTGGGCGTGGATACACTCTATGTGGATATTCATATTGTCATTTTAGTTAAAGATGACAATTTTCTAAAGGAAGATTTTCTTTTGTGGATGGGGTTGAGGGAACTCAAACCAGTTAAAATGAATTGAATTGCTGTTGTCTAACTTAGCCTGCCTCAAATTCACTCAGGAGACTTATTTAAAAAGGAAGATTTCCCAGAGAGATTTATTTAAGGGAAAGCAGAATTGGCATTCTTCTTTGGACTTAGAGCACCTTGGCAAGCTGTTGCCAGGACACGCAAGTGGGATGGTGTCTCTTGTGCAACTGATAAGAGGAAGTGACCCTTGGATTGAAGGAAGTAGAAAGATTAAATCAGAAAGAATCAAGTTTCAGAGTCTGCAAAGCCACAAGCCCTCTGTATGGGCCAGCAAGCCCCTGGGCCTGAGAGGCATCAGTAATTGTCACCCGAGTTGGATTGAACTGAAATAAAGAAGTAAAGATCCTATATCATCTATTGAAATCTTTAAAAGGGTTGCAAGATATGCATTACTAATCTATATATTATCTTAAAAACAAACAATACTTGACTCTGAAGAGAGTGCTAGATCTCCCAGCACAATGTTTGAGCTCTGCCAATGATCAGACTGCCTCCTCAAGTGTGTCCCTGACCCCCATGTCTCCAGACTGGGAGACACTTCCCAGCAGGGGCCAACAGACACCTCATACAGGAAAGCTCTGGCTGGCATCTGGTGGGTGCCCCTCTGGGATGAAGCTTCCAGAGGAAGGAACAGGCAGCAATCTTTGCTGCTCTGTAGCCTCCACTGGTGATACCCAGGCAAACAGGGTCTGGAGTGGAACTCCTGCAAACTCCAGCAGACCTGCAGCAGAGGGGCCTGACTGTTAGAAGGAAAACTAACAAACAGGAAGGAATAGTATCAACATCAACAAAAAGAATGTCCACTCAGAAACCCCATCTGAGGGTCACCAACATCAAACACCAAAGGGAGATAAATCCATGAAGATGGGGTGAAACCAGCGTAAAAAGGCTGAAAATTCCAAAAACCAGAATGCCTCTTCTCCTCCAAAGGATCACAACTCCTCACCAGCAAGGGAACAAAACTGTACAGAGAATGAGTTTGACAAATTGACAGAAGTAGGCTTCAGAAGGTGGGTAATAACAAACTCCTCTGAGCTAAAGGAGCATGTTCTAACCCAAGGCAAGGAAGCTAAGAACCTTGAAAAAATGATAGATGAATTGCTAACTAGAATAACCACTTTAGAGAAGAACATAAATGACCTGATGGAGCTGAAAAACACAGCACGAGAACTTTGTGAAGCATATACAAGTATCAATAGCCAAATCAATCAAGCGGAAAAAAGGAAATCAGAGATTGAAGATCAAATTAATGAAATAAAGTGTGAAGACAAGATTAGAGAAAAAGAATGAAAAGGAATGAATGAAGCCTCCAAGAAATATGGGACTATGTGAAAAGACCAAACCTGTGTTTGATTAGTGTATCTGAAAGTGATGGGGAGAATGGAACCAAGTTGGAAAACACTCTGCAGGGTATGATCCAGGAGAACTTCCCTAGCCTAGCAAGGCAGGCCAACATTCAAATTCAGGAAATACAGAGAACACCACAAAGATATTCATTGAGAAGAGCAACCCCAAGACACATAATCGTCAGGTTCACCAAGGTTGAAATGAAGGAAAAAATGTTAAGGGCAGCCAGAGAGAAAGGTCACGTTACCCACAAAGGGAAGCCCATCAGACTAACAGCAGATCTCTCTGCAGAAACCCTACAAGCCAGAAGAGAATGAGGGCCAATATTCAACATTCTTAAAGAAAAGAATTTTGAACTCAGAATTTCATATCCAGCCAAACTAAGCTTCATAAGTGAAGGAGAAATAAAATCCTTTACAGACAAGCAAATGCTGAGAGGTTTTGTCACCACCAGGCCTGCCTTACAAGAGCACCTGAAGGAAGCACTAAACATGGAAAGGAACAACCAGTACCAGCCACTGCAAAAACATGCCAAATTATAAAGACCATCAACGCTATGAAGAAACTGCATCAACTAACGGGCAAAATAACCAGCTAACATCATAATGACAGGATCAAATTCACACATAACAATATTAACCTTAAATGTAAATGGGCTAAATGCCCCAATTGAAAGATACAGACTGGCAAATGGGATAAATAGTCAAGACCCATTGGTGTGCTGTATTCAGGAGACCCACCTCACTTGCAAAGATACACATAGGCTCAAAATAAAGGGGTGGAGGAATATTCACCAAGCAAATGGAAAGCAAAAAAAGCAGAGGTTGCCATCCTAGTCTCTGATAAAACAGACTTTAAACCAGTAAAGATAAAAAGAGACACAGAAGGGCATTACATAATGGTAAAGAGATCAATGCAACAAGAAGAGCTGCCTATCCTAAATATATATGCACCCAATACAGGAGCACACAGACTCATAAAGCAAGTTCTTGGAGACCTACAAAGAGACTTAGACTCCCACACAATAATAGTGGGAGACTTTAACACCCCACTGTCAACATTAGACAGGTCAATGAGACAGAAAATTAACAAGGATATTCAGGATTTGAACTCAGCTCTGGACCAAGCAGACCTAATAGACATCTACAGAACTCTCCACCCCAAATTGATAGAATACACATTCTTCTCAGCACCTCATCACACTTATTCTAAAATTGACCACATAATTGGAAGTAAAACACTTCTCAGCAAATGGAAAAGAACGGAAATCATAACAAACAGTCTCTCAGATCACAGTGCAATCAAATTAGAACTCAGGATTAAGAAACTCACTCAAAACCGCACAACTACATGGAAACTGAACAACCTGCTACTGAATGACTACTGGGTAAATAACAAAATGAAGGCAGAAATAAATAAGTTCTTTGAAACCAATGAGAACAAAGACACAATGTACCAGAATCTCTGGGACACAGCTGAAACCATGTTTAGAGGGAAATTTATAGCACTAAAAAAGGAGGAAAGATCTAAAATTGACACCTTAACATCACAATGGAGAGAACTAGCAGAACTGAAGGAGATAGAGACACAAAAAACCCTTCAAAAAATCAGTGAATCCAGGAGCTGGTTTTTTGAAAAGATCAACAAAATTGATGGACCATTAGCCAGACTAATAAAGAAGAAAAGAGAGAAGAATCAAATAGATGCAATAAAAATGATAAAGGGGATATCACCACTGATCCCACAGAAATACAAACTACCATCAGAGAATACTCTAAACACCTCTATGCAAAGAAACTAGAAAATCTAGAAGAAATGGATAAATTCCTGGATACATACACCCTCCCAAGTCTAAACCAGGAAGAAGTCAAATCCATGAATAGACCAATAACAAGTTCTGAAATTGAGGCAGTAATTAATCATCTACCAACCAAAAAAAGTCCAGGACCAGACGGATTCACAGCTGAATTCTACCAGAGGTACAAGGAGGAGCTGGTACCATTCCTTCTGAAACTATTCCAAACAATAGAAAAAGAGGGAATCCTCCTTAACTCATTTTATGAGGCCAGCATCATCCTGATACCAACACCTGGCAGAGACAAAACAACAGCAAAAAATTTCAAACCAATATCCCTGATGAACATTGATATAAAAATCCTCAATAAAATAGTGGTAAACCAAATCCAGCAGCACGTCAAAAAGCTTATCCACCACGATCAATTTGGCTTCATCTCTGGGATGCAAGGCTAGTTCAACATATGCAAATTAATAAACATAATCCATCACATAAACAGAACCAATGAAAAAAACCACATGATTATCTCAATAGATGCAGAAAAGTCCTTTGATAAAATTCAGCACCCCTTAAAAATCTCTTTAAACTAGGTATTGATGGAACGTATCTCAAAATAATAAGAGCTGTTTATGACAAACTCATAGCCAATATCATACTGAATGGGCAAAACTGGAAGCATTCCCTTTGAAAACTGGCACAAGACAAGGATGCCCTCTCTCACCACTCCCATTCAACATAGTATTGGAAGTTCTGGCCAGGGCAATCAGGCAAGAGAAAGAAATAAAGGGTATTCAAATAGGAAGAAAGGAAGTCAAATTGTCTCTGTTTGCAGATGACATGATTGTATATTTAGAAAACCCCATCGTCTCAGCCCAAAATCTCCTTAAGCAACTTCAGCAAGTCTCAGGATACAAAATCAATATGGAAAAATCACAAGCTTTCCTATACACCAATAATAGACAAACAGAGAGCCAAATCATGAGTAAACTCCCATTCACAACTGCCACAAAGAGAATAAAATACTTAGGAATCCAACTCACAAGGGATGTGAAGTACTTCTTCAAGTAGAACTACAAATCACTGCTCAAGGAAATAAGAGAGGACACAAACAAATGGTAAAACATTCCATGCTCATGGATAGGAAGAATCAATATTATGAAAATGGCCATACTGCCCAAAGTAATTTATAGATTCAATGCTATCTCCATCAAGCTACCATTGACTTTCTTCACAGAATTGGAAAAAAACTACTTTAAATTTCATATGGAACCAAAAAAGAGCCCGCATAGCCAAGACAATCCTAAGCAAAAAGAACAAAGCTGGAGGCATCATGCTACTTGACTTCAAACTATACTACAAGGCTACGGTAACCAAAACAGCATGATACTGGTACCAAAACAGAGATGTAGACCAATGGAACAGAACAGAGCCCTCAGAAATAACACCACACATCTACAACCATCGGATCTTTGACAAACCTGACAGAAACAAGAAATGGGGAAAGGACTCCCTATTTAATAAATGGTGTTGGGAAAACTGGCTAGCCATATGCAGAAAACTGAAACTGGACCCCTTCCTCACATCTTATACAAAAATTAACTCAAGATGGATTAAAGACTTAAACATAAGACCTAAAACCATAAAAACCCTGGAAGAAAACCTAGGCAATACCATTCAGGACATAGGCATGGGCAAGGACTTCATGACTAAAACACCAAAAGCAATGGCAACAAAAGCCAAAATTGACAAATGGGATCTAATTAAACTAAAGAGCTCCTGCACAGCCAAAGAAACTATCATCAGACTGATCAGGCAACCTACAGAGTGGGAGAAAACTTTTGTAATCTATCCATGTGACAAAGGGCTAAGATCCAGAATCTACAAAGAACTTAAACAAATTTACATGAAAAAAAAACCCCATCAAAAAGTGGGCCAAGGATATGAACAGACACTTCTCAAAAGAAGACATTTATGCAGCCAACAAACATATGAAAAAAAACTCATCATCACTCATCATTAGAGAAATATAAATCAAAACCACAATGAGATACCATCTCATGCCAGTTAGAATGGAAATTATTAAAAAGTCAGGAAACAACAGATGCTGGAGAGGTGGAGAAATAGGAATGCTTTTACACTGTTGGTGGGAGTGTAAATTAGTTCAATCATTGTGGAAGACAGTATGGTGATTCCTCAAGGATCTAGAACCAGAAATACCATTTGACCCAGCATTCCAATTCTGGGTATATACCCAAAGGACTATAAATCATTCTACTATAAAGACACATGCACACATATGTTAATTACAGCACTGTTCACAATAGCAAAGACTTGGAACCAACCCAAATGCCCATCAGTGATAGACTGGATAAAGAAAGTGTGGCACATATACACCATGGAATACCACACAGCTATAAAAAAGGATAAGTTCATGTCCTTTGCAGGGACATGGATGAAGCTGGCAACCATCATTCTCAGCAAACACAAGAACAGAAAATCAAACACCACATGTTCTCACTCATAAGTGGGAGTTGAACAATGAGAACACATGGACATAGGGAGGGGAACATCACACACTGGGGCCTGTTGTGGGGTGGGGAGCTAGGGGAGGGATAGCATTAGGAGAAATACCTAATGTAGATGACGGGTTGATGGGTGCAGCAAACCACCAAGGCATGTGTATGCCTATGTAACAAGCCTGCACGTTCTGCACATGTACCCCAGAACTTAAAGTATAATAATAAAAAAGGGGAAGATTTCCTAATCTCTTACTCAGAAGATCCTGATTCTCCAAGACCTAGACATCTGCATTTTTGAACTCAGACTGAGAATTACCATTTAAGTATTTAGCACCACCCCCTAGTGGTGGTTACTTGAAATTGCAGATGTAACAAATTTAAAATACAATTCTTTGAATTCTTCCTGTGTATTTGTTGCACGCAAAGTAACAATCTTTCGCATCTATTTTAGAGCTAGTTAAATATAGCTAGTTTTAGAGGAATAGCCACATGGGGGTAAAAACTCCTTATTCTCCAGTGATTATCTGGAAAGAACTCTCAGAAGTATTAAGATAAAAAAACAGAAAGTTCATAAGTAGCAATTAATTAGCTACTACTTATTGTCAGAGAGCAGTTAAAGCTTCCAACTCATAGCCAGGCTGATTATTAAAGAGCTATATGATTAGAGTAATTGAAACTGTGCAGGTGAAATGGAAAGTTAGTGGCCTCCAAAAGTCATGAAAAACCAACACTGAACTTACACTAACTATGGAAGAATAGCAGTACGATCCCAAGGGGTGTGTATTTCTTTGAACCATTGTTTTAACTGGCTAGAGGAATTTTGTGTTTAGAATTTTATTATCTTATCATTTTGGGTTGGAAATTTTTGTTCTATAGCCGCAATGCAGACCAGCCTGCAATGCCACCACTGTTTCTATCCTTGCTTGTCTGCTTTGGTACCTTTTTCCCTTGGACTTTCCAGAGGGTAGAACAGAGGGCAGCCCGGTGTTAGAGCCCTGATAATGGGAGGGAAAATGTTCCAAATATTCTAAATGGGGCAACTGTTTCTACACTTGGGTCAGCTGGAAGACTCTTCCAGCTTCATAGTGTATTTGTTGGCTTGCTTGCTTTCTGTTTGTCATTCTCAGATTCTCCACAAATATTCATCCTGCGTTTCCAACCCCCATGTTTTCTCTCGCTCAACACAGGCTCATATTTGAACCAGAAGGTCATCTAGTACAAATTTCTCACATGCTTGATGAGGAGCCTGAGGTGTGAGTAGGGTGGCGGCTCTCAGGTTACAGAAAGGGGTGGCTGTCCAGTGGAGCTGTGTCCCAGCACTGCTCATGGTGGCCCAGTAATACTTGCAAGCCAGTGTTCTGTGACCATCCAACTCCCAACATCTGCTTTTCATTTCCTTCCTCCATCCCTATAAACATCCCCTACACCCAGAAATGCACCCCGCTATGTGCGCGCACACACATACACACTCACACTCTCTCTCTCTGTTTTCTTCTTTCTGCAAATCCCCTTCCCTTCCCATCTTGGCAAGCTGCCAAAAGTATGAAAAATTAGGCAAGTTGAACCTTTAAAAAATCCTTTATTTTAGAATAAACCCAAAGGAAACCTCAGCTGTCCAACTTTCACTAACTAAATTATGCAGTGTTTCCTTCTGTTCCTTCATCTTGATTTATTTTTGTGGGTTAAGCCTTTGACCGGGGGGGAAACAGGTTTGTTTGTTACACTCCAGAGGAGAAAGAACTTGAAGGAGGAAAGAGAAAACAAAAGGAAAGGTGAGCCGAAGGATTAAATAACGAATCAAGGGAACACGAAATACAAATCTGGACATGCCCACATGTACTTTTCCATTTAGAAACAGACCCAATAAACAAGTGGTGCGTTTACCCATTTTTTCGAGACTAAAGCCCTTGCTTAGTAGTCCCCGAAGTTAGCGTTAGCCTGCCCTCTAGTGGTGCCTGAAAACGTGTGCTAGACTGTGGTGCCCAATGCAGAGCTTTGCTTGTCCCAGAGATAGACGCTTGAAAACCTCAAGATTAGAAGGAACGCTTCAGCAGCTTTCCAGTAAATACAGTAGGTGGAGACAAACACTGGAAAACTGCAACCTAGGCAACATTGCTTTCGTTTGACTCTTAGAAGATTGCTAGGCACCCAGAGTTATTGAAACTTGGGTTGACCATAATTTGTCATGCTTAATATTTCCTGCTTTTAAAAAATTGTTAAAAATGTTAATATATGGAGATTTTAAACACATTCAGTTTATAAATCCGTTGGCGCTTCATGCCATTAATTATCTTAAATACCCACCAAAAGCAGAAATTTGGGTGGTGGTATGGAGGTGCAAAGGTTAATAAGACACAGACCCTGTCCTTAAAACTTACTCTCTGTTTGGAAGAGAAGATCTATTTGAATGTAATTACAATACATGGCAGTGGTATAACAAAGAGACAGTTTAAATATATATATATGTTTAAATATATATATATATATATATATATATATGTACACACACACACACATACACACACACACACAAAACTGTGCTAGGTATGCCCACATCTTACTTAATATTTACCACAACTATATCTTTTTACATAAGAAGAAAGGGAGGTTCAAAAAGATTAAGTAATGTATCTTAGTTCAGATAGCAAAGAAATAGCAAAATTAGAATTCAGGTATTTTGATTTTACTTTCATTTCAATTAACTTCAACAGAGCTTTATTGAGAATCTACCATGTACCAGGCACTATGCTACATGCTGAACATGCAAATATAGGAAATACCACTGGCCTCACGGTTATAGTCTTGTAGGGGACTGGGCTATGCAGAAACAAGCTGTATTGTGATATATGCAATAATGCAAGTTTGTACATATTACCTTCTGAGCAAAGCAGCAAAGACTGTTCTTTTTCCATAAGTTGTTGACTTTCTGTCATGTGACCCTGGTAAGTAACCATGATCGAACTGATCAAGAATCTGTAACTTGGTCAAAGGTAACCACAAAATTGTGCAAAACTACAGGATACATAAATATTTTTGGGGTTTCATTATTACAGATGACGTTGAGGAGAGAAAAGTTTTACATTTTTACAATCTTAGGTTTACCAATGGGCCCTGGGAGGTCTAATAGCAGAATTCTGCCCAATAGTGGAGGCAACTCACTGACCCAACCAGTGAGAGCACAGGTAGTTTCCACTGTGAGAAACTCAACTACAGAACCAGAGTAGAATTAGAAAGAAACAAAAGTGGAGGTAACAGCTGAACTAGTGAGAAGCGGAAGCACAGAGAGGTGAAGGAGAGAAGTGGAATTGTGAGTACGGCACCGTCAGGAGTCAGGGGCCAAAGGTCCCTCTTCTCAAGGGGGCATTACCATTACTGACTCAAAGGGGAGCCCTTACTGACATCCCAGGGCTCTGGGAGGCTGGACTACAACCTGCCTAGTGTCATACCTGTGCTTCCTTATTGCCTTAAGTATCTTTCCAATCACCCACAACACCAGAGGTCACCCGAGAATACTTGATCTTTGCAACAGAAAGTGTAACTCCTGCAGCACCAAAGTGGTGCGGAGGAGAGTGAGGAAGTGTGGTTGGAAGGGTGGATGCAGCAGGGGCTTTACCAGGAGGCAATGCCAAAGCAGAGTTCTGAGCTATAATGAGGGGTTCGCAAGGAAGACAGAGGGGTTTGCAAGGAAGGAGCTGCAACGAGGAGTTTGCAAAGAAGACAGAGGAAGGTACCTCAATAATTCTGTGTTTATTCCAGTACTGGACATAACCCATGGCAAACCTTAATTTCCAGGATCTCCTTTGTGTAATGACACCAGAAATCCTTTCTTCAGGAACCCTGGCTTTGAGAGAGTGGCATGAGAAAGGAGAATTTTCTCTTTTATGGAGGGTGTAAGTCCTGAAGCTTGATGTGCTGACCTTATTGTGTGTCCTTAAATATTGGCATATTCTTCTCAATTGGGATATGGGGATGCAGCACTGGGGCCAGGGGATTGTGCAAAACTAAGGATACATAGAGAAAAATCTTTATGGGGTGTCATCATTACAGGTGATGTGAAGAGAGAAAAGTTTTAACTTTTTACAATCTTGAAAGGTGTTGTCCTGTATGATCAGTATAAACCTACTTTTTTGTGTTGGGTTAATTTTTTTCCCACTCATTTGCATAAAATCCAGGGTTCTCTATGATCCCAGCATAAAATCACATTTAAAGAAACACACTCTTTTGTTTATCCATTCATCTTTTAATGAGCATTTGGGTTGGTTTCAGCTCTTGGCTATTGTGAATAGTGCTGCTATGAACACACATGTACCAATATCTCTTCAAGATACTGCTTTCAATTCTTTTTTGGATATATGCCCAGAAATGGGATTGCTGGATGTATTAGTCCATTCTCACAATCCTATAAAGAACTACCTGAGACTGGGTAATTTATGAAGAAAAGTGGTTTAATTGACTCACAGTTTCTGCAGGCTGTACAGGAAACATGACTGGGAGGCCTCAGGAAACTTACAATCACAGCAGAAGGTGAAGGGGAAGCAGGCATATCTTCACATGGTGGCAGGAGAGAGAGACAGAGTGGAGGAGGATGTGCTACACACTTTTAAAAACCAGATCTCATGAGAACTCTGTCATGAGACAATACTAGAGGGATGATGCAAAACCATTAGAAACCACCCCCGTGATCCAATCACCTCCTGCCAGGCCCCACTTTCAACACGTGGGGATTACAATTCCACATGAGATTTGGGTGGGGACACAGAGCCAAACCATATCACTAGATTATACAGTAATCCTAGCTTTAATTTTTTGAGGAACCTCCATATTGTTTTCCATAATGGCAGGATCATTTTACATTCCACCAACAGTGCACAAGGGCTCTAATTTCTCCACCTTGGTGCTAACCCTTGCTATTTTCTGTTTTCTTTTTAAATAGTGGCCATCATAATGGGTGTGAGGTGACATGTAGATTGACTTTAAAGTACAAACCCCCTTTGAAATGGTAAGGGGATCTCTGAACTTTCATGCCTTCTGGTAAACTTTGATTTTATCAACCAGCTGAAATCATTCACTGAAGTACATGTTATTTTGATCTAGACAAGTTGTTAGGATCCTGGAAAGAGATCTTAGATTTCTTTAAACTTGGTAAATGTAAAACTGGAAGCCCCAAGAGTGGGGGCTACCTGAGAAGTCCCATATCAGGTACTTCTCTCTCAGTTGTTTTGACCCTGAGGACATTTTTTATTGAATGAAAACAAACATTTTCATCAGAATTATTCCAACATTTCTGGAAATATTATCAAGAAATTATTTTCTAGAAGCAACTGTCTTGAATTAATGTAATTCTTTGATCAAATTTCTTCCTGTGCCATTAAATAATTTTCAGTATTTTTATTTTACTGAAATAATTTAGACTTTATTCAGTGATCCCATTTTATGTCCGTATTAAATCTTTCCAACTTTTCCAATCAGCAATTTTGAGGT
The DNA here is from genome assembly GCF_000001405.40 of Homo sapiens. Taxonomy (NCBI): domain Eukaryota; kingdom Metazoa; phylum Chordata; class Mammalia; order Primates; family Hominidae; genus Homo; species Homo sapiens. The sequence continues at coordinate 20,189,679 of NC_000015.10, read as the reverse complement.
TTCTTTTGTAGTCATTTTCTACCAAACCTAATTTTCCTGGGCTAGATTTTGCAGGTATAATTTTTGACAAGAAGATTTGATTCTTTTGTCAATCTTTAACGTCAATTACAAATTTTTCTGTGTAAAGCTTTCACCTTTGTCAGTTTTATTTTGTGTTATTTGCATAAAGTGCAATTTTAAGAGTTCACTTTTGTAGTTTTGAGACTTACCAACACAATGAGATTCTTCAGTCAGTTTTTTGTCAATATCAAAGTTAACATATATCATTTTAGTTATTATCAGTTTGATCCTGTGTAGATTCTTTTTACATCTACTTTTTTTTTCTAGTGACCCGTTGAAAATATACTTGATATAAAAATATCAAGGCCATAACATCATGTTTTCATCCAAAGCTACTCTGTTTAAAAATATTTAAAAAGTAGAATCGACCTTTTTAGAGGCATGGGCTTCACAGGTAAATCCTTAATCTAGAAGTGACAAGTTCTGGGTGTTTGTCTTTGTTCTGCGCTCATCACCCCTGTGTCTACAGTCTGGTAGTCCTCATCTAAAAGTGAAGTGATTGAAGTGTGTGATTTCTAAATCCCCTTGCAACTCTGACTTAAATTTCTATCTGTAGGAATCTATTCCTATCTGCAGATTGAGCTAATTGATCATTGCTTTGCTTCATATTTGATTCACTCCTCCCTAACCCTAACCCTAATCCTCCTGACAACCAGCCTGTCTGCACTTGCTCAGACCTGGGTAGGAGCCTCTGATGTTCCCTACACAGATTTGCATGTTGTTCTTAGAGTCTTGGCTTCTGATCTGCTCCAGAGCGCCACTGCTCTCAGGCTTTCTGAGCTCAACCCATATCCTTTCTGATTGAGCACCGACCAGCTGGGCTCAGAGCAGCCTGCCTCCACCCTGCCTTCATCTGCCTGGAAGCTACGAGGTTATCAGGGACCATGCTGAGCCTTGTCTTTCCCCAACCCCACTCCTCAGCCTAACTCCTATCACCTCTCTTTGTGGGTTAGGCATGAAGGGACAATCGTGGGGTTATGTGGATGTAGTTTAGGGTAGACCAATCTTAAAGGCAGCAGAGTTAGGACAGATCCCAAGGCCATTGTAGGCAGGAAGGGGAGATAGGATAGACCACATCATTTAAGGAATCATTTCAGGATCCCAGGAGGAATGTGTTGGGCCATTTGCACTAGAACAATTGGAGGGAGGTTTAGTGAAGGGACTGTTTACAAATGATGAGCAGTGTTTATGGAGTCCAAAAAGGACAGTGTAGCACCACTGAGTTCAGATATGACTCCTCACCAGAAATGATATGAGGAGGGATCAGTTACTGGAACCTGGGTGGAGAGAATCACATAGAGATGACTGCAAGACAATACTTCAGGGATCAAGCCAGAGGCATAAATACCCCAGCCTCCACTCCTTCTCCCTCCCTCTTATCTCCTATTAAGGACCTCTAATTGGCAGAACCCAACTGGAGGTCAAAGGGCAAGGGAGTCCATTGATGAAACTCATACAGTTCAGTGTCCCCAGCAAGAGAGTAGGATGAGAAGGGTGGAGAGTGACCTCAGCAGTGGGGAGGAGAGGGTAACAGGCACAGGCTGCTCCTCTAGCTTGTTCATGTACATCCCAGTAAAATCAAGTGGAGAAGATCATCCAGAGAAGACTGGGAGGAAAAGGGTTAGCATGCTTGCATCACCTTGGGTGAGGAATGAGTTAAATGCAGTGACCTTTGTGAATTTCAGCTGATGTCATTGTATAAGTCATGTATTTCCCTGGCAGCTGCTGTCTAAGGCATGGCCTTCATCTTGAATTGGTTCTGGGTCAACAGAAGCCTAGGCTGGGGTGATTAGCTCACTTCACTCTTCCCTGAGAGGCCTCGGAGGAGCTGGCCACAGTGGGAGCTTTGGGAGGGTAGGATCAATGCCTTTGGATATCTGGGTGGGGTAGAGGGAGCTTTAAGTATAGAGAAAGGGGGAGGGGAGAGAGTGTTGAAAGGGTGCTGATGGCACATCTGGACAAGGGGCAGACCTGGGCCTACTTAAGATGGCATTGCATTGGGCTCAGGGTTTATAGAGCATAGAATATGCTTTACATGGAATGATGCCACCTCCAATGCCTGAGATGCACTGTATAGACTGAGATGCTGCTGGAACTGTGGTGGGGGTGGGCAAGAGGGGTGGTTGGGGAGGCAGTGGGCATAATCTCCCTTCAGAGTCCTGTAGCACAGAGTTCTGCCACAGAACACCACTGTTCTGCTTTAAACACCATTGCAAATGGTTAGCATTCACCTTAGCTGAATTTGTAGAGAGGGAGAGGAAAGAGGGAAAAGAGGAGAAAAAGAGAGAATGTATTTGTCCAGCTCAATGCATATGGATGAGTTGGTTCTGGTGCTCCTATTTAATCAAACGATTCATATTTGTGGATGGGTGGGGCAGCAGGAGCAGAGTAGGCTGTGGGCTGAGCAAATACTTAGAAGCATGTCTGTTACAATCATGCTTTGCTTCTGGTCAGTGGCACAATATATATATTTAACACATTCTCTTGGGAATATTAAAATCCAATATAATATAAGCCAGTGGCAAGTAGTCTTTCTTTTATTATATCCATTGGGCAACGGGTTGGTCAGCAGAGGGAAGAGAGATCAGAAAGCAGAAAGCTGGATGGAGGAATGACCTCCTCTCACTAACTCCAAAGTGTTGCATCTACCTTGACCAGAATCCATGGCTTCTAAAAGAATTCATTGGAAGAAAGAAATAGGGAGGTGAAAAGAAAGGAGAGAATGGAGACGAGAGAAATATAAGCAAGAAAAGTGAGTTTTTCTAGAAAGAATTTTATTGTCAAATAATTCTGCAAGGGAACAAAGTCTTCTGAGAAGCAGGAAGCATAATCTTTCTCCTTTCTGTTTTTTTCTATTCCCTATAGAAAAAACCTGTTAATTTTGTATTAAAAACAAAATACATTTCTTTTTTTTTGAGTGCTCTACAATTGTATAGGAATGTGTATCACTTCCTCCCCATAATTTTGAGAATATTTCTGAAGACAGTGACATATTCTGACTCTTTAAGAACAAAACAATTCAATTTTAAAATCACTGAGTGACAGCAATCAAAGTTCTGAAGTGATGCAGTTCGCCTCAACACTTGTTCGAAATGTCATTAGAAAACCAACATATAGCGGGTTGTTATGGCAACTGGAATACCAGAGTTTATAACATCACTGTAATTAATGTTATCCAAATGTTATTAATCTTTCAACATCACTCACATTCTCTGAAGGAACGGCAGTTCTGGTTGTCTTAGGATTTTTCAATAGTGTAATCCATTGCAGCTTTTCTTCACGTTTTATTTTTAAATAGATCTTACTCTGACTTTGCTTTAGTGAAATTAGTTATTGTTTCTCCGTCTTTACTTGTTCTATTTTGGCTGCTATTTTTTTTTTGATAAAACTTGAAGTAAAATGGAAAAAAAGGGATTACAGCTAAAAAAAGAATAAAGTCTAGAGATGGAAAGATTTATATATTTAAGTATGGAGAACCTCAGAAAAATATTAAAATATTTTGCATACAGCTTTGTAGTATTAACTCACATTTGCATAGCACTTTATAATTTAAGAAGCAGTTTTACATATGTTATTAACATAACATTATTTAACATAACAACCCTAAGAAGACAAGTAATAATTTTTGAGTGCCTACTACGTGACAGGTAATATGATTTGCATACATAAATCTTTTAGTTCTCACCGCAATCTGCAAGATAGCTGTTGTGGTTTAAAAATATGTCTCCATGGTTCAACAACAAATCAACAAATTACCTGATTTAAAAACAGGCAAATGTGGCCAATGAGCATATGAAAAGACACTAAATATCACTAATTATTAGATAAATGCAAATCAAAACCACAATGAGATATCACCTGAAAACAATTTAGTGGCTACTACGAAGAAACAGAAAATAATAAATAGTGGCAAGGATGAAATGTTAAAATGCCAGATACACCAAATCATGCAAACACAACATCAAAACACAGCTTGGTGGAGATGGAGGGACAGATGGGGAGGGGAAGAGTGTGGAAAGGCTGGAAAACAGTCCCAAACAGACACACGTCTCCATGTGACACTTTTTTTCTTTTTTTAGGCAGGGTCTTGCTCTGTTGCCCAGGCTGGAGTGCAGTGGTGTAATCTCGGCTCACTGCAACATCCACCTCCCGGGTTCAAGCGATTCTCCTGCCTCAGCCTCCCGAGTAGCTGGGACTACAGGCATGTGCCCCCATGCCAGGCTAATTTTTGTATTTTTAGTAGACATGGGGTTTCCCCATGTTGGTCAGTCTGGTCTCGAACTCCTAGCCTCAAGTGATCCGCCCGCCTCTGCCTTCCAAAGTGCTGGGATTACAGGCGCCCGCCACCACGCCCAGCTAAGTTTTGTATTTTTAGCAGAGACGGGGTTTTACCAGGTTGGCCAGGCTGGTCTCAGACTCCTGACCTCAAGCGATCCACCCGCCTGAGCCTCTCAAAATGCTGGGATTACAGTGTGAGCCAGGGCTCCCGGCCAGAACACATTTCCTTTTAATGGAAACAGTAATTCTCTGTGGCCGCCCAGCCAGCCCACATTCCTCCACCAGGCCACCACCGCCTCTGAGGAAGCTGGACTGTGCGGCACACGCGGAGGTCATTGCTTACTTAGATGGCAGTGAACCATCCACGCTGGGGAAGCATCACTCCTCCCTAGACCTGGCAGCATCCTCCCCGGTTCCTTTTTCTTGCTGAAATATTTCTCCAAGAGTGTTTCTGGGGTTGACTCTCAAGGGGGCTGATAGGACTGAGGATGGCTTCCTGCGTGCCCATATTTCATGGCGGTGAGCAGGACACAGCCCTGGGTTCCAGGGTCCTTTCCTCTCGCGTCTGAAGCTGTCACTCCCTTTCTTCTTGCATCCGTTGTCTGTGCCGCGATTCTAATGTCAGCACCACTCCTGTTCCTGTGCGGGTTACCTGCTTTTTCTCTTTGGAAGTTTTTAGCAATTTTGACTCAAAATGTAGATGCTTTTCTTTGAAAGTACACATAAGATTTTAACTTTAAAATGTAATTAACACTCTGCAGGCCCTTTTAGTTTGAGGATGTGCATCTTTTCTTAATTGGGGAAATTTCCTAATCATTTTTCAGATACTTCCTCTTATCTATTCATTTTTCCTCTTTTAAGCACTGAATATTTTTCCTCCCTCACCTCTGCCTCCTCAACCCCTTCAGCTCCTTCTAGAAGAGCTCAGAGCCTGACCTGCCTCACTCATTCATTTTCTGGTCTCCAACCTTCCCACCAAGTTCATCACTTAAGCGCCCGCATGTTCCAGTCCAGTATTCCCGGCTGCATCTTCTGCATAACTGCCAATTCCAGCCGCGCTCTCCCTGCGTCCTGAGGGTATGTGACGGATTTACCGGTCTTATCCGCTCATCTGCTCCCTCCTCCAAGGAAAAACCTTGGGGTTTTTCCCTCCCGGAGTTCACTCCCCTCGCTGTCTCGTTTCCTCAGGCCGCTCTCTGTTCCCTGGGTATGGTCAACTGCCTTCGTCTTAGGCCCCAGTTGACACCTTCCTTGTGGGCTTCAGGGAGGCAGGCAGGGGCTCCTGGGGGCAGAGCCTCTGGCAGGATGACTGGGGCCCTCTTTGCTCATCCCCGGGGGCTGCTCTGGTCTGCAGGGAACGCCCCTGTCCTTCTAGCTGGTGCTGTCTGTCCAGGGCTGCCCTGTGCTGTAATTGGCTGTCCTTGGGCTGGGGAGGAAGGCTGCCCAGGGGCCACCAGCCAGCCTGCCCAGGTGTCGTGGCCCTCACTCCAGGAGGCTCCTGAGGTGCTCTGGCCTTGCCTAGATTCCTGGGGCTGGTACGGGTGGGATCTTCTACAGGAAAGCAGGGCTGGCAGATGACAGCCCCAGGTGGGCCCCGGAGCAGAGAGCTGCAGTCTGGCCCCGGTTGTGCTGTGTGGCCTCCTCCACTCAGACTGTGATTCCCCTCCTGTCCCAGACTCCACCACGTTTGCCCAGCCTCCGCAAGGCTCTCAGGGGTCCTCTTAGGTTCTGGGCTCCATCAACTGTCATCCCTTTGATGGCATCTCCAAGGTTTGGATTCGTGGGAAGGAGCCAGCAGCCTGTATTAATTAATCCCCTCATAAAGGAACCAAAAGCCAAATTTACAAACAAAAATCATAACATTAGATGCTGTCAGGGGCAGAGGAAATGGAGACGTGGAAAGCTGCTGGTGGGCGTGTGAACTGTCACACCCTCCCGAGGACCTCGTGGCAACTCGTTCCAAATGCCTGGAGAGTGGACCCCGGCATTCTATGACGAGGTGGCATCTGCCCTCTAAATACAACTAGACACCCTGGAAAAAATTTAACAGACATAAGAGGACTATAGGAAGTGTAGAGGAAGAAAGGCTGTCCAGGAACCTCGGGACTTTGGGGGTGACGCTGTACAAGGCCCTGAGTTTTCTTTTTCTCTCATCTCCTGGATGGGCCCAGAGAACCCTGCAACCTGTAACTGCCAAAACCTGCAGGGACAAAAAAGAAAAGAAAACGAGCCTATTTTCTCTGGTGAAAGGACTGAGAAGGGTATCTCACTGAAGACCCAGTGAGGAGATTCCTACTGATCCATGCCACAGCAGCTCCGCTCAAGCCTGGCCCTCAGCATCACACCCAGGCCACAAAGGCTCTGCTGACCACGGCGCAGAGACCACACCCAGCACCCGGCGTTTCCTTAACCTACCCCCGCCGCACAGGGCAACCCCAGCAACATGCACAGGGATTGAACCAGAGCCCCAGCAGATCCAGAAGAACAAACGAGACCAGAATAGCACTGGGAGGGCTTTGAAAACTAAATTGTCATTGACTCTACATTTCCCCTAAAGCAGGCTGGGGCCTATATGGTAAACTGGAATGTTCAAATAGGATAAAAAGTTTCCTTACATAATAACCGAAATCTCCAGAACATATTTGAAATTATTTGTCATATCAGGAAACATAAAAAGCAACTTGAAGCCTGGTGAGGGGGCTCCCACCTGTAATCCCAGCACTTTGGAAGGTCAATCAGGAGGATGGCTTGAGCCCGGGAGTTTGAGATCTGCCTGGGCAACACAGCATGACCCTGTCTCTACAAACAATTTAAAAATTAGCCAGCTGTGGTGGCACACACCTGTGGTGCCAGCTACTTAGGAGGCTGAAGCAGGAGGACTGCTTGAGCCCGGCAGTTTGAGGCTGCAGTGAGCCGAGATCATGCTACTGCACACCAGTCTGAGCATCAGAGTAAGATTCTGTCTCAAAAACATAACAGAGCAAAACAAAAAACAACTTAAATAGCAAAATAAGATTAACCAAGATAAATCAGATGTTAGAACTTTAAAGCAGCCATCATAAAAGTGCTTCAGAAAACAATGGTGAATTTTCTTGAAACAAGAACAAAATGAAAATCATACAACTGAAAAATACAATAACTAAATGAAAAAATGTGCAGTTGGGTACAATAGCAGAGTGGAGACGACAGAGAACAGAGTCTCTTGATTCAAGGACAATTAATAGAGCTGGCCCATAGGAACGATGGAGAGATAGGAGACTGAGAAATGAACGCCTCCTCGGGGATGGGTGGGACAGTGACAAAAGGCCCAGCGTTCCTGTCACCAGAGTCCCAGGAGGAGAGGAAGGAATGTGTGGTGAAAAAGTATTCAAAGGCACAGTGGTTGAAGATGTCCCAAATTTGGTGAAAGAAGTAAACCTGCAGATTCAAGAATCTGAGCAAACCCCAAATAGGATAAACACATCATAACGGAACTTCAGGAAAGGAAAGATGAAGAAAAAAATCTTTTAAACCACCAGAGAAAAACGATGCATTAAGGGACGCTGGTTCTGAGGATGGTGGGCTTCTCTAAAACCACGAGGCAGAGGGGGCGACACACCATCACCAGGTGCTGAGAAAAACTGTCTGCCCAGAACCCTATTCAGTGAACGTATCCTTCAGGGATGAGGGGGAAATAAAGATATTCTAAGAGGAAGGACAACTAGGATAGTTTGTTACCAGAAAACCTACCCTTAATACATGGCTGAAGGAAGCTCTACTAACGAAAAGGAAATAAGGAAATCAGAAATAGCAACAACAGAAGGGGTAATCATATGGTAAGTATAATAGACTATGATGAGTTTCTTAAATTGTATTTTATGGTTGAAGCAAAAAATATTAACATCATCTGCTACGGTGCTCTACATCTGAACAGGAAATATTTATGATAATTACATGTTTAAGTGGGGGAGGAAAAGGGGAAGTAAATAAAAGTAAGCTTTTGATATTTCTCATGAAGTGGTGAAACATTGATGCCAGCAGGCTGTGATAAGTTACATGGGTATATTATAATCAATCCTAGAGCAGCCACTTAGAAAACGATACAAAGCAATTCACCCAAAAGTATAAATAATTCAAAATGAAATGCTAAAAACTGTTTAAGTAATCCATGACAAGTGAAACAAAACAGAATAAAGGAAACATAAGAAACATGCAGAAAGCAAATAAAAATGGCACATTTGAATCCTAAATATGATTTCTGTGTGGTAAAGAATTTGGCCTAGCCCAAAGAAGAGGTCTAGCCTTTGTCCTGGCTCCTGGCAAGTAGTCCTGAAGACCATGTGACAGGAGGGTCTTTGCTATTCATGGTGGGTCCCTCAGACTATACCTGAAGTTTATGCTACCAGCTGGCTCATGGTGGGCCCTCCCAGGAATGTGCTGTCAGCCCCAGATTCCGGGAAAGGGAGAGATGAAGACAGAGTTCCAACCAGTCTCCAACAGATCAGTCAATTATGGCTGCACAATGCAGTTCCAGGAAACACTCCGGACACCAAGGCTTGGGTGAGGTTCCTAGGTTGGCAGTGCTTCATGGTATTGTCACACGTGGATGCTGGGAGAGTAATGCACCTGAGGACAACAGAGGCTTCACAGACCCTCCTAGCCCTGCCCTCTGTGCTGGTTCTGATTTGTATCCTTTCCCTGCAGTAAACAGTAACCATGTGTACAGCAGTTTTCAATGACTTCTGTGAGTTCTTCCAGCAAATGATTGAAACTTAGGGTGCTTTGGAAACCTCTAAAACTTGCTGTTGGTGTCAGGAATGAGGGAAATTTTAGGAACCATGCCCTCAGACTTTGCAGTTTGGTTAAATCTGGGAAAAACACAGAAATAGCAGAGTAAATGCAAAAATATGACCCATTATATGATGTCCATAAGATATTCAGTTCTAATACCATGGCATAGGTATTTAACAGATTCGAAGTGAAAGAACAGAAAAAAGGCCGGGCGCGGTGGCTCACGCCTGTAATCCCAGCACTTTGGGAGGCCGAGGTGGGCGGATCACGAGGTCAGGAGATCGAGACCATCCTGGCTAACACGGTGAAACCCCGTCTCTACTAAAAATACAAAAAACTAGCCGGGCGTGGTAGCGGGCGCCTGTAGTCCCAGCTACTCGGGAGGCTGAGGCAGGAGAATGGCGTGAACCCGGGAGGCGGAGCTTGCAGTGAGCCGAGATCGCGCCACTGCACTCCAGCCTGGGCGACAGAGCAAGACTCCGTCTCAAAAAAAAAAAAAAAAAAAAAAAAAAAAAAAAAAAAAAAAAAAAAAAAAACAGAAAAAAAAATTTCATGCAAACAAACAGGAACTTTTAAAAAAGCAGGAGTTGCTATAATAATATCAGATAGAGTTCATGGCAAAAAGAATTTCTAGAACAAAAGAGAAATATTACATAATAACAAAAGAGCAAGAGTATATCTTGATCCTAAATATATGTGCACCAAACAACACAGCTTCAAAACACATGAAGCAAAACCTGATAGAGCTTAAAAAAGAAATAGAAAAATCCATAATTATAGTTGGGATATGTCGACATCTCACTTTCAGAATTTGTAAAATTACTAGAAAAAAAATCAGCAAGAATATAGGATAACTAAACAATATTATTAGCCAATAGGGTAAAATTAACATTTATGGAAAACTCTATCCATCAACAGCAAACTATGCATTATTTTCAAGCTCTTATAGAACAGACTCTAGATCTTAAAACAAACCTTAACAAATTTTTAAAAACTGAAATCATACAAAGAGTGTCCTCTGACCAAAATGGAATCAAACTGGAAATAAATTGCAGAAAGACAAGAGAAAAATCTGCAAACACTTGGAAATTAAGCAGTAAACATTTATATACAATGTGGACAAGAAGAAGTCTCAAAGGGAATTTTTAAAAAGCAAGTAACAATGAAAATATGGCATATCAAAATTTGTGGATGAGGCTGGGTGCAATGGCTTACTCCTGTAATCCCAGCACTTTGGGAGGCTGTGGCAGGGGGATCGCTTTTTGAGCCCAGGAGTTCAAGACTAGCCTGGGCAACATGGTGAAATCCCTATCTCTGCAAAAAATTATCCAGGTGTGGTGGCATGCACCTGTAGTCCCAGTTACTTGGGAGGCTGAGATAGGGAGGATTGCTTGAGCCCAGAAGGTTGAGGCTGCAACGAGTGGAGATTGTGCTACTGCACTCCAGCTTCGGTGACAGAATGAGACCCTGTCTTAAAAAACAATTGAGGGATTCAGCTATAGCAGAGCTGAGAGAGAAATTTATAGCACTAAATCCTTATATTAGTAATATGGAAAGTTCTCAAACCAGTAGTCAAAAAACTAAAAGAGGAATAGTAAAATAAAGTTAAGGCAAATAGGACGGAAAGCGAAGAGCAGAAATTGATGAAATTAAAAACAGGAAAGCAATGCAGAACATTAAGGAAATAAAAAACAGGTTCTTCAAAAAATTAATAAAACTGATAATCCTCTAGCATGATCAACAAAGATAAAAGGAGATAACACACAAATCAGCAATATCAGGAATGAAACAAGAAATATCACAAAAGAGGCTGCATCTATGAAAAATGCTATAAAAATTTTATGCTCATACATTTGACAGCCTAGGAAAAAATGGATCAATTCCTTGAAAACCACAAATTACCACAACTCAGAAAAGATGAAATATATAAAAGCCTGAATAGTCCTATAATCATTATATAAATTGGATTTGTAACTAAAAAGCTCCTGAACACAATATATCCAGACCCAGTGGTTTCACTGGAGAATTTACCAAATATTTAAAGAAGAATCAACACCAGTTTTACACAGTCTCTTCCAGAAAATAGAAGAGAAAGGACTATGATATCATTATTTTGATATCAAAACAAAACAAAGACAGCACAAAGGAAGGAAGGAAGGGAGGGAGGAAGGAGGCAGGGACAGAGGAAAGAACCTTGCAGGCTGATTTTGCTCATAAGCTTAGATGGAAAAATCCTCAAGACAGTGTCAGCAAATCAAATTTAGTGATGCATAAAAAGAGTAGTAGACCACAATCAAGAGGAATTTCACTCAAGTTATGCAAGACTGTTTTAATATTTGAAAAGCCAATCCACATATTCTGTTTTGTAAACTGAAGAAAAATCATAATGATCTTATCAATTGACATAGGAAAAGGTTTTGACAAAATTCAAAACCTATTCATGATATAAACTCTTAGCAAACTTGGAATAGAGGGTAATTTCCTCCAACTTCATAAAGAGCATTTACAAAAATCTACAGTTAACATCACACTTAATGGTGAAAGAATGAATGCTTTCCCCTTAAGAGCAGGAACAAGGCAAGAATGTTCCCTTTCACCATTTTAATTCAAGATAGTACTAGAAGTTCTAACCAGTGTAATAAGACCAGAAAAAGAAATAAAAAGTATGCAGATTGAAAAGAAAGAAAGAAAACTATCACTGCTTGCATGTGGCATAATCATCTACATAAACAGTCCCATGGAACAAAAGAAAAATCCTTGATATAAAGAGTGAGAATATCAAGGCTGCAATACACAAGAATAACACAGATACACAAATTACATCTCTCTATGGTAACAATAAACAAGTGGAAACCAAAATAAAAACTGCAATACCATTTACAACTGCTCAAAATACATGAAGTATTAATATGTAGGAATAAATCTAATAAAACATATACAGGAGAATATATGCAAATTACAAAATTCTGCTGAAAGAAATCAAACATCTACATAAATGGAGAGTCATGCCATATTCAGGGATGGGAATTCTCAACATAGATGTCAGCTTCCTTCAAATTGCAGGTTTAATAGAATTCTAAATCTTGGCATTGTTTTTTGTATACATATGCAAACTTATTGTAAACTTTATATTAAAAGGAAGTGGACCTAGTTTAGCTGAAACAATTCTGAAAAAGAATAATTAAATAGAAGAAATCACTGTACCAATTATTAAAGCTTACTCTACAACTACAGTAATCAACTCAGTATGGTGCTGGTGGAGGGAGAGACACATTAATTACTGGTGCAAGATAGAGATCCCACCCCAGAAATATGCTTAATTAATTTTTGAGAAAGATGCAACAGCAGTTTAGTAGAGGACTGATAGCCCTTTCAACAAGTGCTGCAGGAACAATCAGACATCCATAGGCAAGGAGATGAGGCTTGGCCTGACCTTCACATTTTATACAAAACATAACACAAGGATCATGGGCTTAAATGTCAAACTGTAATATTTTCAGGAAAAAAAAAAGAAGAAAATCTTCAGGATCAGGGACTAGGCAGAGCCCTTAGACTTGACATCAAAATACAATTTATAAAAGAAAAAATTGATAAATTGGACCTCATCAAAATTAAATTTTTTTTTGCTCTGCAAAAGACGCAATTGGGATGATGGAAAGATAAGTTACAGAATGAGAGAAAATATTTGCAAATCACATATCTGACAAAGAACTTGTGTCAAGAATAAAGAACTCTCAGAACTCAACATAAAATAAATAAGTAATCAAATTAAAAATGCGCAAATGACATGAACAGATATTTGACCAAAGCAAATATTCTTTGTACATGAAAGGATGGTCAGCAACATTAGCCATTAGGAAAGTTGAAATTAAAACCACAATGAGACATCACTACATATTAGAATGGCTTTTTAAAAAGTGATTAGCACTAGGCTGGGTGCAGTAGCTCACGCTCGTAATCCCAGAATTTTGGGAGGCCGAGGCGAGTGGATCATTTGAGATCAGGAGTTTGAGACCAGCCTGGCCAACAGGGTGAAACCCCATCACCCCTAGTGACCCACTAGCAAAAGTTTTGCTCCTTGTCCCCACCACCTTATGCTCTGCTGGCCTAGAGGTCTTAGTTCCAGAGGGAGGAATGCTGCCGCCAAAAGACAGAGGGATGATCCATTGCGCTGGAAGTTTAGGCTGCCATCTGGTGGCACCAAGCTCCTCATGCCTCTGGATCAACAGGTAAAGAAGGAGTTAACTACGCTGGTGGGGGTGGCTGGTCCAGATCACCAAGGAGAAACTGCCCTGCTGCTTCACAATGGACTGAGGAAGAGCATGTCTGGGGTACAGGAGGGCCCTCGTGGCATGCGCTGTGATTAAGATCAATGGAAAAGCACAACAGCCCAATCTAGGCAGGATTAATAATGGTCCAGAACCTTCAGGAATGAAGGTTCCCCCACCAGGTTAAAAACCACAACCAGTGGAGGCTTCCTGAAGGCAAAGGGAATACAGACTGGGGAGTGCAAGAAGGTAGTTATAGGACCATGTGACCAGCTACAGAAACCAGGACTGCAATTGTCATGAAACTTTCCTCCTTATTTGCTGAGAGAGATAGAGAGAGAGAGTGTTTAAAGTTTTGGAAGAAAACATAGGAAGAAATCTTCATTAATTGAGGTTAGGGAAATTGTTCTTAGACATGATGCCAAATGCATGTAAAAGCAAAAATCCGTCAATTAGACTTGATCAAAATAAAAAATATAGCTTTGCAAAAGACACTATTAAAAGACACTGAAAAGACAGCTATAGGCTGGGAGAGAATATCTACAAACCACATATCCAACGAAGAAAGTAGTCTGACATATATAAAGAACTCTTAAAATCAAGTTAGAAAACCATCCAAACAAAAGTGGGTAAAAGACTTGGACCCTCACTGAAGAGGACGCTCTATGTGGAAGACAGAAAGCCTATGAGAGACCATCGACACTAATCACTAGGGAAATGCAAATCAAAACCATAGTGAGGTGCCACTGGAAAGCAGTTTGACAGTTCTGTTAAACCACATGGCCCAGCAGTCCCATAACGAATTTTCCTGGAGTAAGGAAAATTTGTGTTCACATGAAAACCTCTGCAGAAATGTTTATGGCAACTCTATGCATAATCGCCTAAATCTGGACACAACCACACGTCCTCCCATGGCTGAAGAGGTAACCACCTGTGTCTCCCTGTGTAGGCTAACACCATTCCACAATTGAAAGGAACATGTCACTGACACACAGAGCATTGGGGTGGATCTCAAAAACATGATGCTTAGCGAAAGCAGCCAGTTACAAAGAGCCCATGCTGCATATCTCCACTCACATGACCTTCCTGAGACAATGGCGTGACAGGGATAGAAGGCAAATCAGCAGTCAGCAGGGTTGGGTGGGGAGGGCTGGACTCCAGCAAGAGGGGTGCCATTCCTCGGCATCCTGACTGTGGAACCTTGTACGTGTGAAAATTCTCAGACCTAAACACCTCTTTTAAATGGGACCAGATGGGGAAATAAAACTATCATTTTTTGGTCATCTGTTTCGTATCAGTCACCACAGGTACAGTTGTGACCCTTGAACAACACAAGTCTGAACTACATGGGTCCACCTACATACAGATTTTTTCTTAAAAAAATTTTTTTTTAAATTAAATCTTCTTAAATAGACATGGGGTTGGCCAGGCGTAATGGCTCATGCCTGTAATCCCAGCACTTTGGGAGGCCAAGATGGGCAGATCACGAGGTCAGGAGATTGAGAACATCTTGGCCAACATAGGGAAACCTCATCTCTACTAAAAATACAAAAAAAAAAAAAATCTGGGTGTGGTGGCATGCACCTGTGGTCCCAGCTACTCAGAAGGCTGAGGCAGGAGAATCACTTGAACCCAGGAGGTGGAGGTTGCAGTGAGCCGAGATCATGCCACTGTACTCCAGTCTGAGCAACAAGAGCGAAATTCCGTCTCAAAAAAAAAAAAAAAAAAAAAAAAACACACACGGGGTCTTGCTATGTTGCTCAGACTGGTCTTGAACTCCAGGACTCAAGTAACCCTCCCAACCTTGGCCTCCCAAATTGCTGGGATCACAGGCATGAACCACCACACCTGGTCCACTTTTTTTTTCAATAAATATATTGGAAAAATGTATTGGAAAATTTCACATCAGCCATGCCAGCAGATGTGAAACCTTGCTCTTTTGGCCAAATGCCTTTTTACCTGGTCTTGGAAATGCAGCTTTTGGACAGATGTAGTAGCTCATGCTTGTAATCCCAGCACTTTGGGAGGCTGAGGCAGGAGGATCACTGGAGCCTAGGAGATGGAGGTTGCAGTAAGCATTGCAACCATTTGAAGAAACTTGCAGATGAACCTTGTAGCCTAGAAATATTGAAAAAGTTAAGAAAAAGGTATGTCATGAATGCATAAAATACTAGCATATTTTTATCATTTACCACCATAAAACATACATATATCATTTATAAACATACATATATCAATTATAAACAGTTAAAATTTATCAAAAGTTATGCACACAAACACAGTACATGGTGCCAGTCAAGAGAAATGTAAACAAATGTAAAGATGCAGTATTAAGTCATAATTGCATAAATTAATGGGAGCCCACTGTACTACTGTAATAATTCTGTCACCCCTCCTGCTACTATTGCAGTGAGCTCAGGTGTCCAGTGTCCACTTAAAATGCCATGTGACACTAGCCATCTCCACGTGAGCACTTGTCTCTCCTGTAGATTGTGTATCACAGTGAAAAGTAATCTCTTGTGGTTCTCATGTATTTTTCATGTTTAGTGCAATACAATAAACCTGAAGAAGACATGTACGAAATGCCACTAGTGATGCTGGAAGTGCTGCCAAGAAGCAGAGAAAAGACAGTACAAGAAAAAGATGGATTGATTGATATGTACTGTAGACTGAGGTCTGCAGCTGTGGTTGCCCACCATTTCAAGATAAATTAATCCAGCCTAAGAACCGCTGTAAAATAAGAAAAGGAAATTCGCAGTGTCATCACTGCAGCCATGCTAGCAGACATGAAACTTTGCTCTTTTTGCCAAATACCTTTTTATCTAGTCTTGAAAATGTAGCTTTTGGCTGGATGTAGTAGCTCATGCCTTTAATCCCAGTACTTTGGGAGACCGAGGCAGGAGGATCACTTGAGCCCAAGAGGTGGAGGCTGCAGTAAGCCAAGATCACACAACTGCACTCCAGCCTGGAAGCGAGGCTCTGTCAGGGTGAAAAAAAAAAAGATGAAAGAAGGAAGGAAGGACAGAGAAATAGAGAAAACGCAGCTTTTATCTGGGTGAAGGATATCTACAAGAAAAGCGTATCTATAGACTCTAATATGATTCAAGAAAAACTGATGTCATTATATGACAACCTAAAATGAGACTGGTGGAGGTTGGTGACTTAAAATTATGAGATCTACAAATTTGGAGAGGCTAAAGTACAGTGGCACAATCATGACTAACTGCAGCCTCAACCTCCTGGGCTCAGGCAATCTCCCACCTCAGCCTCCCAAGTAGCTGGAACTACAGGTGTGTGCCACCATGCCTGGCTAATTTTCAAACTTGTTTTTGTAGAGACAGGGGTCCCACTATCTTGCCCAGCTGGTCTCGAACTCTTGAACTCAAGCAATCCTCCCACCTCGACCTTCTAAAGTGCTGAGATTACAGGCATGAGCCACTGTGCCAGGCCAAGAGCCTTATTTTCTTTCTTTTTTTTTTTTGTCTGACAGAGTCTAGCTCTATCATCCAGGCTGGAGTGCAGTGGTGCGATCTCAGTTCACTGCAACCTTTGCCTCTCAGGTTCAAGCAATTCTCCTGCCTCAGCCACCCGATTAGCTGGGAAGACAGGCACATGCCACTACATCTGGTTAATTTTTGTATTTTTTTCTAGGTAGAGATGGGGTTTCGCCATGTTGGCCAGGCTGGGCTCAAACTCCTGGTCTCAAGTGATCCACCCAACTCAGCCTCTCAAAGTGCTGGGATTACAGGCGTGAGCCACTGGGCCAGCCCAAAAGCTTTATTTCTTAGAAAGGTTGCAGCCTGCAGGCTGGCCATCTTGACAGGCTGGGAAGTGTAGCCTCCAGCAAAGACCAAAAGCAGGCACTTCCAGGGAAAGATGAGACAGGAAGTTATGCTGAAAGGGTTGGCTAAACGTACATATTCAACAGATTATAGAAGGCTCTATTAATATTCATGAAGGGGGTGAGACACACCTATTTCACACATTACATACGTCCCATATTCATTTTGGAGTGGAGGCAACATTTAAATGCATTAAAATTGGGCCCTATATGTCAAAAGGTGAAGCAGAAGGTTCGAAGGCTCTCAGTGCCCAGCCTTCCTACTGGAGAAAACTGGTCCCGATTTACAACAGGGCCAATCAAGGAAATCATGAAAGAGAGTGTGCCTGTGGCAAAAAAGGTGGGGAATGTAGGCTTTCAGGATATGGATCTTGGAGAAATTCAAGAGTGAAGAGACATCACACCAGAGGAATTAACAGAAGACCACTTGATGGAGATGAGTGTTTTCGAATCAGTGCCAGATGATGAGGAAGAGGATGTAGATGCAGTGCCAGAAAATAAGTTGACATTTGACAATCTGGCAGAGGAGTTCTGATTATTCAAGACTACTTGTGACTTCTACCACATGGACCTTTCTATGGTACGGACACCAAAACTAAAGCAAATGGTGGAAGAAAGATTGGTAACATAAAGAAACATATTTAGAGAAATGAAAAAGCAAAAATGTCAGACAGAAATAACGATGAATTTCTCAGTGTGTGTGCATCTCCTGACTTCCTTCCCATCTCCCTGACCTTTTCTGCCTCTGCCATCCCTGAGATGACAGGACCAACCTCTTCTCTTCTTCAGCCTACTCAATGTGAAGACGATATGGATGAAAACCTTTATGATGATCCACTTCCATTTAGTGATAGTGAATACATTCTCTTCCTTATGATTTTATTAGTACTTTTTCTTTTCTGTAGCTTACTTCATTGTAAGAATACAGTATACAATACAAATCACATGCAAAATATGTGTTGAGTGTTTATGTTATTGGTAAGGCTTCTGGCCAATAGTAGGCTATTAACAAAAGTTGTGGTGAGTTGAAAGTTATATGTGGATTTTTTTTTTTTTTGAGACAGAGTCTTGCTCTGTCCTGCAGGCTGGAGTGCAGTGGTGAGATCTCAGCTCACTGCAACCTCCACCTCCTGGGTCCAAGCAATTCTCCTGCCTCAGCCTCCTGAGTAGCTGGGATTACAGGTGCGCACCACCACACCTAATTTTTGTATTTTTAGTAGAGCCGGGGTTTCACCATGTTGATCAGGCTGGTCTCAAACTCCTGACCTCATGATCTACCCACCTCAGCTTCCCCAAGTGCTGGGATTACAAGCGTGAGCCACCACACCTGGCCTATATGTGGATTTTTGACTGTGTGGGAAGGTTGGCACCCCATCCCCTTCATGGGAACTGTAGTCTCATTAAATCCTCACATGCTGCAAGATTGGTTTATTATCCCCATCTTACAGATAAGAAACTTAAAACCCAAGAGATTTTGTACATTGCCCAGAGTCACATCACTGGTGAGTGGCAGAAACTGGAGCCCCCACCCAGACTATCCCTGACCTGAGCACAGGTTGCCAAGTGTGCGTGCAGCAGTCAGAGACACTGGGAGATGGAGACTGCCCTCCGTATTGAGGCCACTTATATATCTGGCTTCTGTGAAACAGCCTTGCTTAGCTCCACCACTCGGTTTTGGTCAAATGAACCACAGCAGGATCATGTGGACTTCCTGAGCACTGGTTTGCATGTATGAGTTGGACTTGGTGATCTCTTTGAGGTGTGTGGAGATACTAAGCTAGTGGAAAAAGTGCTGAACAGACTGGGACCGGTGGCTCACGCCTGTAATCCCAGCCCTTTGGGAGGCCAAGGCAGGAGGAACTCTTGAGGCCAGCCTGGGCAACATAGTGAGACCTTGTCTCTACAAAAAAAAATTAAAAATTTTTAAAATGCTGAACAAAAACCCACCTGTGTTCAATCTTGGCTCCTCCCTGGATAATGTACCCACTCCCAAGTGTAGGTGTTGGTAACGCTTGGGAGTACATCTTAAGCCCAGGTAGCACATCAACCGGAGTTCCAGACAGTTCCCCAGCTTCCGCCTCAGATGTCTCTACCTGGCTGTCCCACAGGTGCCCATCACTCCACCTGGCATCCCAGCCAGACACCTGGGGGCCCTGGGGTACTCCCCGAAAACCCCTTGTTCCTCACAACCCCCAGACCCACTACCCCTCCAATGTTACCTCTCAGAGCTCTAGCACCCACCACTTCTCCCTCTCTGTGCCTCCTCCCCCTGAACTCCCTGCAAACTATCTCCACCCAGTAGCAAAGGGGCTTTTTGAAAAATGAAAATCTGACCATGCTGTCCCGGTTAAATGTTCTCTCAGGGCTTCCTGGTGTCTTGGGATGAAGATAGCATCTTAAGGCGGCCTCATCCCCTGCCTCTCTATTTTCCTCCCCAGCTCCTAGGACTCTGCCGCTGTCCTGGCTCCAGCTACGCTGGCTTGCAGGCGTCATGATGCCCTGTGTCACAGGCCTTTCCACATAACATTCCTGTGCTTGACACACTCTTCTGCTTCCCCAACTCCCAGCCTTTGCCAAGTTAACCAACTTCTGGTCATGGCTCAACCATCACTTGCTTCCCTAAGGAAGCCTTCTCCAACTTCCTACACCATGTCTAGAGCTGTGCCGTCCTCTACGGGACCACTGCCACATGGGGCAATTGAGCCCTTGAAATGTGCAACTGCTGCCAAGAACTGGAAATTTTTAATTTCAATTAATTTGAATTTCAAACAAGGGACTAGGTTCAGTTACATTTGAAACAAGGGGATATACATCTATTTTTTCAACTGTGAATACTGTGAAACCTAAATATAGATTATTTCCCACAAAATTTAGACCTGAATTGAGAGGTGTTATAAGAGTACACACCGGGCCGGGCACAGTGGCTCATGCCTGTGGTCCTAGCACTTTGGGAGGTTGAGGTAGGCGGAACACCTGAGGTCAGGGGTTCGAGACCAGCCTGGCCAACATGACGAAACCCTGTCTCTACTAAAAATACAAAAAAATTAGCCGGGCGTAGTGGCGGGCACCTGTAATCCCAGCTACTCCAGAGGCTGAGGCAGGAGAATCGCTTGAACCTGGGAGGCTGAGGTTTCAGTGAGCTGAGATCATTCCATTGCACTCCAGCCCGGGCAACAAGAGCGAAACTCTGTCTCAAAAGAGAAAAGAAAACAAAACACTACACCAAATTTCAAAGACTTAGCACAAAACAGGAATGTCAAGTAGTTCAATAATCATTTTTATACTGATTCCATGTTATGATGGTATTTTAGGTACACTGGCTTTATTTATTAGTAAACAGGGTCTCGCTCTGTCACCCAGGCTGGAGACCTACTGAATTCAGGTCATCCTCCCGCCTCAGCCTCCCGAGTTGCTGGGACCACAGGTGCGCACCACCACGCCCGGCTTTTTTTTTTTTTTTTTTTTTGTAGAGATAGGGTCTTGCCATGTTGCCCAGGGTGCTCTGGAACTCCTGGGCTCAATCGGATCTTCCTGCCTGGGCCTCCCAAGTAGCTGGGATTACAGGTGTAAGCCACCGCGCCCAGCCGGTATACTGGCTTTAAATGATAAAAATGTTCTGAACATTCACCTTCCGGTGTTGGCGCACGGGGCGTGGCGCGGAGTGACCAGCCCTGCCTGGCTCCTTTCAGCAGCAGGCGAAGCGGCTGCAGCGCGTTCTTTAACTTTCCCAGAAAGAACAACAGTTTGTAAAGCGCGCGATCTCATGCATGTCCCGGCCAGCCCAGCAGCTGGGGGTGCAGGGCCACGTCCAGTCTGGGACGCTGCAGGGGCTTCGCTCCTGGATCCCACCTCCTGTGCGTCCCCAGGCGCGGCGCGACAGTCCGGGGTCCTGCACGCTGTGGGGAGCCGCGCTGGGGGCGCCTCGGAAGGACGCGGTTCTCCAGCCCTTTCCGTGCCTAAACAGGACCGAGGCTGAGTTTCTTCGCGTGGGTGGAAACTAAAGCGGGGTTGGGGACAGGGTGCTGGCCATGGGTGCGGTTCCAGGAGCGGGCGCGGGTCCCCGGGCGGGATGGGGGGGCGCTCAGGCACAGCGGTGGGGCGAGGGCACAGCGCCGGGAGCGCAGATCCCAGGGGCCCTCACCGCAGTAGGTGATGGAGGTGTGCAGCAGCACCACGAAGCATTCCACAGGGCACACATACAGCAAAGCAGCACGCTGTTAGCAGTAAAGATAGGCAAGTTTGTCAATTAAACTTTCATAAAGCTGGGGGAAACAGAAGAAAACGAACCATAACAACAAAAAATAAAGCCGAGAAACATTTAAGAGATTTATTAGTTTGTTTTAAAATAACAGAAGCAAGCCCATTACATGGTAACATAAGTTGCATATTTTGTGAGAAATGTTTTCCAAAGCAAAAAAAAAAAAAAAAACCGTGGGAAAGTGGCGGTGCTTCAGTTGTGCGAGCTGTCACGTCCTAACACAGCTGCATCCTCAGCCCGCTGTCCCCCCGCAAGACGCTCCCACTTCCAGTGAAAAGAGATCAATAACATCTCCTTATTGTCACGAAACATTCTTGACTCAACCTCACTCAGCCACTGACAGGGTCGTGAAAATCCCAGGGGTCCCTGGACGGCACAATTGAGTGCCACTGGTTTTTTGGAGAAAAGTGTGGAGGAGTACTGGGGAGTTTGGAGAGGGTCCAGGGAAGGCCGCACCGACCAGTGGTCTCAGGACCAGCGTCCGAAGGAGCAGCGAGGAGGTGGAGGCCGGGAGGGGGACGTAGGAGCTGCCGCATTCCCGGCAGAGGGAACTGCAAGTGTTGAGGACCCCAGGCAAGTGCACTGAGGAATGAAAGGCCACTGTGGCCAGAGCTGGAGGCAGCAGAAGAGAGGCCCTAGAGGAGGGCAGGGGCCAGAGCAGCAGCGAGGCCAGACAAGGGCTGCGGCCTAGAAGCAAAGGGATGCCATGGAAGGAGCCTCGGAAAGTGACATCAAATTTGCATGTTTAAAAGCCGCGCTCAAGAAGTGCCGTCAATCATTAGAGACAGGTATCGGCCAAATAACCACATAAATACTTTTAAAAAACTAAACAATAATTTGGTAATTTCTTGGCTATGACACTAAAAGCACAGGCAACAAAGGAAAAAATAAATTGGACTTCACCAAAATTAAAATACCTTTGCGCATCAAAGGACACTATCAGAGTGAAAAGACACCCCGAAGAACGAGAGAAAATATGTGTGAATGGTTTACCTGATAAGGGTTTAATATCCAGAATATAAAAAGGACTTCTACAATTCAACAACAACAAAAAATCTGATTCAAAGGACTTGAATAGACATTTCTCCAAAGAAGGTCTATAGATGGCCAATATAGAGGAACAGAGAGCTTATACTTACAACTCTCCCCCCGAAACCCACTGTGCCTATTTCTGTGGTATGGAACTATGAGGTCTCAACAGAACAGATGAATAGATCCCAGTTTCTTTTCATGGAAATTTCAGGCCTTGTCTTTGGGCCACTAAGGTGCTTATTTCCCAGACTAACAAAAATAATCTAGCTTTTTGTCTTGACTACCAAACACTCTGGATTTTTTTTTTTTTTTTTTTTTTTGAGATGGAGTCTCACCCTGTCACCCAGGCTAGAGTGCAGTGGCGCGATCTTGGCTCACACAACCTCCACCTCCCAGGTTCAAGCAATTCTCCTGTCTCAGCCTCCCAAGTATCTGGGACTACAGGCACACACCACCACGCCCGGCTAATTTTTGTATTTTCAGTAGAGATGGGGTTTCACCATGTTGGTCATGCTGGTCTTGAACTCCTGACCTCAGGTGATCCACCTGCCTTGGCCTCCCAAAGTGCTAGGATTACAGGCATGAGCCACCATGCCCGGCCCACTCTGGATTTAAGGACAGTTCTTCCTTCAATCAGCAGCCAAAGAGTCCTGATTCCTGATTCTAATTAAGAAGTTTAACTTGGTATTCTATTTCTGATGGAAGGATGGCTAAAAGAAGGGAGACTCAAACAACAGATGAAGGCAAAATACTCTGTACTGAATTTTCAACGTAATCTTAAATTCTATGTTTAATTGAGATGACCCAAATTCTTTTTTTTTTTTTTTTTTGATACGGGGTCTCGCTCTGTCGCCCAGGCTAAAGTGCAGTGGCATGATCTCGGCTCACTGCAACCTCCGCCTCCCGGGTTCACACCATTCTCCTGCCTCAGCCTCCCAAGTAGCCCAGGCGCCCACCACCACACCTGGCTAACTTTTTGTATTTTTAGTGGAGACGGAGATGACCCAAATTCTTAACTGCCTCATAAATACTGTTAATATATTGAAAGTTTTGCCCTAGGCTTTTATTAAAGTCAACTATATAGAAAAGGTTTCTCCTATCTTGAAATGTATTATTAAAGACATCATCCCCAATAATATTCCATATTCTCTGTTTAGGAACCCCAGTTGTTTTCAAATTCAAGAATGCAGAGAAATCTACTTGTTACAAAAGAGTAGAATGGATAATGGGCACCACATCCTGAAGTGTATTTTAATAAAAATTCATGTAAGATGGTTCAAAATTTCACTAACTACTTTAAAAAGAAATGCCTGGGAGACTTCTATTTCCAGCAGAGTGGCAGACTGATGCCTTGAACAACCCTCTTATTACAAAACTGAATACTCCACATGAAAACAAATCTATTCAAATGCATTGTTAAGCTGTGAAGAGAATAACGAAAGTTCTAAGAAACCAAAATCTAAATGAAAACAGAAGTCCAGGCAGGCACTGAAAACCTAAAAAAAAACAAAAACAAAAACTGAAGAGGCCAATTGTTGGCAAGCATGTGGAACAGCAGGAACTCTTTAAGCTGCTGCTGGTGGTGGAGGCCAAGACACTGTGCTCCCAGAACACGACACAGAAGCCTCCACACTGAAGCAGAGCACAGGTGCCCTGGAGTCTCCACCCCACCCAGGGATCCTCCAGCAGAAGCACGTTTGCCCCTGCATACCTGCAAGTCCCATATCCAGACCTAGTGTTCAGGGCCGTGGGATAACAGCCAAAAATAGGAAATCATTTTACTCATCAATGGAAAAATGGTGACACAGTCATATAATGGAACTCAACAATGACGATAAATCAATGTCTACCACAGACAAGAACATGGATGTGTTCTGTAATACTGAACCAAATAAGCCAGGCTAAATAGAATGTGCTGTATTTTATAGAAATCAAAACCAGGCAGAACAAATCTACATCAGGAACTGGGAAAGTAGCTATTTTGTGTGTTGGGGCAGCAGTGCCTGGGAGAGGCCACAGGTCAAGGCTACTGCTTGGTCCAGGGCGTGGCAGCCTGGTGTGCTACAGTCCATCTAGATGCACACTTATGATTCGGGCACTCTTCTGTATGTACATTAACATTTCAATAAAAAGCTTATTAAAACATTAAAACTTTCAGAAAAATCCACATTGCTTCAGTAGAAATTAGCACATTAACGTTTAAAAAATACATGGATACGGTGGGGGAAAAATAGTTCAAAAGAGTACCCAGTGAAAAGTTTAAGAGGGAGTGACGCCAGCAAGGGGCTGATCAATAGCCCCTTGCACTCATCCCCTGACAAAGACACCCAAAGCAGCAAACAACTATATTTTGATGAAAGTCACTAAAAGAGAGCCCCAGAGTGCATCAAGGAGTAGCAGAAATCCAGTAGAGCACAGAAAACCAAGACAGTCACATAAAGGAGGGAAGGAAACATCTGGCCCCCACCACCCACTCCCCCAGAGGGATCAGCCTGAAGCAGAGGGGATATCTCCCTGCAGGGAAAAGGAAGCAAGAGGGGCCCAGTAGCCCCAGCACTCCCCTCAGAGAAGGAACTGACATTGTGCCCCACCCCCATGGACCAGCTGCTGCTGCAACGTGCCCTCCTGGACCTGGACCACTTCGGGAGCATGTCCCACCCAGGGGGAGCAGCCACCGCACCCTTCTTCCAACCTCAGGCTCTGTTGCTGTATATCACACCCACCTAGTGGCCCACCACCCCCGAGCCGCTGTTACACTGTCTTAGGCCATTTAGTGTGGCTGTAACAGAATACTTGAGACTCGGGGTAACTTATTTTATAAAAAAGGTTTATTTGGCTCACCCTGCTTGTGTCTGAAAAGTCCGAGATCGGGCAGCACAAGTGGCGAGGGTCTTGGGCTGCTTCATCTCATGGGGAAAGTGGAAGGCGAAACAGGTGTACGCAAGGGGCTCACATGGCAAGAGAGGAAACACGAGAGTCTAGGAAGCTGAACTCACTCTGATAACAATCCACTCCTGGTAACTAATCCAGTCCCATGAAAAGGCATTAATCTATTCATAAAGGATCTGCCCTGTGACCCAAATACCTCCCACTAGGCCCCACCTCCCACACCACCACATTTGGAATCAAATTTCAAATGGATGAAATTTCAAATGGCTGGTGGGAACAAATGATGTCCACATCACAGCATACACCCCACCTGTGGGGCTACGCTGCTGTGCCCCTCCCCTCCCAGCTGCCATTGTGCCCTGCCCCTTGGAGCCTGAGCTGACTTGGTGCCCTGCTTTCCAGGGAATCAGTGCCTTGGCCAGTCTGAGCAGTCACACCCCCCACTGCACGAGAGCTGAAGCGCTGCCCTGCTTCACAGGGAATCAGTGTCTTGGCTGAGCTGAGCAGCCACACCTGCCAGGGATGAGCCAACATGGCACCCCCATATCCTAGGAAAATGGCATTGGCTGAACTGGGGTACCTTGCCCTTCAGGACAAACAACTGTAGAACCCTGCTTCCTTGGAACTGGACTAGCTCTGGAGAATCTGAGTTGCCCAGGCACCTGCCTCCCCAGGGAGAGAAGTAGTTGCTGCACTGGTCCCTGCCCCTAAGGGCCCAAGCCACAGTAGGGCTCCACCATTCTGGGGTCCTTGCTGATGCTGCATCTGGCCTCACAGAGACTGAGATGCTGCTGTGTCCCACCACGGCAGGTTCCAGAGTCACTATCATGTCACTCCCATGTCCAGAGTCACTCCCATCCCCTGGGAGTTTACTTCTTAAACTCTTCGCAAAAACAGAGCGAGAGGAAATAATTCCAAACACATTTTACCAGGCCAGTATCACCTTAATACCTAAGCCAAACCAAAACACACACACACACACACACACACACACACACACACACACACCCCAAACAAAGAAAAACTACAGGTCAACTTCTCCAATAAATTAAAAACTGATGCAAATATCCTAAAAAAATTTTAGCAAATAGAATTCAACAACACATCAAAAACATTATACATCGTGTTTCAGTGGGATTTATCCCTGGCATGCAAGACTGGTTTAAAATATGTAAATCAATCAATGTGATATATCACATTAACACAATGAAAGATAAAACGACATGGTCATCTCAATTGATGCAGTAAAAGCATTTAACAAAGTTTAGCAACCTTTCTTGATAAAACCTCTTAATAGTTTATGTATAGAAGGAAAGTTCCTCAACATAATAAAGACCATTTATGAAAAACCCACAGTCTAATCATAGTTAGTGGGGAACAACTAAAGCTTTTCCACTAAGATTGAGTACAAGATAGGGATGGCCAGCCTCATCACTTTTATTCAATAGAGTACTTGCAAGAGCAATCAGATGAGAAAAAAAGGCAACTAAATTAAAGAAGTAAAATTATCTCTATTTGCAGATGACAAGATCCTTTATGTAAAAAACTCCAAAGATTCCACAAAAAACTGTGAGAACTACTAAATCAATTCAGTTAAGCTGCAAGGTATAAACTCAACATATAAAAATCAGTTGCATTTCTATATACAAATAACCTAGCTGACGAAGCAATCAAGAAAATAATCTCATTTACGATAGCATCAAAGAAAAACAAAAACTTAGGAATAAATTTAACCAAGAAGGTGAGAGATGTGTACACTTGAAAACCATAAAACATTGATGAAAGAAATTTAGACATGAACAAATGAAAAGACATCCTATGTTTATGGATCAGAAGACTTAATATTGTTAAAATGTTCACACTACCCAAAGCAAATATACAGATTTAACACAATCCTCATCAAAGTTCTGATGGCATTCTTCACAGAACAGAATAAAACAATCCTGGCCAGGCACAGTGGCTCATGCCTGTAATTCCAGCACTTTGGGAGACCGCAGCGGGCGGATCACGAGGTCAGGAGTTGGAGACCAGCCCGGCCAACATAGTGAAACCCTGTCTCTACTAAAACTACAAAAACTGGCCAGGCATAGTGGCATGTGCCTGTAGTCCCAGCTACCTGGGAGGCTGAGGCAGAAGAATTGCTTGAATCCAGGAGGCAGAGGTTTCAGTGAGCCGAGATTATGCCACTGCACTCCAGCTTGGGCGACAGAGTGAGACTTTGCCTCAAAAAAAAAAAAAAAAAAGAAAAGAAAAAACAATCCTGAAACTCATATGGAACCACAAAAAACCCCAAACAGCCAACAGATTACTGTGAAAGAAAAAGTTGGAGGCATCACACCTCTTGATTTAAAATTGTATTACAAAGCTACAGTAATCAAAACAGTATGGTGCTGGCACAAAAACAAAAAAATAGACCAATGGAACAGAACAGAGACCTTTGAAATAAATCCAAACATATACTGTCAACTAATTTTTGACAAGGGCAAACAAGACAACACAATGGTAAAAAAGATAGTCTCTTCAATAATAGGATTTTCACATGCAAAAGAATAAAACTGGACCCTGATCATACACCATACACAAAAATCAACTCAAAACAGATACAAGACCAAAGACCCAAATAAGACCTGAAACCATAAAACTCCTAGAAGAAAACATAGGGGGAAAGCCTCTTGACATTGGCCTTAGCAATAATTTTTTGGATATCGCACCACAAGCCAGGCTACAAATGTAAACATAAACAAGGAGGACTGCATCAAACTAAAAAGCTTCTGCACAGCAAAGGAACAACCAACAAAATGAAAGGGGAACCTACAGACTGGAAGAAATATTTGCAAACCACATATCTGATAAAGTGTTAATATCCAAAAATCAGTAAAGAACTCTTACAACTTAATAGCAGAAAAACAACCCAGTTGAAAAATGGGCCAAATAGGAAATGACCAATAGGAAATGGGGAGATGTACATTAAAATAATACAAAGTAGCAGACATGTAGGATGAACAAGTTAGAGATCTAGTGTACATCATGAGGGCTATAGTTAATAAAAATATATTGTCTTTGGGATTTTTGTTAAATAAGTAGATTTTAGCTGTTCCTGTCACACAAACAAAAATCTAACTATGTGAGATGGTAGCTATGTTAATTTGCTTCACTATAGTAACCAGTTTACTATCTATATGTATCCTTTAAGATCATATTGTCAACCTCAAATACATAAAATAAAATTTATTTTAAAAAGGAAAAGTTTGTCTTCAATCCAGAAAGAACCACTATTACCATTTTTTGGTGTTCCATTCCAAAATATCCCAAAAATATACAATTGTTCAATCAAATTTAACGTTAGACTTTATACTTGAACATTCAAAGTACGTAAGAAATTATAGAAAAGTGTCTGTGTGACTCCCTGTCTGTAGAGCACAGGCTTCATCTCTACTAACACACACACGACCAGTACCTTATACAGAGAGTCCTTGTTTGCCTTTAGTCTGACACCATGGGCGAGCCTGAGTTGGCCCGTGGTCCGCATTCCTGACCAGGTGTCTTTCTCACCCACTGGTTTCAACAAAGATGCTACTGGGTTATAGAAGGCTGGGATGGAAACAGGATACCAAGTTCGCATGAAGACAATATCTGAAAAGAGGTAATTTACTTTAACATTTTCAAAAGAAGATTCATATCCATATTGCGAAGAAACAAAGAACAAAACCTTCACTCCAAACTTCTCTACCTGGCTGCAAAGTATTTGAAGGGAAAGGTCGCTAAGGGAACTATTCTCATAGATCACAGAACTGTTACTGGGTGTGGCCAGGGGGCTGAAGACACAAGCGAATGGGCACACCGCATAACACTGGGAGATCTAAGGCTGGAGCTGCTCAACTCTCTGGAGACCTGACTCCAGCCTCTCATCACACTGGCTAGAAGTCAAGCATGAATGGTAACACCCTGCCCTGAATACTACTTAAGACATTCACCGCTCATCAGCAGCTTATCCTCAAAGCTGGCCCAGAAAGCTCCTTCTGGAGCTCAGAGTGCTTTCTTGATCTGCCCCCTTATCCCAATGACAGTTCAAATCACAGCACCTTCAAATTTGGCCACGTCCAAGGCAGAATTAAACATTCCCTACAGGTGTAGCAAGATAAAAAAACACACACACACAAAATCATATACTTTATGCTTTACTTCTTACTTCAAACATACATCCTTGATTAAAGAACAAAAACAACTCACTGAAGGGTGATAAAATAATCAAAATGTATTTGCCCCTGAAAGTGGAATTACTACCTCAAAAAGAATACAACTCTTTCATTTTCCCCAAAATAATCATGTGAGTTCATGGGCATGCTCATCACTGCTGTCTGTGTGGAAGAGAAGATCGAAGAGGGATTTACTGGACTGAATTGGCCTAGGAAGCCTTTGCTGGCATCTCTCAGACTGGACTGCAGCCCAGATCCTTTTACTCAGATGCATGCACTTAGAACATGAAAACAGTAAGATAAATGCTGGTGGTATTATTACCTTATATTGCAAGAACATTTTATGACTTCCTAACTCTGTGTTTTCAATAGAAACATCCCCACTAATGAAATTGTCAATAAATGCTGCTCAAACCACCCTCCCCAAATACTGAAAAACAGTACGTCCGTTTCTCTGTACCCTTGCCAAGTTGTCTGCAAATGCTTTGTCGATTTTTCTACCGAGTTAGACAAACTTGTGATTTTTTTCCCTTTCTTAACACAAATTTAAAAAGTAGGAAACAAAACCTAGTGGATAAAATGACATATTTTCAATATGAGTTCTGTGGCAGTCTCACATGGAAGTCAGGAGTAACAGCCTCAATTCCTAAATAGCTGTTTACCACTGCTTTTTTGAGCATATTTAAGTAATACAGAATATAAAGGAGCAAACAAAATATGAAGTTTATAAAAGATTTCAAACACTTTTCTAAAAATGAGGCCCATATTTTAGAGGTATTTCATTCCTTTTCTCAAACAATATGGAGATTTATAAATATGAGAATATATAGATATACAGACCTTAATAAATGAAGTGGAAAACCAGTTAGCTTTAATTTCTTCACAATTTTTATGGATTTATCCAGATCAAGGACAACTCCTGTGGCAGCTATCCGAAAATCAGGCTAACAGGAACCCCAAAATTTGAAAATAGGAATAATATTAGCAAAAGAAAAACTTCAATTCTATGTGACACAATAAATTACCAAAGTGAATTTTACTGACAATTAGCTAAGAAAAACAAGAGAGACCATCTGAACTTGCAACCCAGTGGTTTGACAAAAGCAATCCAAAACTTTAAAGTTGGTAAGCCAAACTAACAAGGGTGACTTGAGGCTGGGCACAGTGGCTCATATCTATAATCCCAGCTACTTGGGAGGCTGAGGCAGGAGAACCGCTTAAACCCAGGAGGCAGAGGTTGCAGCGAGCCAAGATCGTGCCACTGCACTCCAGCCTGGATGACAGAGTGCGACTCTGTCTCAAAAAAAAAAAAAAAAAAGAAAGAAAAAAAAAGGCTACTTGAGTACTTTCCTGAGAGTGATTTCAGAGGAATGTAATTTTACTATAATGATTTATTTGGAACGAAATGGAAAAGAAAAATACAGTTGCAATGTTTAGGAAATTAAAATTTGGACCTCCAGGGAAGATTCCATCTGCTCATTATTCTGCTTTCTTCTCTGTTAAATGGGACCAGTAAACCCTGCCCTGCGTGACTGGTCAAATGAAAATGGAGTGAACAGACTGCTACCCCAGCACAGCTGCAGGGAGTCTTGTGTCTGGGTGGTCTCTGATGGCTCCTCATAACCTCATATAGTGCTTAGCACATGGTGAGCACTGCTTAAATACTTGCTTAGATAAATAAATGCAAAAGATGCACAAAAATAGGAAATGTACCATTATAATTCTTCCACCTCCCCTCCTCTAATCCCACACCCTACTGAAAAGGATGTACGAAGATTAAAAGCAAAGGGAAATTTACTTTATATTAATAAAAATGAGTAATTTTCAATTTAAAGTCTCATGTACATAATAACCCACATTCAGGATATATTTCTCAAACCAATCTGTAAAAGAAATCATCCAAGATAGTTACCATTATGCCACTGACAGACTGTATTGCCAAGAAACCAGTTCCCTGTGGAGTGATAGGGTCTTAAAGGAAAAGGAAAAAAAGAAATATAGCAAACCACAAATTTTAGATTCTAGTTTAACATACTGGATATGGACATTTAGATTTGGATATAGATTTACATATATACTCCAAACCACCTCCCCGCTCCCAGAAAAGAGAAAAATCTTAGGAGTGGAATTTTATGAAAGGAAAAGCACAAAGCTAAAATAACGCAGCCTGTAAGGTTTAATCTCGGCAATAGGCAAGTTATTGTAATCATATTTTACCCCAAAAGGCTGCTCCACAATGCATGTGCTGTGGGGTATACTTTAGAAGCCTTTGTCTTCCATTGTGGTCTTCGATATAATAGAGCGGGATGGTCTGAAACCTCCTCCACCCTACAGAAAATATGATTGGATCTCGGGACTTGAGGATTTTCTTATACCAGCGATGTTTCTTCAGACGCATCTGAAGGGGATGAGAGGGTAAGATGATTGATGGAGGGGAAATCCACAGAGCCTCAGGCACCAAATATGCAGCAAAAGGACCCACCTGCACGTATCCAACATTTCCCTCGCTGTTGCCCAAGCCACCCAGGATAATGGGGTAATGGGGGTCAATGTTCTGCACAAATTCACAGGGAACATTTTCAATCTCAACGCGGACGTACATCCCAGGTCGAAAACCCTCATACTGAACTCTGGCTTCATCATCTTGATCTTCAAATTCTGCATGATTCAACTGTACATGACGGGGCGGGGGGCGGGGAACCTGTATGCTGTTATCTGTAATAAACATAGGATTAACATGAACAAATGAGCAATTTCTAAGTAAAGGAACTGTGGACAAAATTATGTAGGCTTTATCCTATTAAAAATACTACACATTTGGCCGGGTACAGTGGCTCATGCCTGTAATCCCAGCACTTTGGGAGGCCGAGGCGGGCAGATCACATGAGGTCAGGAGTTTAAAACCAGCCTCGCCAACATGGTGAAACCCCGTCTCTACTAAAAATACCAAAATCAGCTGGGTGTGGTGGTGCCTGCCTATAGTCCCAACTACTCAGGAGGCAGAGGTGAGAGAATCGCTTGAACCTGGGAGACGGAGGTTGCAGTGAGTCAAGATCGTGCCACTGCACTCCAGCCTGGGCAATAGAGCGAGATTCCATCTCAAAAAACAAAAAAACAAAAAAAACCTACACATTTTACCTCTACAGTCTGCTCAGAATATGTCCCAACCGTTTTCTTCTCTCCTGCTCCAAGGGACAGCAAATGTAGATAACTGTGGAGCCCTGCGTGCTCAAACATTGGAAACATCCCCAGTCCACACCTTCTTTCCTTCCTCTCCAAACAATTCTTTCACACTTTTCTCTTGTCTTCAAACACCCACCACCACCCTCACCTTCACTCAGCTGATGGCTGTTTCCTGATTCACTCCAAAACCAAAAGAACCTCTATGGTCAACCCTCTACCAGGGTTTCCTCCCATATCCAGCCTTATCAGAGCTCTGACCTGGCCCATAGAGGAGCTATGTGTGGCTATTTAAATTAAAATTAATTACAATTACATAATATTAAAAATGCAGTTCCTCAATCACACTAGTCACACTGGAAGTGGTCCATATCAACCTGCGGCCAGTGTCACAATACTGGGAAGCACAGACGTGCATCTCCATGATCACAGAAAGTTCTACGGGCAGCTCAGGCACAGATGATTTGTCCATGCCTTTACTCCGGGCCACACATCACTTGCTCACTAGACACCATCCACTCTTCCTGGATTTTATTCCAACAGCTCTTCCCTCTGTTCTCTCTCTTATCTCAAAACCTTTTGATTCCACTTCTTCCACCAAAAACTGCTTCATTTCTCTGCTTCTCTCTGCAGCAAAACCCCACAAAAGTTTTCTGCAGTTGCAGCCTCCAGTTCCTCTGCTCCCATTCTCCTACATCCATGAAAATTGGTGCTTGCCAAGATTGCTGAAGGCCTCCACGCTGAAGGACTCCTCCAGTGGTCAACTCTGCCTTTACCGTAGTTAACACTGCAGCGGGATCTGAACAGTGCTTCGCCTCCATGTACAACTGGACTCCTGCGTGCCTGCATGCTCACACTGCTTCTCCCTCTCCCTCCTCGGCACTGCTCAGGCCTCACAGCCGCAATCGCCCCATCTCGCCCATGCCAGTCTTGCTCCTCCCAGTCACTCTGCACTCACTCCCTGGCTACCTCACAGAGTTAAGTGGCATCTACATGCTGACGGCTGTACATCTAAGTCCCTGGCCAGACCTGTCTCTCCAGACTTGACGCTCCGCTTGTCTGCATGATACCCAGCCAAACCAAACATCATCTTCCCAAAACTGCATCTGCAGACAGTTTCCTATCTAACCTGCAACAACCCATCCTTCCAGGAATTTCCAGCCGCCATCCTCATTTCCTCTCACACATCCCACATTCAGTCCACCAGGAAATCCTACTGACCCAGCTTCCAAATAAACTCTATCCAGGTTTGACTCTTTGTCTCATCTCCACTGCCAGCCCTCTGGTTTGTGCCACCGGACTGATCTCTACCAGACTGATCTCTTGGCAGAGTGATCTGATTACCTGAATGTCTCTCCTCTGCTCAAAACCCTCCAAGGACTCCCATTTCAGAGTGAAACATTCAGTCTTTTCCAATGGCACACAAGGCTCTAGGTAATTTTAAATTGTAAATGGTGTGAAGCAAAAACTTCAGAGTTAGCCTAGTCATGCCTTTCAAAGGTCAACACAGACTAGCAACCACTAAGCTAATGCCTAATCAGGAAACAGTCCTTTGACTAGATGAAGACCTAGGATGAAACTCCGTTTCACAAATCATACACCTAATCTGTTCCAGCTTACACAGGCACTCCTGGCCTCACTAACAAGACGCAACTCAGATGCTCACCATCAACTGTACACACGTTTCTGTGTCTGTCTCCTTCAGAGTGAGATCACCGCCTCCAGCAACCTGCTCAGCACCCCCAGGCAGGAGGGCCACACCATCTCCCTTATCTCCGCATCTGACCTTATACTCCACATGTCCTTCTGAACTCTGACCAGGATGTTTTGAGAGCACTTCCCCTGGGAGCTCTTGTGTGTCCATAAGCCACACAGGCCACTGATCACCTGCCATTCAAATCAGGGAGCAGCGATCAGAATAGGCAGCATTGGCTTGCACTGAAATGAACACACTGTCTTAGATCACTACATTGTAAAAGTCTCAAAAGTAGAGACCATGTCTCAGTCATTTCGGTTTCCTAATTCTTGTTACAAAATAGGTATGGATCTTTTTCTGGTGACCTTCTGACTGTAGAAACAATGAGCTCACTGCATGAATAAACACACTCACATGCATCTACCCAGGAGTCCAACTGAAAGGCACAGAAGCAGGATAGGAAGCAGGGACCCAAAGAAAGTCAGGGATTCCTGCACTATGTGATAGTCTTGACAAGGGGCTAAGAGGAACTGAGGTTTCTCACCTGTGCTTGTTTCTGCATTTCTCCTTTAAGATCATCAAAATATGTGCTTTCTCCTTCATCATATTCCACATCAAACATCTCCTTCAATTTTCTCTTCTTATCCAAATGCTTTTTCTTGGCACTTTCTTCTTCATCAGGGTCAATTTCTTTCTTGTTTCTCTATATCTTCATTCTTAAATTTCCAGGAGAAAAAATTTTGTGTATGTTTATGAAGGTCTTTTCTTTAAACGTTAGATTTTTTAAAGTTCTATTTAAACAAAAATCTTAGCAAAAATCTGTTATCGTTATCAATAAAACAAAACAAAACACAACATAACCTTGGTCTCTGAATAACATGGTACTGCTACATGAAATTGTTACATCTGCATTACAATTAGCTGCTATTCCTTAAGCTGGCTGGGAACACAAACTAGAATAAAAATAACAGATATGTCCCTCACCCAGATGCTCCCAGACCCTGTTCTAAAGAAATATTAGGGAGAACAGGGACTTCATTCTTTTAAATGACACTTAAATTTAAAAAGAGGAGAATGATGGCAATGGTTGAATGTAAGTCTGAGAAGCTAAGACTTCTGTGAGTGAAAAATCACAGTGGACTTGGCAAATGACTACGGCAAGAAACGGTAGTAACTGTCGTCCAAAACTTAACAAGTAAACAAGAAAGCTTCTCTTTGGTCTCCACATCCCCACCCTTTAGGAAGGAATCTATCCATCCCATCTGCAATCTTCACACATCACAAGTAAGATTTGCATTTCTCAATATGGGCCTCTCTCAGAACACAATGACCAAGAACAGCCAGCTACAACAAAGACATACCTGAGTATCGGGGCCCGATTTTCCCTTGTGCACGTCCCCTGTTTCCAAGTCTTCAAAGTCACCATAGAGCTCCTCTGGGAAAAGAACACCCAAAGGCTGCTCTGTGAGCCCGGCATGCATGTGCTGCTGGCCCCACCCACGACAGGCCCACAATGCGCTCTGTGTTCCAAGCCTCATTCTCACTGCTCCCGTCACTAGACACACAGGCAAAACTTTGCACTAGGGAATGCTTCATAAAACGGTTAGTATTTCATCATCTGTTTAGGTAAACTAAATGGACCCAATCCACATTTCCGCACTTCATGTCAAAATCCCAATCTCAATTTTTCCAGTATAGATAATGGACACTCTTTTGTTTCTTTTTTTCTTTTTTTCTGGAGACGGAGTCTCACTATGTCACTCAAGCTGGAGTGCAGTGGCACAATCTCAGCTCACTGCAACCTCTGCCTCCCAGGTTCAAGCAATTCTACTGCCTCAGTCTCCCGAGTAGCTGGGATTATAGGCACCTGCCACCAGGCCTGGCTCATTTTTGTATTTTTTTTTTTTTTTTTTTTTTGAGACGGAGTCTCGCTCTGTCGCCCAGGCTGGAGTGCAGTGGCGCGATCTCGGCTCACTGCAAGCTCCGCCTCCCGGGTTCACGCCATTCTCCTGCCTCAGCCTCCCGAGTAGCTGGGACTACAGGCGCCCGCTACCACGCCCGGCTAATTTTTTGTATTTTTAGTAGAGACGGGGTTTCACCGTGTTAGCCAGGATGGTCTCGATCTCCTGACCTCGTGATCCGCCCGCCTCGGCCTCCCAACATTTTTGTATTTTTAGTAGAGATGGGATTTCACCATATTGGCCAGGCTGGTCTCGAACTCCTGACCTCGTGATGTGCCCTCCTCAGCCGCCCAAAGTGCTGGGATTACAGGCATGAGCCACTGCAACCGGCCAATGGACACTCTTTATGAAAGACACAGAGGTCTATCTGTGTCCCCCAAACGAATAATTCAAAGAGTGAATGGAAAAGTCCCACGCTGATAACCAGTACATGTGAAAAGGAGTCTCAATGTAAGTTCAACACAACACAATCATGTAACACACCTAGGGGAAATTTTAGATTATATAAAACATAGCATTTAGATTAAGAGTAGAGCCCCAAACCACACCAAACCCATGGGAAGAGCTTATTCACTTATTCATTCCTTCATTTGTTTTTGGAGCTCTGGGCTCAATTATAGTTCCCACTCTTAAAAGAAATAGACAAGTAAGGCTGGGTGCAGTGGCTCACACTGTAAACCCAGCACTTTGGGGGCCCGGGAGGCAGAGGTTGCAGTGAGCCATAATTGCATCACTGAACTCCAGCCTGGGTGACAGAGTGAGACCCTGTCTCAAAAAAAGGATAACAAAAGAAAGAGGCAAGTTAAAACTCATTTGGGAGAGCAATATTTAGAAGGCTATTAAAACATTTTCACATAAGGGCCAAAGAACCAGGTAGACATTATAAAAGATAGGAAGCTCCTATTTGTAATAAAAGCAAAAAAGGATAAAATAGGAATAAACCTAACAAGAAGTGCACCGGAACTTTATTTTTTAAAAAAGAAGAAAAGCTTTAATAGGCTACCAAAGGACAAAAGGAATAGCATCACTACCAACACTCGTAAGTGCTCTCCACACCAGGCACTGCGTTAAGTACTTTCCTTGCCTTAACCACATTCTTCAACCCAAGGAAGTAGGTGTTGTAAATATTATATACTGAATAATGATACGTCCTCATTTGAAAAGAAAGATTCGACATCACAAATATGCCAATTCTCCCTTTAGCACAGTTACAACCCGAAACCACCACTAAGGATTTCTGGTCTAGAGAAGATAACACATTATACCCTCCTAAGAAATGTAACCCAAATTGTAGAAATAATAGACAGGAGAGGATCAATGGAGAATTCCAAAAGGTGGACAGAAAAAGGCTGCTGAGGGACTCTAGGACTAGGGAATGCATAGTAGCCAGGTGTCTCCCTGGACCTCATCCAATAGGAAGGTGACCCAGGCCCAGAGTTTCCCAACTCCCAACGTAGCAATAGAAGGCAACCCAGGCAGACTCAGTCCCTGCAGATCAAAGGAGATCTTCCCCACAACAAGAAAACCAGCTCCACACACCAAGACCACCACCATTCCCCACCCACCTAGCTGCAGCAGGTGGCCCAGCCTGGGGCAGCTCCCCTGTTCCCTCAGGTGGGCAACAGAAGGGACTGGTGGGAGAATCCCAGTGATACATATAAGCCAAACAGACCAAAATAACACCATGAAAGCTCTGAAATTAAATTGCCATTGCAATCACAGCCCACAAAGTAGACCAAGACCTACAGACTAAACCTAAACAGGAGGACTGCCTGCAAAAATAAAAAAAATTACATAGGCAGATGTTGGAACCATCTGACTCATCACTTGTAACAGCCAGTATAAAAATGCTTCAACAAGCAACTACAAATCCTATGGCAACAATCAAAGAACTGAAAACGTCAGCAAAGAAACTGAAGAAGAATCAAATGGAAATTACAGAAATATAAAATACAGTAAAAGAAATTTTAAAAAAATCTAACTGGATGGGCTCTATTGAGTAAAAGTGGAGACGACAGAGGAGAGAATCAGAGAAGCTGAAACCTGATCAACAGAATTCACCCGGTCTAAACAATAGAGAGAAAATAACCTGAAAACAAATGAACAGAGTTGCACGGACCTGTGGGACGATAACAAAAGACCACGCATTTATGTTATCTGAGTCCCACAGGAGACCAGAGCTGTGAAAGCATGCAAATAACTAATTCCTGAGGCTTCCCACATTTGGTGAAAGATATAAACTTACAGATTCAAGAAGCTGAGCAAACCTCAAAGTATACCAAAAGAAAGCAACACTGATTAAACTTTCAAAACTAAAAACAAAGACCAAAAATGGCAGAATGCCTGTAGGGACACGCCAATTCAAATGCCATGGAGGCCAGAAGGAAGTGGCACAACATTTTCAAGTGCTTAAAAAAAACCAACCAAACAAAAAAACCAACCAAACAAAAAACTGTTCGCTGCAAATTCTATATCCCATGAAACTACCCTTCAGAAATGAAGAGAGAAATAAAGACATTCTCCGAGGAAGAGAATATAGGAATTTGTCACTGGTCAATTTAGACATGCTAAAAAGTGGCTACAGAAATATGTTCTGTCATTTCCACAATACAAAAAATTAAAACAAAAAAATCAAAATAAAAAATGGCTATAGAAAGTTCTTATGCAGAAGGGATGAATATGGGACTACGGGAGGAGGGACAAAGGAAAGACCAGAAATGTGGATACATACGCGAGACAATCCACAGTTCTTAAAATCACATTTGACGACTGAAACAAAAACTATACCACCACCTAATACTCAAGCCAGTGATTTATACAAGTGGAAAAGGTAAAGAGACATAAATGCAAGGCAGGTTTCCACACTTTGAAGTGGTAAATACTGGTACCAGTAGACTACTATATTACAATACACATATTGTAACATCCAGAGCAAACACTTTAAGACTATACAAAGAGATACACGCAACAACATTATACAGAAATAGATCAAGATGGAGGGAAAGAAAAAGGAAACAAAAAAGCAAATAATAAAAACATCAGACATAAGCAATTATGTAACAATAAGCACCTTAAATGTAAATGGTCTAAATAAACCAAAAGACAGATTGATGGAGAGCCTATAATAAACACATGGCCCAACTAAATACTGTTCATAAGAAACTTCAAACTCACTTAAGGACCTAAGTAGGTTGAAAGTAAAAGAATGGAGAAAGATATCCTGTGAAATCATTAATTTTTTAAGGAAGCAGGAGTGAATATATTAATATCTCATGAAGTAGACTTCAAGCAAAATAATTTACCAGAGCTGGAGAGGGTCTTCGTTGAATTTTAAGATCTAAAATTTCCTATGCTGCCTTGACATCTTTGAGCCTCACAGGGCCCCAAAGGCCTAGCCGTGGGTTTTCCTGTTTCTACCAGACACCCCCTACCCTGCCACCCAACAGGAAAGGCTCCCCACCTGGCTAGTTCTTTTATCAGCCAGAACAGTTGCACCTCAGCCTAAGAAGTTTCACTTCACCTGTCTGCCAGCCCATGAATTTATTCAAACAAGCCAATTGCATTCCCCCTCGGGAACCATTGGTCATTGTGTGCTCTTGTTACTATCAAGCCTGCCTGCTTCCTCAGCCTGCAGCCCTCACTCCGCTACAGAGTGCGGTGCCCATCTGACCCTGTGTGGCATGCAGTGTCCTCCTCTGAGCTGTGGGTATATGTGACTAAAACACTGCTGTCAATCTCATCCATCCACGCCAGGTGTCGTGTTCAGCCATCTCCTACACTTTAGGGCAGGGACCCCTCCTTCACCAATGGGGTGAAAAGGAAGTGACCATAACAACTGCTTAATGACAAAAGGATTGACCCACCAAGAAGACATCTACTTCAACATCCTCCTCTTAGCAACTGTTAAAACTAGGCAGAGGCCGGGCACAGTGGCTCATGCCTGTAATCCCAGAACTCTGGGAGGCAAAGACAAAGGATAGCTTGAGGCCAGGAGTTCGAGCCTGGGCAACATAGCAAGGCCTCATCTCTCCAAAAAATTTTAAATTTAGTCAGGTGTGGCGGCACACACCTATAGTACCAGCTAGTCAGGAGGTTAAGCCAGGGGAAGTACTTGACCCTAGGAAGTCAAGGCTGCAGTGAGTCATGTTCGTGCCACCGCACTCTAGTGTAAGTGACAGAGTGAAACTAGGCAGAAAAGGAGCAAGGATTTACAAAAGATCTGAACAGTCAACCAGCAAAATCTGACATCCGTATAATACCCCACTCCCCAACAGCAAAACACACACATTTTTAAAGCCAATAGAAATCTACCAAGATGAAGTACATTTGGGGCAATAAAAGAAATCACAGCAAATCTCACTGTGCGCCCCTCTGCGTCGGCGCCGGCGCCGTGCCCCTCTCTGCGCCTTCTTTTTTCACCATGGGGAAGCGTTTGGGGGCCTCTTGAGGGACCCCCTAGATGCTTCCACTCAGAGCCCCCAAAGCCGGGGAGCCTCCACTCCTCTGTCTGCAGTCTCCCCTGTCGGTTCTCGCTACCCAGGGTTCAGTGGCCTGGGGGCTGACGGAGGGGGTCGCCTCTGCCAAGGCCCCTCCCGGCGCCTCCCTGGCTCATCCAGCCCACCTTCCTCCCACGCTGGCTCACGCAAAGTGCTCTGGTCACCAGGAGCCCTTCCTGACCAGCCCCAGCCCCTTCTTGGCCTTCGCCCACCTGGCCTCCCCTGGAGCCCTGACCTGGGTGCCAGGCCTGCTGGGTCCAGAGCCCACCCCGCCCTGAACAACCCCGAGTCTCAGCCACCCTCAGTTCTTACCCTTTCACAGCTGGGGAGTGGAGCCTGGGCCTGCGCCTCTCCGCGCCAGCGCCGGCACTGTGCGCCTCTCCGCCGCTGTCCGCCTCTCCGCCGCGCCGCCGCTGTCCGCCTCTCCGCCGCTGTCCGCCCCTCCGCCGCGCCGCCGCTGTCCGCCCCTCCGCCGCTGTCCGCCCCTCCGCCGTGCCGCCGCTGTCCGCCTCTGCGCCGCTGTCCGCCTCTCCGTCGCTGTCCGCCTCTCCGCCGCTGTCCGCCTCTCCGCCGCGCCGCCGCTGTCCGCCTCTCCGCCGCTGTCCGCCTCTCCGCCGCGCCGCCGCTGTCCGCCTCTCCGCCGCTGTCCGCCCCTCCGCCGTGCCGCCGCTGTCCGCCTCTGCGCCGCTGTCCGCCTCTCCGTCGCTGTCTGCCTCTCCGCCGTGCCGCTGCTGTCCGCCTCTCCGCCACGCCCGCGCCGGCGCTGTGTGCCTTTGCGAGGGCGGAGCTGCGTTCTCCTCAGCACAGACTTCGGAGATACAGCGAAGGCGGAGCAGTGTTCACCTCAGCACAGACCCGGGCGGGCGGGCGGGCCGGTGGCACCGCGAGGGCGGAGCTGCGTTCTGCTCTGCACAGACCTTGGGGCACTGCCTCGCTTTGGGACAACTCGGGGCCGCATCGACGGTGAATAAAATACTTCCTGTTTGCAGCCCTGTTTGTGGTTGGTGGCAGCGATGGACACTGCAGCCAGCCAGAGCGTAGAAAGGCATCGGGGTAAGTGCACTATCCAGGCTGCACTGCGGGTGGCCTGGGACGGGTTGGGAGCCCTATCTCAGGCGTCACTGCCCGTCTTGGGTGGCTGGTTGGGTGTGCTATCTGGGGCTGTGCTGCCTGCACCGGGGGGTGGTTTGGGGGCCCAAACCGGGGCTGCACTGCCTTTGGCGGGGAGCCGGTTGGGGGCACTATCCCAGACTGTATTGCTGGCAACAGTGAGGTGGGCTAAGTGTGCTATCCAGGGCTGCACTGTGCGGCTGTGGGGGGTGGTGTGGCGGTTTCGGGTTGAGGGCGCTATGGGGTGCTGTAATGCCCATGGTGCAGGGAGGCGGGGCGGTTTGCCTACGTTGGGTGTGCTATTGGGGGGGGGGCGACACTGCTGGTGGTAGGGGGCAGGGTGGGTTGGGGGCCATATCAGGGGCTGCACTGATTGCTTTAGCTAGGATTTCTGGTACTATGTTAAACAACAGTGGTGACAGGGGGCATCCTTATCATGTTCCAGATCTTAGAGGAAAAGCTTTCCATTTTTCCCCAT
Source organism: Homo sapiens (assembly GCF_000001405.40). Taxonomy (NCBI): domain Eukaryota; kingdom Metazoa; phylum Chordata; class Mammalia; order Primates; family Hominidae; genus Homo; species Homo sapiens. Next base: position 20,147,166 of record NC_000015.10, on the reverse strand, counting down.
TCCATATGATTCTAGCTGTGGGTGTCTTTCCTGTAGTTTTTATTATGTTGCGGTATGTTTCTTCTGTGCCCGTTTCTTTGAGGATTTATAGCATGAAGGGATGTTGAATTTCATCAAATGCTTTTTCGGTTTCAGTTGACGTGATGATACTGTTTTTGTCGTTTATTTGGTTGATATGATGTATCACATTGTATGTTGAGTGACCCTTGATCCCAGGGATACATTGCACTTGATCATGATGAATTATCTTTTTAATGTATTACTGAATTTGATTCAGTGGTATTTTGTTGAGGATTTTTGCATCAATATTAGAGATCCTGGCCTGTAGTTTCCTTCTTTGATGCTTTTGTCTGATTTTGGTATCACAGTAATAATGGTCTCATAGAATAAGTTTGGAAGTATTCCCTCCTGTTTTTCAAAATAGTTTGAGCAGGATTTGTACTAGGTCTTTAAATTGTTTGGTGTGAAGCCATCAGCAGTGAAGACATCAGTTCCTGGGCTTTTCTTTACTGGGAGACTTTTTCTGATGGCTTCAATCTCATTACTTGTTACCAATCTGTTCTGGTCTTGGATGTTTTCGTTGTTTAACCTAAGTAGGTTGTATGCATCTAGGAATTTGCCAATTTCTACTAGGCTTTCCAATTTATTGGCATATAATAGCCAGTTATGATCCTTTGAATTTCTGAAGTATTAGTTGTAATGTCTCCTTTTTTTAATCTGTTGATTTTATTTATTTGAATCTTGTCTCTTTACTTAGCCTGGTTAAAAGTTTGTCAATTTTGTTTAGCTTTCCAGAAAACCAACTTTTCGTTTAATCTTGTGAGGTTTTTATTTCAATTTTGTTTCTGCTACGATCTTATTTATTTTCTTATTTTCGGTTTAGTTTGTTCTTTACTAGTTCTTTAAGATGTATTGTTTACTTGAAGTTTTTCTTTTGTTTGGATGGTAGGCACTTATAGCTGTAAATCTCTGCCTTTGTACTGCTTTCTGCATAACAAGTTTTGGTATACTGTGTGTTCATTACCCTTTGTTTCATGAAATTTTTGAATTTCTGTCTTAGTATCTTCATTGACCCGCTAGTCATTTATTCAGGAGGGTAGTGTTTAACTTCCATGTGATTGTATTATTTCCAAAATTACTTTTCTTATTGATACCTATTTTTATTCCTTTGTAGTGAAAGAAGATGGCCACAGAGACAGACAGCAGCGTGGTCAGAGTGGTAGGAGCCGGCCATCAGCGAGAGCTGCTCCATGCCTGGCTGCTGGGTGCTAGAGTCTGCGGCCCACTGGCTTGCCTCACTGTGGTTGGTGGTGGCGGTGACAGAGACTGCAGCATGACCAGAGTGGTAGGACAGGGGCTATCCAGGGCTGCACCTTTCGCAGTGTGGGGTGGGTTGGGGGCGCTATCCAGGGTGTCATTGCCTGCATTAGGGGTACTAGTTGGTAGCACTGTACAGGGCTGCACTGCCCACGGCAGGGAAGGTGGGTTATGGGTGCTTTCTGGGGCTGCAATGCCCATGGAGGAGAACAGGTTAGGGCACTATCAGGTATACGCTACTGGCGGCATTGGGGGACAGAGGTGGGGGGTGCTATTGAGGGCAGGACTAGCCGTGGAGTGGGGGACGAGTTCGGTGCTATCAGGCTGCACTGCTGGTGGCGGTCAACAGAGTTGGCATCCAAGGAAGGAGTGGTTCTCCTCTCCCTGACTCCACACTCCAGAGGGCGACCCACTCTTGGTCATACTGGAATGCGGCAGGGCACGCAGCGTTTGCATGGGAATCCTGAGCATGGCAGAGCCCCCACACCCACCGTGGTTCCTGGGCCTGTGCACTCTGGGTCTGTGCCTCAGAGGCTGCCAGGCACCCCTGGGGACACCACGGGGGACAGGGCCCTGTGCGTGGAAGCGTCCAGAACAGGAATTGGCACCTGGGTGCAGAGGGCTGGCTGGGTCTGAATTTTTCTGCTTCTCCTGCTCCCCAAGGAGTGCAGCCCCAGTGGGCCCAATGGTTCCTGTGGAGTGGGGAGCTGGGTGCTGTGGTGTCTCCAGCACCCACCCCAGACCTCAGTTCCCGGCCAGCTTGGGCCAAAAGGAGAGGCTGGACTTTGGAGGGTGGGTGTGAGTGCCTTTGCTGAAACTGGCCCCTGCCACCCAGTGGCCGGCATGACAAGGTGAGGCTCTAACCCTTCCACCCCTCACATCTTCCTCTAGGCTTTTCTGGCTTTGCCCGCCCAGCTGCTCCATGCCAGGAGGAGGAGGAGACACCTAGAGCCTGCAACACCACGGCTCGCCTCGCTACAGGTGGGTGGCAGTGACGGAGACTGCAGTGCACCAGAGCGGTAGGAGAGCGGCCACGCTAGGAGGGCAGGCGGCTGCAGCCAGGGTCAGGCTTACAGCAATGGACGGGCTGCAGCAGTGACCAGGTGGTAGGAGCCTTGTAGGGAGGGCTGGTGCATTGGCAATGGGCCTGGCTTTGCCCTGCGCCTGCCGTGGATCTGGCCCTGTACTGCCCTGCCTTGCCCTGTACCTGCCCTACTGTTACCTGGACTCTCGGCCCTGTCCTGCTCTGGTCCCATCCTGACCCTGTCTTGGCCCTGTGCTACCCTGTCCCTTCCCTGGTCTTGCCCTGGCACTGGCCCTGCCCTGAACCTGCACTGGCCTGACCTTGGCTCTGGCCCTGCCCCTTGTCCTGACCCTGGTCCTGTCATGGCACTGGCCCTGCCAATGGTCATGGTCCTGCTCTTGTTCTGGCCCTGACCTGGCCTTGGATATGTCCTGGCCCTGCTTTGGCCCATCCCTGCCCTGGCCCCACCATGGGCCTGCCTGTTCTGCCCTCTCCTGGCACTGACCTTGCCCTGTCATGGCCCAGTGGTGCCATTGCCCTGCCTTACCCTGAGCTGGTTGTGCTTTGGCCCTGCTTGGTGCTGGCCGCTCCCTGGACCTGCCCTGGACCTGCCTTGACCCTGCCTTGGCTTTTGCCGTGCCCTCACTATGGCCTGGCCCTGGCCCTAGCCCTGGTCCTGCCATATCCCTGGCCCTGCCCTTATCCAGGCCCTGCCCCTGCTGCTGCCCTGGCCCTGGCCTGGAACCTGGTCCTGTCAAGGACCTGCCCTGACTCTGCCATGGCCCTGGCCCTGCTCTGCCTTGTTCCTGGCCCTGACCCAGACCCAGACCCTTTCCTGGCTCTGCACTGGCCTTTCCCTGGCCCTGAGCTGGCAGTGGTCTGCCCCTGGTCTTGCCATTACCCTGCCCTGCTGTGCTCTGGATGTGTCATCACCCTGCCCTGGCCCTACTCTGCCTTTGACCCTGCCCTGGCCTTACCTTGGCCCTCACCCTAGTCTTCGCTAGACCCTGCTCTGGAGCTGGCCCTAGCACAGACCTGGCCCTGATCCTGGCCCTGGTCTTTGTCCTGCCATAGCCCTGGCCCTGAAGTGAACTTGGAGGTGTTCTGGCCCCGGCGTAACATGGCTCTGCATTGGCCTGTCCCTGCCCTGCCACTACCATCGCCTTGCCCTGCTCTGCCCTGTCCCAGTACTGACCTGGCCATGCTATTTCCCTGCCCTACCCTGCCTTGGCTGTGCCCTGGCTCGGTTCTGGCCCTGGCCCTGGCCCTGCCCTGGACATGCTCTGACACTGCCTCAGCCTCGGCACTAGCCTGGCTCTTCTTTGGCATCAGCTCTGCTCTCTGTGTGGACCAGCTCTTGTCCTGTCCTGTACTGGCCATACCATGCCCTGCCCTGCCCTGCCCTGACTCAGCCCTGGCTCAGCCCTGGCCCAGCCTTGGCCTTGGCATTGCCCCTGGTCCTGCCATATTTCTTGCCCTGTCCCTACCCTGGCCTTGGCCCTGACCCTTACCTTGCCCTGGCCCTGCCCTTGCCCTAACGCAGCCCCTGGCCCTGTCATGGCCCTGCCCTGGACCTGTCCTGGCCCTGGCCCTGCCCAGGTCTTGGCACTGGCCTGGCCCTGCCCTGCCTTGGCCCTATGCTTTCCTGGCCCTGCCTTGCCGGCCCTGGCCCTGCCTTGGCCCTAGCCTAGCTTTGACCCTGCCCTGGCCCTACCTTGGCGTTCACCCTAGCCTTACCTGGGCACTGTGTTGGACCTGGCCATAGCACAGACCTGGTTGTGGCCCTGGCCCTGCCATGGCCCTGTCCCAGACCCTAGCCCTGCCAGGTACCTGTCCTGGCCCAGCTCTGGGCCTGGCTTTGTCCCTGGTTCTTAGATGAACCTGGCCCTGCCCCTGCCCTTGCCCTTGCCCTGGCACTGGCCTTGGACATGTCCGTGGTCCTAACCCTGGCCCTGCCCTGGAGCTGCCACTCTCTTGGCCCTGCCCTGGCTCTGGCCCTGCCCCGGCCCCAGCCATAGACCTGCCCTGGTTGGTCATGCCCTACCTTAACCCTGTGCAACCCTGGGCCTGCTCCACCCTGCCCTGGCCCTGCCCTCCCTTTGTCCCTGCCCTGACCCTGCCTTGGCCCTCACACTGGCCCTAGCACAGACCTGGTCCTTTGTGTGGCCTTGGCCTGGCATTGACCCCTGCTCCTGACCCTGGTCCTGCCATGGCCCTGGCCCTGCCAATGACCCTGGCAGCCGTGACCCTGGCCCTGTCTTGGCCCTGGCCCTGAACTGGCCCTGCCCTGACCTGGCCCTGAAGTGGATTTGCAGGTGTCTTGTCCCTGATTTAACCTGGCCCTACCATGGCCCTGTCCCTCCCCTGGCTCTGTCCTGGTCTTGTGCTTACCCTGACCCAGACCTTGGCCCTGCCCCAGCCTTGTCCTTGACCTGGCCATGGCCCTGCCTCTGCCCTGGACCGGCGCTGGCACTGGCATGGACCCTGGCCCTGGCCGTTCGCTACTTAAGGCCATACCCTGGTCCAGCCCTGGTCCTGACCCTGTCCTGGCCCTAATTTGGCCTGGCTCTACCTTGGCATGCTATTCTGGCCCTATCCCTGACCCTGTCCCTGTCCCTGTCCTGGCCCCAGCCCCATTGCTGGTCCTGCCATGGCCCTTGTTCTGACATTGCCCTTTCCTGGTTCTGGCCCTGGCCCTGTCCCAGCCCTGCTCTGGCCCTGGTCTGAACCCTGGCCCTGCAATAGACCTGCCTTGGTCCTGCCCAGACCCTGGCTCTGGCCCTACCTCTGCCCTGGCCATACCCTTGCCCTGGCCTGGACCCCGGTCCTGGTCCTTGTCCTGCCCCAGCCATGGCCCTGGCCCTGCCCTGCCTGTGCCCTGTTCTATCCTGGGCTGGCCCTGCCATGACCTGGTCTTGCCATTGCCCTGCCCTAGCCTGCCATGCTTGTGCCCTAGATCTGCCCCGCTTGTGCCCTAGATCTGCCTCGGCCTTTGCCCCGTCTTGGTTCTAGCCTTGACTCAGCCCTGGACCTTCCCTGACCTCGCCTCAGACCTGGCACTACCCTGGCCTTGCCTTGGCATTTGCCCTACTCTCTCTATGGCCTGGCTCTGGTCCTGCCCTGCTCTGCTCTTGTTCTGTCCTGGCACAGCCCTGGCCCTGGCCCTGCCATATCACTTGCTCTCGTCCTGCCCTTATGCAGACCTGACCCTGCCACTGCCTTGGCTTTGGCCTGGACCTTGGCCATACAGTGACCCTGTCATGACCCTTTCCTGGCCCTGGCCTGGAACCTGGCCCTGCCAAGGACTCGCCCTGGCTCTGTCATGGCCCTGGCCCTTTCCTGGATTTGGATGTGTCCTGTCCCTTATTTGCCCCGGCCCTTCCCTGGCTCTGCCATACCCCTTCTCTGGGGTAGGGCCAGGGTCAGGACCAGACCAGGGCAGGGTCAGGACCAGGGTAGGGCCATGGTAAGGCCTGAAGATGGGAAGGGCCAGGGCAGCGGCTGGACCAGGGAAGGATCAGGGCCAGGGATGTAGTAGGACTAGCGGCAGAGCCGGCACTAGGGCTGAACCAGGGCAGAGCAGGAGAGATTACATTAGGCTATTACATAAAATTTTTATTTTAGATTTTTAAGATAACTATATTAGTAGTAATGTCTATACTATATTGTTTGTAATAGTAATAATATTTGCAGTAATCACTAAATTTTAACTAATACTATCTTTGCTTCCAGTAGTGTTCTATGAATATAATATAATTTTATCAATATGTAAATATGTGAGGCATTGATTCTCACAATAATTCTATGTGCTAGGTACTTAAAGCATCCCCATTTTCCAAATATAGGAAACAGGCATAAAGAAGTTAAATACTTGGCCAGATTACTCCTGTAATCCCAACACTTTGGGAGGCCAAGGCAGGCAGATGGCTTGAGCTCAGGAGTTTGGAACCAGCCTGGGCAACATTGTGAAACCCCATCTCTACTAAAAATGCACAAAAAGAACTAATTTAAGTTTCTTGTAGGATTCTGGTTATAAAACACTGGTCAAACACACAGGGCATGGATAGGGCAGGGCCAGGGACAAGGTCAGGCCAGGAAGGGGCCAGGGCCAAGGCAGGGCCAGAGCTGGACTTGGAGGTGTCCTGGTCTGATTTGCCCTGCCCCAACGTTGGCCCAGCCCTGCTCTGGCACTTCCTGTCATGCCCTGTCCCTGGCCTGAGCATTGGCCCTGTCCCTGTCCTGCTTCTGGCCCTGCCCCGGAGTTGACCAGGCACTGCCATGGCACAGTCCTCCATTGCCCTGCCCTCGTCTGCCCTGGTGCTACCATGGCCCTGCTTGGGCCCTAGCTCTGCCTCGACTCTGGACCTGCCCTGACTCTGCTCAGCCCTGGATCTACCCTGACTCTGCCTTGGTGTTGCCCTCCCATATCTATGGCCTGGCTCTGGCCATGCCTTGCACAGGCCATGCTCTGCCCTGCATGTCCCAGCCTGGGCCCAGCCCTCATCCTACCATATTCCTGACCCCAGCCATACCCTTGTTCTGGCCGTGACCCTGCCGTGGCCCTCTCCTGGCCCTTCCTTGGTCCTGCCCTGCCCTTCCATGCCCTGGCCTTGCCCTCACCCTGCATTGGCCCTGCACTGGTCCTGCCCTGCCCTGGTACTGCCTTGCCCCGGCCCTGCCTTCTCCCTGGCCTTGCCCTGCCCTGGCCTTGGCTTTGCCTTATCCTGGTCCTGGTTCTGCCCTGACCCTGGCCTTGCTCTGGATCCTCTCTGGTTCTGCCTTCTCCCTGGCCCTGTCCTTGCTCTGGCCCTGTCCCTGGCCCAGCCTTGACCCTGACCCTGGCCCTGACAATCCCCAGGTCTGACACTGGCTATGCTTGGCCCTGGCCCCTCCTTTTGGCCCTGCCCTGGCCCTGCCTTGGCCCTGTGCTATCTTAGTCCTGCCCTGGCCCTGAACTCGCCCTGGCCCTACCCTCACCCTACACTGGCCCTGGCCTACCCTGGCTTTGCCCTGCCCTGGCCCTGCCTTTGGCCTGCTCTGGCTCTGGTTCTGCCCTGGCCTTGCCCTTACCCTGGACCCTCCCTGGCCGTGTTTTTTCCATGGTCCTTCTCTGGCCTTGCCCTTGCCCTGTCCCCTTTCTTGTCCTGCCATGTTTCTGGCCCTGCCCTGTCCATGTCCTGGACCTGACTCTGGCCCTGGACCTCCCTGTCCCTGCCCTGCCATACTCTGGCCCATTCTTGCTCTACACTGACCCTGTCCTGCCTTGGCCCTGTGCTACCCTAGCCCTGCCCTGGCCTTCTGCTGACCCTGATCCTGCCATGGCCCTGGCCCTGCCATGTCCCTGCCCTGGCCCTGGTTCTGCCCTGCTTCTGGCCCTGGCCTTGGTCCTCTCATGTCCCTGGCTATGACCCTGCCCCTGGTTTTTCTCTGGCCATGACCCTGCCCCAGTTCTGTCCTATCCCTGGCCCTGTCTCAGTTCTCTCCTAGCCCTGGCCTTTCACAGTACTTTATGCTTAGTAAGGGCTCCATAGTGTCTGTGAGTTGAATGTTGTGTTCATAGTATCTGCCAAAACAGAAAGAAAAAAACCAAAATATTTTGATAGGAAGTTAAAGCTTTGTATATAATATGCCTTGAATTGTAAGTGCTTGTTATTAGTTGTATTACATATAGGTCATGGTTTTGTACACATAACTCCAAACCATTGATACTGTTAAAAGAATATATGAATATATGAAAGAATGTATAAACGTAAGAATGTATGAGTATCTAATGACCTTTCCAAATTAATTTTTATTTTTAGCTCTATTAGATTTTTCTCAGTGTAACAAATGTTTATTCCTATGTAATTAAGGGCGTATTTCCTGTACAGAATATTCATATTACCTAATTGAAAATTATATGATACAAAAATATAATACTATTTTTAGGCCAGGCATGGTGGCTCATACCTGTAATCCCAACATTTTGAGAGGCCAAGTTTGGAGAATCATTTGAGTCCAGGAGTTGACCAGCCTGGGCAACATAGTGAGAACTTGTCCTCATTAAATAAATAAATAAATAAATAAATAAATAGGTTGGGCACTGTGGCTCACATCTGTCATCCCAGCATTTTGGGTTGCCAATGCAGGAGGATTGCTTGAGCCCAGGAGTTTGAGACCAGCCTGGGCAGAATAGCAAGACTCCATCTCTACAAATAATAAAATATTAACCAGGTGTGGTGGTGCCCACCTGGGGTCCCAGCTACCTGGGAGGCTAAGGTGGGAGGTTTGCTTGAGGCTGCAGTGAACTGTGAATGCACCACTGCATTCCAGCCTAGGCCACAGAACAGGACCTTGTCTATAAATAAAGAAATAAGTAAAAACATAAATAAAAATAAGTAAAAAGAAATATAAGTAAATATAAATATAAATACATATAAATATAAAAATGCATACATGAAAAGAAACAATTTTTAAATTTAACATCACTGAGGGCATCCTATCCATTTCATTTCATGATTCCATCATTTCACTTAGATGAAATGATAAGATGACTTGAGATGAGATGAAATGACAAAGTGATGAGATGAGATGAGATGATGAGATGAAATTTTGAGATGAAATGGTGAGTAGAAATGATGAGATGAAATGATGAGACGAAATGACAAAGTTGAAAAGAAATTGAAAGGAGATGAGATGAGATGAAATGAGATGAAATGATGAGATGATAGATGAAATGATGAGATGAAATGAGATGAAATGATGAGATGAAATGAAATGAAATAATGAAATGATATGAAATAATGAAATTGAAATGAGATGAGATGAGATGAAATAATGAGATAAAATGATGAGATGAAATGAGATGAATGATGAGATGAAATGAGATGAAAAATGATGAGATGAAAAATGAGATGAAATGAAATGAAATAATGAAATGAAATAATGAAATGAGATGAAATGAAATAATGAAAGGAAATTATGAAATGTAATGAAATTGAAATAAGATGAGTTGAAATGATGAGATGTAATGATGAAATGAAATGATGAAATGAGATGAGATGAAATGAGATGAAATAATGAGATGAAATGAGATGATGAGATAAGATGAAATCATGAGATGAAATGATGAAATGAAATGAAATGATGGATGAAATGATGAGATGAAATGAGATGAAATGTAATGACATAATGAAACGAAATAATGAAATGAGATGAAATGAAATAATGAAACGATGAAATAATGAAAATGAAATGGAAATGATGAGATGAGAAGAAATGATGAGATGAAATGATGAAATGATGAGATGAGATAAAATGAGATGAAATGATGAGATGAAATGAAATGATGAGATGAGATGAAATGAGATGAAATATGATGAGATGAAATGACATAATTAAATGAAATGATGAAATGGAATAATGAAATGGAAATGATGAGATGAGATGCAATGAGTTGAAATGAGATGAAATGATGAAATGATGAGATGAGATGTGATGAAATGATGACATGAAATGATGACATAAAATGAGATGAAATGAGATGTAATGATGAAATGAGATGAGATGAAATGAGATGAAATGATGAGATGAGATAAAATATGAAATGATGAGATGAATGATGAGATGAAATGATGAGATGAGATGATGAGATGAAATGATGAGATGAACTGATGAGATGAAATGAAATGAAATAATGAAATGAAATTGAAATAAATAAATAAAATTGAAATGAGATGAGATGAAATGATAAGATGAGATGATGAAATAAAATGATAAAATGATGAGATGTGATGAGATGAAATGATGAGATGAGATGACATGCAATAATGAAATGAAATAATGAAATGAAATTGAAATGAGATGAGAAGATACGAGATGAGATGAAATGATGAGATGAAATGATGAAATGATGAGATAAGATGAAAATAGTTGATGAGATGATGAGATGAAATGATGAGATGAAAAGATGAGATGAAATGATGAGATGAAATGAAATGATGAGATGAAATGAGATGAAATGAAATTAGATGAAATGTAATGAGATGAAATGAAATGACATAATGAAATGAAAAAATGAAATGAAATGAGGTGAAATTAAATGAGATGATGAAATTAAATGATGAAATAATGAAATGGAAATGATGAGATGAGATGAAATGATGAGATGAATGATGAGATGAAATGAGATGAAATGATGAGATGCAATGATGAGATGAAATGATGAAATGATGAGATGAGATGAGATGTAATGATGAGAGGAAATGATGAGATGTAATGAAATGAGATGAATGAGATGAAATAATGAAAGGAAATTGAATTGAGATATGAGATGAAATGAGATAAAATGAGATGAAATAAGAAATGATGAGATGAAATGATGAAATGCTGAGGTGAGATGAGATGAAATGAGATGAAACGATGAGATGAAATGAAAGGATGAGATGAAATGATGAGATGAGATGAGATGAGATGAAATGAGATGAAACGAGATGAAATGATGAAATGATGAGATGAGACGAGAAGAAATGATGAGATGAAATGAGATGAGATAAAATGATGAGATGAAATGTAGTGAAATGAAATGAAATAATGAAATTGAAATGAGATGAGATGAAATGAGATAAAATGATGAGATGAAATGAGAAGAAATGAGATGAAATGATGAGATGAGATGATGAGATGAAAAATGATGAGATGAAAAATGATGAGATGAAATGATGAGATGAAAAATGATGAGATGAGATGAAATGATGAGATGAATTTGAAATGAAATGAAATAATGAAATAATGAAATGAGATGAAATGAAATGATGAAATGATGATATTGAAATGAAATTGAAAGATGAGATGAAATGATGAGATGAAATGTTGAAATGAAATGATGAAATGAATAGATGTGACATGAAATGATGAGCTGAAATGATGAAATGAAATGAAATGAGATTCAATGATGAGATGAAAAATGATGAGATGAGAAATGATGAGATGAAATGATGAGATGAAATGAGATGAGATGAATTGAGATGAGATGAGATGAAATAATGAAATTAGGTGAAATAATGAAATGAGATGAAATAATGAAATGAAATTGAAATGAGATGAGAAGAAATGAGATGAAATGTAATGAAAGGAGGAAATGATGAGATGAGGAGATGAAATGATGAGATGAAATGAATTGAGATGAAATGATGAGATGAAAAATGATATGAAAAATGATATCAAAAATATGAGATGAAACGAAATGAGATTATATGAAATGACAAAATGAAATAAATGAAATTAGATGAAATGAAATAGTGAAATGAAATAATGAAAATGAAATGGAAATGAGATGAGATGAGATTTGATGAAATGGTGAGATGAAATGATGAGATGATATAAAATGATGAGGTGAGATGGAATGAGATGAAATGATGGGATAAAATGATGAGATGAAATGAGATGAAATGATGAGATGAAATGATGGGGTGAAGTGATGCACTGTCACGTGTGTGTCTACTCTTTTTCCCAAGCAACAAAAATTATAATTCATTAATTTTAATTTTATTATTTAAGAATATTCTTAAGAGTTGAAGGAAAAATAATATTGTAACATAAATTGTAACATTATGGGTTACAATCTAAGTATAAATAATACATAAATATATTAAAACTTACAAAGAATATGTTTTGGAATCGAATATACCATGCTTCTGTGATGACAGTTATTTCATGCTGGTTGTCATAATTTTACATGAAAAACTAATGAAAAAATGTTTTTAACTGTTTCTAAAAATAACAGTTTCCAAAACAGTTTTACATTCGAAATATGAAAAAGATGTCTTTGTGTTCCTTAATCTGATGAGATTTTCACACTCTGCACATGATAATTGTTAGATTTTTATTGTGTTGATAAATTGTATATCAAATAAAAAATGTTATTACCTCTTAAATTAGGATTTTTAGGTGATATAGTCAGAAAGGAAGGCAAGTTTTTATAACTTTTTCTAAATGAACTTTCTAAATGCCTGAGTATTAAAAGACAGCATGTCTATAAATCACAATGTATATATTACTGTATGACCTAGGACCAATCAAAACCGTTACCTCTGATAACATTATATTGTGCCCAGTATAAAATAGATATAATAATACCTCAAACTTAAATCCAGGCATTGTTGAATGTCTTAAGAATATGCAGCAAAGGTGCTTTTAAAAATACAAGCTAGTGATTGTACCAAATTTGTAAATCACATAGGATAGTGGGTCATTTTAAGAATATTAGTTATTTCAATCTGTAAACATGGATGTCTTTCCTTTTTTGTGTTTTCTTTAATTTCTTTCATTAATACCTGTCATTTTTGTTGTCAAAATCTTTTACTTCCTTGGTTAAATTTATTTCTAAGTACATTTTTGTAGCTATTGTAAAAGGAATTGCTTTCTTAATTTCTTGTTTCAGCTAGTTTACTATCAATATATAGAAATGCTACTGATTTTTGTATGTTGATTTATATCCTGCAACTTTATTAATTTCATGTATCACCCTAAGAAGCTTTTGGTAGAGTCTTATTTTTTTCCGTGTATAAGATCACATTGTCTTTAAACAGGGACAATTTGACTGTCTCCTTTCCAATTCAGATGTCCTTTATTTCTTTCTCTCACCTAATTGTCCTGGTTAAGACTTTCACTATGTGAAATATGATTGGTGAGAATAGGCATCCTTTTCTTGTTCCAGTAAAATCTTTTTCTTGTTCACAGTAAAATCTTTCACCTTTTCCACACTCAGTATGATCTTAGTTGTAGATTTGTCCTTTATGTTCTTCTGTGTTAAGGCATATATTTTCTATACTAAATTGTTGAGAGGTTTTTTGTCATGTAAGAATATTTAATTTTGCCAAACGCTTTTATTGTGTTTATTAATTTAATCATATGGTTTTCAGTATATATCCAAAGGAAAGAAAATCAGTATATCAAAGAGTTACCTGCACCCCCATGTTTATTACAGCACTATTCACAATAGCCAAGATATGGAATCAACAAAAGTGTCCATCAACAGATGAATGGATAAAGAAATGTGACATACATATATAATGGAATATTATTTAGTCATAATAAAGAACAAAATCCTGTTATTTGTGGCAACAAGAATGCAAGTGGAGGGCATTATGTTAGGTGAAATAAGCCTGGCATAGAAACATAAACACCACATAACTACATGTTCTCACTTATGTATGGAAGCTAAAATTTTTAATCTCATAGAAGTAGATAGTAGAGTTTTGGTTACCATATCCTGGAAAGAGTAGGAGAAAGAAGAGTATAAGAAAACTGTGGTTAATACATACAAAATTACAGCTAGAGAGAAGGAAGAAGTTCTAGTTCTCTACAGCACTGTTGGGTGACTGTAGTTAACGGGAATTTATTGTGTGTTTTCAAATAACTAAAATAAAAGATTTTGAATATTCTCACTGCAAAGAAATAATACATGATTTAGGTAATGGATATGATAATGACTCTGACTTGATCTTTACACATTGCATAAATATATCAAAATATCACTCTGTACCCCATAACATGTACATTTATTATATGTCAATTAAAATAAATTTAAAAGACAAAAAATGAGGTAAAGGTAAATGTACAGAATTTAATTACTTCTTCTTCTATAAAACCCGAGTCAGTACCAAGAAGAGTCAATTTATTAGTTTTCTAAAATAAAAAAAATCAAAATCACCAAAAAAGAGCAATATCCAAGAAAACATTGAAAATGAAACACAACATTTAGTAAGAATAGAAAACTTGGGCACTGTATCACCCTGTTCCTAGATACCGATTTACTGATGGCCATTTAAATAGAATTTTATTCTATCTAATTCATTTATACTCCCAGAGTTCAAAATTACATTTTACCTACAATAAATGAGATAACACTTGTAAATTATATGGTACTCTGCCTAACACACGTTAATAACTCAATACATGTTAGCAATAAACTTTTAGTATAGTAGTCAAAGTATTAATTTCTCACATTGCAATTTCCTTCAAAGACATGAATACAACCTTTCTAATGACTCCTTGTTCATCAAGATACCTCTTCAAATTATTCTATTTGTTTCATTCAGTATATTACCTGTGTATACCGATATTACACTCTTTTCTTTTTTTGAGATGGAATCTCATTCTGTTACTGATGCTGGAGTGAGGTGGCATGATCTCGGTTCACTGCGACCTCCACCTCCCAGGTTCAAGCGATTCTCCTGTCTCAGCCCTCCAGGTAGCTAGGACTACAGGTGCATACCACCATGCCTGGCTAATTTTTGTATTTTTAGTACAGTCAGAGTTGTACATACAATTTTTATGAAAAAAATTATCAAGTGCATAAGTTCATAATAGAAAAACCAATAATACTCCAGGCACAAGTTAGTACTAAAGAAATTATGTTGAATATTCTCTAATACAACATGCTTTTTCCCTTCATGAACAATTTGTGTTTTACTGAGAAGAGTCATTTTTTATGGTAGACATTAGACTACAGATGAATATGTACTTTAAACACTCTTAGTTGCTTTCTTAATTTTATAGCTGCTGCTTTATGCTTCTGTTTATTTTCATTCTTTCCAATGTCTACATTCTAGTAAATTTGAATATTTTAATCCAAGTTTATATACCATTTAATATTGCTTGTATAGTTTAGTATTTTTAAGACTCAAAAAGGTTTACAGAAAGAAGAAAAAGATCAACATGTTATTAATCATTTAAAGATCATTTTAAAATCTTTGACCTTTATATTTTCATGAATAAAATGTTAGTAGTTATTAGTATAAAATAATTTATGTCTTTTGGACTTAGCATCCAGTATTTCTTTTTTAATAAAGAAAATAATTATTCTCTTGCAATGTACTATGTTTATCTGGGTTTTGAAAAGTGATGTTTCCTAATATGAGAAAGCCATTTACATTTTTAAATCTACAAAGGCAAATGGAATGGTACTAAATTATTTACATAATAATGTTTAGATGGTGGCCCTTATAACATTCTTTCTATACTTCCTACAGAGTTGGGGATATGCAATCCTAGAATATTTCTGGGAGCTAATCATTTTGCTTGATGAATGAAACAAGACTTTTAAATAAAATTAAACTTTCAAATTATCCACGTAATGGGCCTGTCTTTTAATTCAATGGATATGGAGCATAATGAATTATCCCCTGTTCATTGGGTAATAAGTTCTCATTCTTAACTTATAATACTCAAAATGTCCTTTAATTTTTAATTTTTGATAGTCATATCATTATCCCTAGGTATTTTAGCTTCTATCTTAAATTCTAAAATGATTTTGAAACAGGAGAAAGTATTCTTTATTACTATATGTATTAAACATCATGGTTTTCAAATTTAACTGCAAATGTATCTTTTCATTGCTTCTTGATGACACCCTTCACCCTATCCATATTGTCACTACCAAGTGGTGATTACTTTTCAGGTTCACATACTTATTCTTTAGAAAAATCTTCTCTGTGCTTTATAAAGAATATGATTGTTGGCATTCAAAAGCCAGTGAAGTATACATTATTAGCCTGTTGCCTAACTCATTTCTTTAAGAAACTAACTAATTACCCACATACTTATGTTTTTATTTCCTCATTATTTCTGGAGAAAACAAATACTGCTAACATGATATTTGTAAGAGAGAAAAAAGTCTTTTCTTGAAAAGTGCTGTCATTGTAGTACTAACTTATAGTATCAACTTCTTTATCAACTCCTTATACACTTTTTATTCTGAGAGAAATAAAAAAGCTAAAAGTGAAATGACTTTTTTACTCTCCATATTATAAGCACCCATCTTGGTCATTTAGGGTCTTTATAGTTAGGGTAAGTTGTGTCATACCGAGGTTACAAAATAAAAAATATTTTGTCTCTTTGGGCCTTTCCTTATTCAGTAATACTGTCAGTTTGGCTTTTTTTGTAGGTCAACTTATTGAACTCAGTATTCTGAAATAATATGTCTACTATCTTTTGATAAGCATTTAAAATATCAGATTTATTGTTACTCTTCTGCTTTTATTGGGCTGGAAGAATAATTGTTTCACTCCACAAAAGCCAAGTTGCAGAGAAAAACACATAGACATTCAACTGCAAAGCAGAGAAACTTGACTATTTTCTGCAATTTTAAAGTGTATATTGAATAAAACCATCTTTTTATTTTCTTTTTTGCTCACTGGCAAATATTAACAACATCAAGTGTATTATTATAATGTTATCTAGTTAAAAATCTCAAAAAGTTTTCATAATTACCATTTAAAAATATATAAATAGGTGACCTAATGTTAATTTTTATTGTCTGAGACCATGTCTGTTATTTCACTCTTTAAATTCAGTTAGTAATGCAGAACCTAGCACTTAGTAGATACTCAAAAATTATTTGCTGAATAAAAAAAGGTTAAACATAATATATACAAAATGTACTGGAAAAAATGCACCAAACAATTTTGTTATACCAGTTTAATGTAAATATTGCCTTTAAAAGATAATATAGTTTTCAGGTGTCTACAGTGATTTTGTAATATTTGTGCACATATAAAATAATATTTCCAAAAATGTAATCCAGTGGGGAAATATACTTTCTAAATTCTAGATTTATAATTTAGGGTTTAAATTATAAAATCATTAAATAAGACACAAGTGAAATATAGTCAAATATCCCCTTGGAAAAAAATTAAGTGGCCTCTAAAGTGAGGTATTAATATATGTAATTTTACAATCCTCTAGTGATAGAATTAAATACACCACCAAATTGATTATCTCCTACAGTGTTAAAAGAGAAGCACTAACAATGCCAGTGACCATGTAACATGGATTTAAGCTACAAGTCATAGAAATGTGATGAGAAGCCTCAGCGCTGTAAAACAGAGGGTGGAGGAAAGATTTTCCTCTCTCAAATGAGCTTTGCGAGGTATACTTCTTGAAGGATAGAAGTTGAAGTGTTCAGGACTTTTATGTCTATTCTACTTTGGCTTAGTTTACATGATTCTTAGTTTATTAGCCTAGAAATGGCCAAGAAAACTTAAGGTTCAATAATTAGTTATAAATATGAAATATCCCCAATTTTTAAGACAAAAACAACTTATAAATGTATTTGTCTGTAAAAATTGTGTATATTTTTACAGAACATCTATTTCTTTCTTTTTTTATTTTTTAATTATACTTTAAATTCTAGGGTACACATGCACAATGTGCAGGTTTGTTGCATATGTATACATGTGCCATGTTGGTGTGCTGCACCCATTAACTCATCATTTATATTAGGCATATCTCCTAATGCTATCCCTCCCCCCTCCCCCCACCCCACAACAGGCCCTGGTGTGTGATGTTCCCCTTCCTGTGTCCAAGTGTTCTCATTGTTCAATTCCCACCTATGAGTGAGAACATGCGGTGTTTGGTTTTTTGTCCTTGCGATAGTTTGCTGAGAATGATGGTTTCCAGCTTCATCTGTGTCCCTACAAAGGACATGAACTCATCATTTTTTATGGATGCATAGTATTCCATGGTGTATATGTGCCACATTTTCTTCATCCAGTCTATCATTGTTGGACATTTGGGTTGGTTCCAAGTCTTTGCTATTGTGAATAGTGCCGCAATAAACATACGTGTGCATGTGTCTTTATAGCAGCACAATTTATAATCCTTTGGGTATATACCCAGTAGTGGGATGGCTGGGTCAAATGGTATTTCTAGTTCTAGATCCCTGAGGAATGGCCACACTGTCTTCCACAGTGGTTGAACTAGTTTACAGTCCCACCAACAGTGTGAAAGTGTTCCTATTTCTCCACATCCTCTCCAGCACCTGTTGTTTCCTGACTTTTTAATGATCACCACTCTAACTGGTGTGAGATGGTATCTCATTGTGGTTTTGATTTGCATTTCTCTGATGGGTCTATTTCTTTAAAACAAAAGGAGGGGAGTCTCTCATTTACATTAGTTTTTTTCATAGCCTTTTGAACTTTGCAATTTCTATGTTTCAGAACCAATTTCTTACAGTTTTTCTATGCTAAACTCTGTCCTAGTCAGTTCTAGAGTGTATGAAGAACCAAATGATGTAATTGTATGCGACCTGGCTGTAGTGGAACAAATTTGACTCTAAAGTATGCAGGCTCTAATTTTCCTGTCTGGTTTTGGTAAGTATTCCTTACATAGGTTTTTTCTTTGAAAATCTGGGATTGAGAGGTTGATGAATGAAAATTAATCCTTTCACTTTGTTGTATATAGGTTTGCAATAATTAAGTCAGAGTGGAGTTTTAAGGTCATGGAGGGGTCTGATGACTTACAAATGGGCTCTGATTGGGCAACTACTCATCTGAGTTCCTTCCATTTGACCTAATTAAGCTTGTGAAATTTACACTAAGCCATGAGCTCATCTTTAAAAAGTTTTATTAAAAGATTTTCAGCTGTTCCAAATGGGACTTATTAGTGGAATGTGTTTTAAAGGATCATATCAGATGAATGAAAGGTATTTGATCCTTCGTTTCCTTAATAATAAAATGATGGTTTGGAAAAATAGGCTGCAGTCTAACCACAGTGCTATTATTAGGCTTTCATGTTAAACATAGGTCTAAGCCTAAGTATGTCAATACAACAAATACTTACTGTTTCATTTCTAGTAATGAAAAAAAAAAAAACAAGTCTTTCTGGCATAAGGATGATTTTCATCTGGTCATTTTGAAACATTTTTGTAAAATAAATTTACATCTATAAAGAACATTTTTATTTGTAAGGAGGGGTATGTCTCTGTGCACTGGAAGAGAGGGAGGACTAAATCACTGGGAAGTCTTATGATAAAGAAGCCATTGGCTTAAATCAGCAAAGCAAGCCGTCCCTTGGTTTAAGGTGTTTTTCCTGGCCATCCTGTCTTGACTAGAACTTTACCTACACCTTCCTTTTTGGTTTAGGCAAATTATAGTATCTAAAACTGAAGTCTCAGCTCTGTGTCTTTGAGATATAAATGTTCTACCATGTCTTCTCTGGAACCTGATAACTATCTATCTCTTTAAAATGCAAGTCTAGGGAGATGACTCATCAGAAAAAGAAGAAAAAAGAGGTATTTGGAAATTGTGCAAATTAAAGCAGCCCCTGATGCCAAAGTCTACACATTCCTGAGTGAGTCAGTTCTGGCCAGTTCTAGCTGGATCAAGAGAGCTCTGCTGGGCAGGCCTGAAGAGCACCTGGATGGCAGACACCTGAGGAGCCAGGTGCCTGAAACTTCCTCCACCTACTTGAGGAGTGCCAAAGCCCAGGTGCTGGCTGGACAACCCCTTCTGGCTGCCTAAGCAGATGGCAGAAGAAGGAAACAAGGTCAGAGGCAGAGTGTTGAACCCTGCCTCCCAGGTGGGTGGAAGATGCCTGTCGCCAAACTAGGGCCCAGCTTGCCAGGTGAGATGGGTGAACTGGTGATCCCCCGAGAGAGTGGACGTCAGAACTACATGTTCCCGGACTTCACCTCGGCCAGCGAAGGAGAGAGAGGGTTAATGTTAACTGCACGAGGCTCACTCTAGCCTTAAATTCTGTAATTCAAACCCTTCCCTTGGAGACAAAACAAACATGACAAGGAATTCTGAGGTCAGGGGAGACGAATCACAAGTTCCCTAGTGGGAGACTGAGGAGGCAGTGTCCTTCCTGCCCTTGGTCTACTGGCTAAGAACCTTCCTTAGCCTCACCTTTGCACATTGCACTTTCAGCTCTGTTTGCAATTTTCCTCCTTTAGTGCTGAGGGAATCCCAGTGTTCGATCCTGAAATCTATAGGTTCCTAATGGGTGGTTAAAAAAAACCTCAGCGAGAGAAGCAGAAAATGTTTCCTCTTCCTGAAAAACTGTAGAAAGGCAGGCACCATTCTGGGTGAGGACATGGTCCTTGCAAATGTCTTTGTGTTTTTTTTTTTTTTTTTTTTTTTTTTGAGATGAAGTTTTGCTCTTGTTGCCCAGACTGGAGTGCAGTGGTGTGATCTCTGCTCATTGCAACCTCCGCCTCCTGGGTTCAAGCAGTTCTCCTACCTCAGCCTCCCAAGTAGCTGGAATTACAGGCACCTGCCACCACACCTGGCTAATTTTTTGTATTTTTAGTAGAGATGGGGTTTTGCCATGTTGGCCATGTTGGTCTCGAACTCCTGACCTCAAGTGAGCCCCCCGCTTCTGCCTCCCAAAGTGCTGGGATTACAGGAGTGAGCCACCGCATGCAGCCTGCAAACGTCTTTAAAGACAGCATGTTTCAGAGGCTGTGACAGTGCCCTGTGAACATGCCAATTCTCGCAGTCCCGGCAGCTCTGAGGAGCAGGCTCGGCTCCTTGCCAGGCTGATGGTACTGAAACTCTGCTCTCCAAGACATAACCTGATGGCCGTGCAAGATTTCTTAATCGACTGTGGACCGTGAGAGTCTGCATCTCATTTTAATTAAGATGGGAAAAGAAAGAACAAAAGAGCAACTCCCAGGTTATAGAGAAACTGGATTTTAGTATAATATTCAAGTGTAACATTGCTAATAATAACAAACCTTTCCCCTCCCAAACGGTAAACACTTGCACTGCCTATTATACAAAAATTCAACCACCCTCTCTGTTCCCCCGATATCTCCTGCCCAGTGACCCCCGTTTCATGCGGCCTCATGAGCCTGGCCAGTGGTGAATGGCAGTTTCATGGGCATGAGACTCCACGTGAGTGGGACTCAGCTGGGACCCCTCTCCACGTGGGAGCTGGAGAAGCCACCCTAGTAGCAGCTTAAAGTGTCCGTGATGTCCCTGCTGCTGAGCTAGGGGCCGCCTCTGAGCTGGTATCGGGGTGTGAGCTGCTGCTGGTAGTGGGCTCTGCCCTGAGTGCCTGGTGGCTGGTCAGAACGGCAGGCACACATGGGTGACTCCCCAGGAACTCAGGCCACCTCCCCACCACAGCCCTGCACCGTGTGCTCCAGGCATGTGCTGAGTGCCTGGTCAATCACCAGTGCCCTATTGATCCCAGTCTCCAGAGAGATCATTTAGTGTCACTCCACAGAGGGGGAAACTGAGGCCCAGAGAAGTAAGGTGACTCTCCCCAGTCACAGGGCTGGTCAGCAGTAGGATGGGAGGCTAGTCCCTTGCTGTCTGACTCCCTGAGCCCACCCATATCCCAAGGCAGCCAACCTCTGCCCGCCCTGGTTCAGGACCCGACTGGCTCCTGTGGTGGGTGATGTCTATCTTCCTGGCCTTTGTGCTCCCAGCCAACTGGGATGGAGCCTCCAGCTGGCATGACATGTTGTAGCTATGGACAGAAGAGTGGCTGTGAGGCTGCCAGGAATCTCACCAGGGCCCCCTCCCAGGGCCTGTCCAGAGTGAGGTCTGGGTACCCCAGGCATTGCCAGACCACAGGATCTGATGTTGACCAAGAGGCCATGGCCACAGGCTTTCTGAGGCTGGCCCCCAGGGAGAGTTCAATCCCACTATCCCAATTCCTGCCCTGGCCTTACCTCTCAGTCTCACCGAGCCGCTTCATGGTCCCAAACCAGGACCCAAAGTGCTGCTTGGGCTCAAGGTTGTAATTATATGCAGCCAACTGGAGCAGCGGACCTCCTTGCTTACTTTGAATTCCTGGGTCCAGAGGGAAAAACTGGGTGGTGACAGGGACTGGACAGGGATGCCACAGGGGCCCTGTGGGGGTGTTAGATTGGGTGGTGGCCAGTCTTTGCTCATAGGGGACACCCTTCTCCTCTCCAGTCCTGTCCCCACCTGTTCTCAGAGCTGGCTCAAACAGCAGCTCCTCCAGGAAGGTGTCCTTGGTTTCAACCTGGTACTCCCACCTGCAGGTCTTCCTGGAGTGTCTCCTCTTTCTCTCTGTCTCCCCATAAATCTAAGATGAGGGGGATGGATTTGCCCACCGCTACTCACCGTATGACTCTTGTGAGGTTGATCAGTCTCCCCTGGAAGGCCAACAGCTGAAGTCCATCAGAAAGGGTCCTCTGGCCCAGAGCCAGACCCTGCCCACCCCTGTCATGCTGCACCCAGGGTGCAAGCCCCAGATCAGGTCTGGGTGACAGGAGGGGTATAGAGGGGCTGAGGCTCAGGGGCCTTCTAGCCTAACTTGTCTGGAGACAGTTGGGGAAACTGAGACCCCAAGCAGGGAGGTATGGCTCCGAGAGATTATTCTCGTTAACCTGGAACATTTTTGCAAGCTGTTAGGTATAGGAAGTCTGTCACAGGTAAGAGAAATGCTTTTTGAGAGCATGAGAGACAGCAGGGCTGTGACAATATTGAAACACTGCCGTGCAGATTCACCAATTGCCACCACCGGGAGCCCCCTGAGAGTCATTGCAGATGCACAGCCCTCCCCTGCAACCCCTGGACCTCCCCATGGTCTGGCATCTAAAGGGTTATGCCTCATGGCAGGAATCAGGGCCCTCAGGATGCCCTGCCCACTCCAAGGTCTGCCTCTGCTCTGATTGGTCACTGACATTCAGATTGTCACCCAAATATAAGGACGTTAGCAGAAAGACTCATTCAATACAAGTGGACTCAGACATAGATAGGAATTGAGTTGCAAAAAGCCCCTTTTGTTTCTTTTATTTTGGAAAAAACTTTTATTGTGAAATTCACATATATATATATGGAAAAAAAACTGAATCAATGCAAAAGGATAGACAATGAACAAATGAATTCCCCTTCCACTCCAGATCCCCAACTCAGATCCAGACCTCCTGAGCCCACTTCCCCCATCTCATCACAGATTCAGACCTCCTGAGCCCACTTTCCCCATCTCATCACAGATCCAGACCTCCTGAGCCCACTTTCCCCATCTCATCACAGATCCAGACCTCCCCCACTTTCCCCATCTCATCACAGATCCAGACCTCCTGAGCCCACTTCCCCATCTCATCACCAGTGATTTCTTGGGCTCTGCATTAGTTTTCTATTGCTGCTGCAGCAAACAGCTACAGACTCAGTGGCTTCCATTTCCGTCTTATAGTTCTGGTTGCCAAAAGTCCTAAGAGGATCTCACTGGGCTAAAGTCAAGGTGCTGGTGGGGCTATGTCCCTTCTGGAGGCTCAAGGGATGAATCAGGTCCCTGCGTTTTCTAGCTTCTAGGGGCTCCAGCTTCTGGGTTTGTGGCCTCCTTCCTCCATCCTCAAAGCCAGCAACAGCAGGTGAAGTCCTCGCCCATCGTGCATCACTCTCCCTTCTGCCTCCTTCAACTTTTTTTTTTATATTTAGGGGGAACGAGTATAGGATTCTTACATAGTCAAAAAGCTCCTTATAGAGAAGCTCAGAACTTTCAATACAGCTTTGCCTTTTTTGCCATTTAAATTTTCCATTTAATTTAAATGTATTCTCTCATTTGACCTTCATACTCTGTGGAGAAATATTCCTGTTTTGGCTTGTATTGACAAGTTGTTTTCACACAGCCCCCACATCACCCAACCAACCAGCAGAGATCCTCCTTCCCAAGAAACAGATAAAGAAACTGAGGCCCAGGAAGGCTAAGAGTCCTGCCAGGATTATTCACCTTTCAAGGTAAGGAGCCAGTTCCAGACCGGGGTTTGTGCAGCTCCAAGCTCCCCCGTCTTTCTACAATGCTAGATTTAGACTAAAGCAATCTAGCAAGTGTGGCCACACAATGGTCAAGTTGGATTTAGATGATGTTCTTTATAAATCCATTCTCCTCTCCCGTGTAAGCAAGGCAAAGTACTCCAGGCCATGGGGAGTCCCTGAAGACTCGATGAACTGCAGTGGCCACATCAGGAGGTTGCAGGTTAACCAGAACTCACCGACACAGCAGGAGAGCAGCTTGGAACCTGCAACCTAGCCAAAACCTAGTGCCTTGGATTGGGGGAGAAAACATGCAGCCATTCCTCTCTCTCTGCTGGCTAGAGGGGATTCTGGCTTTTCCTGCCAGAGCCACCCCTTTCCCTCCTCCTAAAGTTGATGGTGGTTCTTTAAGGAAAGGGAGAAGTGCACGGTGTGATAGGGCAGGAAGAGAAGAAAACGGAGGAGAGGAGGGGACTTTCCCATAAGCAGGCAGAAGAAAAGGCAGCTGTGGTGTGTGATGGACATGGATGCAGTGGTGTCCAATGTGGGGTCAGCCCTAGAGGAGAGACAGAGAGAGAGACAGAAAAGTGAGAGAGTCCTGACCCTTATGATTAACATGGGATCTGCCTGCAAATGCTGTTTAGGGTCATCGCCTCTTCCTGTACCACTATTTTTGAGAGTGATGCTCCTGAGCCCCACGACCCAGTCAAATTTGATGTCCCCTTGAGCCAGATTCAGTGCTGGGAGTCCAGTGTGATCTGCCTGGATCTTGCTGCATTGAGAACAGGCCAGATCTTGACCCCAATACAGGGGCTGGATATGAACAGGCAACAGCTGAGTTTCTGAGTCAGAAAGACTTGGTTAATTGCTAATTGCTTAGGCAAGTAATTTAATTTTGTTGCATCAGATTCCTCAGCTACAAAATGCACATGACAGTACTTATTCCTCCAGGTTGTGGGGAAAATGGAGATTCTAAGCACGATGTCCATTTCACAGAAAGATACCAATTTGGTGGCTTATTTCCTTTCTACCTTCAGAAGTGGCTATCCCTGCCACCCAAACAGACCCTTGACTCTCAAGTGGATGTCCCATTTGCACAGGGGGAGACCTTACAGCCTACGTTGAGTCTATACTTACCACTTAGTGAGCATGGTATCTGCTCAGGGGCCTCTGTGGGCATCTGTCTCCTCTGCAGCATCTTTCCTCCCCACTGCTGGGTCTGCACATGACCCCCTCCTTGGGTTAGGCCTCTGATCAGTGATGACCTTGGTATGGTGGTAATGGTCAGTCTTGGCATCAAATGAGCCAGTTTATATCATCAGCTATTCAATAAAATACTAATCTAGGTGTCACCGTGAAAGTATTTTGTGACATTGTTATGTACATATTGTTACAAATGTGCATGATGCATTTACTACAGCATAGAATTTTGCCTGGGTGCCACCCTGAAGTCTGTCCGACAGATCATAGCCATGTTAGTCCCACAGTCGCAGGGGCCAATTGATTAAATTATTTTATCTCCCTTGAGAACTAAAACTAAAATCCTAAGCCCCCCACCCAACTTAACAGACCCCCTGTTGGCCAACGGAACCTCAAATAAATCTTAAAATTCAGTTCTTGGCCATGACAGGACAGGAAGTCAGACATACCTCCCTGTACCTCCCTCCCTCTTATGGTTTAGACCCAACAACTGAACAGCATTGATGTTAAAATAGAGATCATGAGACTGACAGAACAGACTCTTTGTGGCAATAAGACCTCAAATTATAAACAGGACCTAGGGCCATGCCAGGCGAGGGTTAAGTCTTGTACCCTACTCTTAAAGAATTAACTAGATTCTAGCTACCACATGGGTTTTATTTTTCTCTAGCAGCCAAGCAAGCACTGGCTGTGAGAGATGGCTGTGAGAGAAGATTAAAACAATTACAACTCACCCAGTTCACAGATGCTGAGTAACTGATCTCCTGCCCCACTAACCTTAACGACAGCTTTCTCTGGACAAGGGACTGATTTCAGTAACTTTCTCCTGATAAGAGACCATCCTCCATGGACTGGTTCTGGCCAGTTTTAGAGGCTGTGCCTTTACGAGGCTGAGTACCTTCATGTCCCTGCTTCACTTTTTGATGTGTAGGGCCTAATTATAATACATTTAAATGTCAAGTCTCCACCCCAGAATGAACATGCATGTTTATTGAATATGCATGTGTTAGGACCTCTTTTATGAGTATTCTCATAAAATGATATAGCTCCTCTGATATCCTATTGAGTATGTATATGTAGCCAACTCATTTGGCTCAAATTCCTGTCCTCTCCCTCCCTCCCTGGAAATGCCTGCCTCTGGCCTTGGCTGTAGGCCACACTTCCCAGCCTGTCATAATGGCCACCTTGCAGACTGCAAACCTTTATAAGAAATAAAGCTCTCTTTTCTAAATTTATAAAATTGTGTGATTTTTCAGTTGATCCTCTCTTTCTACACACACACACACACACACACACACACACATGCAATTTATACAGAAGGAAATCTGGAGAATATATGTGGGAATGGATATTAAGTGTGTGGCACCATGGTGAAAGTAACATAAAGTTGGATTAGGCTAAATTTATTAATGTTGGCCCACTAAACAGAGATTCTGGACTCAGAGTTGTAGGTCAAAGCTTTAGAAAGGGCTCCAAGGGTTGGTTTGATCGGTTACTTGGTTGGTTGCTTGCTTGGTTGGTGGTGCTTGCTTCCTTGCTTGGTTGTTTGGTTGGTTTGTTGCTTGCTTGCTTGCTTGTTGGTTGATTGGTTGGCTGTTTGCTTATTTGTTTGGTGACTTGGTTGGTTGGCTGAAACAGAATCAGAGTTTACCTAAGGTACATAAAGTTGAGATGCCACAACTTCCTTGGTTTATATGTACAGAAAGGTATGCAAAAACTCAGGGAGACTGGATTTATTATGTCAGACCTGCTCACTCACACTGAAGGGTCTACAGAACATACTCCTCACAACGATCATGAGAAAGAATATTGTGAGATGAGCCCAGTATCCTGGAAGAGCTTTGAGCTTGTGCTCTCAGTAGGCAAAATGTTACAGCAGGAACTGCAGCCACTGGACTGGGATCTTTAAGTAAAATGAGGATAATTGAATCCTGGGGTGGCAGGGAACATGGGCTGTCCTTAATCACCAAAGATGAGGTGGGTGTGGTCACCACAGTGGAAAGCAGTGTCAAAGCAGCAGTCAGAATGGTTTGACTCACAGACACCCATGGCATTGTGTAGTCCATGGTATCCACAGGGAGAGCTAATGGGCTGTACCAAAGTCTTAGTTGTTGTTTAAAAAATGAAGAATTCTAGGTCAACTGAATAAAAGACTAACTCAAATTAATGAAACACAGATCTAAAACCCTCAATCAATTCCCAGACTTGAGCCAGTTCACAGGCCCACAACCCCTTAAGTGAAGGGGAGGCTGGGTGATCTTGGGGAAGTACGCTGCTACATTGCCAAAAATTTACATTGTTAATCTTTTTCCCAGTCTTCCCCAAAGGGACCTACAGCCTTCTGCCAGGATGACTGTGACTTAAAGAAAAGAAAATTCTCAGATATTTGGGGAATTACTGGACACTGGCTCTCATTTGACACTATTATCACTATGTTGCCTAGGATGGATTCATGCTTCTGGGTTCGAGCAGTCCTCCTACCTCAGCCTCCCAAAGTGCTGGGATGACAGACATGAGCCACTGTGGCCAGCAGAGCTTTGAAACTAGAACATGGAGGTCCAGTGGTAAATATTTGACAAGTCTGGGAAGAGATTGGGCCAAGGCAATGTTGATGATTCCTTTTTTTTTTTTTTTTTTTTTTTTTTTTGCAACAGATTCTCACTCTGTTGTCTAGGCTGGAGTGCAATGGTGCAATCTCGGCTCACTGCAACCTCTGCCTCTGGGGTGCAAGCAATTCTCCTGCCTCAGCCTCCTGAGTAGCTGGGATTACAGGTGCCCACCGCCACACCAGGCTAATTTTTTATTATTTTAATTTTTTTGAGACAGAGTCTCACTCTATATCGCCCAGGCTGGAGTGCAGTGGCGCAATCTGGGCTCACTGCAAACCCCACCTCTCAGGTTCACGCCATTCTCCTGCCTCAGTCTCACGAGTAGCTGGGACTACAGGTGCCTGCCACCGTGCCTGGCTAATTTTTTGTATTTTTAGTAGAGACAGGGTTTCACCATGTTAGCCAGGATGGTCTTGATCTCCTGACCTCATGATCCGCCCGCCTCAGCCTCCCACAGTGCTGGGATTACAGGGATGAGCCACCATGCCCAGCCATACCAAGCTAATTTTTGTATTTTTTTTTAGTTGAGACAGGGTTTCACCATGTTGGCCAGGCTGGTCCCTGACCTTGTGATCCGCCCGCCTCAGCTTCCCAAAGTGCTGAGATGACAGACATGAGCCACCGTGCCTGGCCAATGTTGATGATTCTAAGCAGCCGCTAATGTGAAAACCATCCAACTGGAAGACCTGGCCTTTCCCAGAGGACACAGTCTGGGTGGTGGGCAGAGACTTCAGCTGACTTCCAAGGCAAGCAGCTCCTTGCTGCCCGCTTGCTGGGGATTTTACTTACGGGGCAGAAGCTGGCAAGTGATTTGGGGGCAGGAATTGCTTCCTGGATGGTATAGGATGAACCACACTCCCCAGGAAGGCACTCATCCTGGTGGCCTAACAGAAGTAGCCCTCACCTCAAAAGGTAATGCTGCTCCACTAGTTTTATGGGGTGACTCCTTCCTGTAGGTTCCTTCCAGCTTTACCAGAAACACAGAACATCTTTCCTGACAGGGCATTGGTTTTGTTTTTGAACAGAGAGATCCTTCTTTTAAAAAGTTAGTTTTTTCTTTTTTTTTTTTTGTAATGGAATCAACCTAGGTCCTAAGCCTAGCAGGTTATTATTATTATTTTTATGATTATTTTTTGAGATGGAGTCCCACTCTGTGGCCCAGGCTGGAGGGCAGTGGCACGATCTCGGCTCACTGCAATGTCTGCCTCCTGGGTTCAAGAGATTCTCCTGCCTCAACCTACAGAGGAGCCGGGATTACAGGCGTGCACCACCATGCCCGGCTAATTTTTGTACTTTTAGTAGAGATAGGGTTTTGCCATGTTGGCCAGGCTGATCTCAAACTCCTGACCTCAGGTGATCCACCCACCTCAGCCTCCCAAACTGCTGAGAATACAGGTGTGAGCTGCCACACCCAGCCACAGGTTATTTTTGCTGATCTTCTCCCTCCTCCCACCCTCTACCCTCAAAGAAAATGTGGTACATCTACACCATGGAATACTACGCAACCCTGAAAAGGAACAAAATCATTTTTTTGTTTTTTTTGTTTGTTTGTTTTTGCAGCAACATGGATGTAGCTGGAGGCCATTATCTTTTTAAATTATTTTTATTATTTTTTATTTTTTCTATTTTACTTTAAGTTCTGGGGTATATGTGCAGAATGTGCAGGATTGTTACATAGATATATATGTGCCATAGCGGTTTGCTGCACCCATCAACCCATCATCTACACTAGATATTTCTCATAATGCTGTCCCTCCCCCAGTCCCCCACCCCTGCAACAGGCCCCAGTGTGTGATGTTCCCCTCTCTGGGTCGATGTGTTCTCATTGTTCACTTCCCTCTTATGGTGAGAACATGCACTGTTTGGTTTTCTGTTCCTGTTTCACTTTGCTGAACATGAGGGTTTCCAGCTTCATCCATGTCCCTGCAAAGGACATGAACTCATCCTTTTTCATGGCTGCATAGTATTCCACAGTGTCTATGTGCTACATTTTCTTTATCCAGTCTATCACTGATGAGCATTTGGGTTGGTTCCACATCTTTGCTATTGTGAACAGTGTGGAGGCCATTATCTTAAGTAAATTAACAGAATGCTGCATGTTCTCACTATAAGTGGGAGCTAAATGTTGTGTATAGGTAGACACAGAGAAGGGAACAGATACTGGGTTCTAGTTAGGGGGAGAGAGGAAGGTAGAAGGACAAGAGTTGAAAAAACCAACTGTGGGGTATTATGCTCACTATCTGGGTGATGGGATCACTCATACCCCAGACCTCAGCATCACACATCGTCCACATGTAAGAAACCTGTACATGTACCTCCTGAATCCAAACTGCTCCACCATTTGCACCAGCAATTCCAAGACTGGGCATCTACCCAAAGGAAAAGAAGTCATTCTACCAAAAAGATACATGCATGGTAAAGTTCCTTTTTTTTTGTTTGTTTTTTGAGATGGAGTCTCGCTCTATTGCCCATGCTGGAGTGCAGTAGCAATCTTGGCTCACTGCAACCTCTGCCTCCTGGGTTAAAGTGATTCTCCTGCCTCAGCCTCCTGAGCAGCTGGGATTACAGGCATGCGCCACCATGCCTGGCTAGTTTTTGTATTTTTAGTAGAGATAGGGTTTCACCATGTTGACCAGGCTGGTCTTGAACTCCTGACCTCAGGTGATCTGCCCACCTTGGCCCTCCAGAGTGCTGGGATTATAGTGCCCAGCCCTGTAAGGTTTGTCACAGCATGACTTACAATAGGAAAGTCATGGAATCAACCTAGTTGCCCATCAGTAGGGTACCGGATAAAGCAAAAGTGGTTCTTCTACAGCATCGAATACTACACAGCCATGAAAAAGAATAAAATCACATCCTTTGCAGCCACATGGATGTAGCTGGAGGGCATTATGCTTAATGAATTAAGAACAGAAAATCAAATACCACATGTTCTTGACTGGATAAAGCAATTGTGGCCCTTCTACGCCATGGAATACTGCACAGCCATGAAAAAGAATAAAATCATGTCTTTGCAGCCACATGGATGCAGCTGAAGGGAATTATGCTTAGTGAATTAATGCCAGGAAAAGAAAATCGAATACCACATGTTCTCCACTAGATAAAGCAAATGTGGTCTTTCTGCATCATGGAATACTACGCAGCCATGAAAAAGAATAATATCATGTCCTTTGCAGCCACATGGACACAGCTGAAGGACATTATGCTTAGTGAATTAATGCCAGGAACAGAAAATGAAATACTACATGTCCTCAACTGGATAAAGCAAATGTGGCCCTTCTACACCACGGAATACTACACAGTGATGAAAAAAATAAAATCTTGTCTTTGCAGCCACATGGATGCAGCCAGAGGCCATTATGCTTAGTGAATCAATATGAGGAACAGAAAATCAAAGACCACATGTTCTTCACTAGATAAAGCAAATGTGGTCCTTCTGCATCATGGAATACTACACAGCCATGAACAAGAATAAAATCATGCCCTTTGCAGCAACATGGATGAAGCTGAAGGGCATTATGCTTAGTGAATTAATGCCAGAAACAAAATCAAATACCACATGTTCTCAATTAGATAAAGCAAATGTGGTCCTTCCGCATCATGGAATACTACACAGCCATGAACAAGAATAAAATCATGCCCTTTGTAGTCACGTGGATGAAGCTGAAGGGCACTATGCTTAGTGAATTAACGCCAGGAACAGAAAATCAAATACCACATGTTCTCGCTTATAGGTGGGAGCTAAACATTGCCTGCACCTGGATACAATGAAGGGGCACCACAGACCCTCAGTACTAATAGAGCAGGAAGCAGGGGCGGGGGTACAAGGGTTGAAAAACTACCCTGAGATTCTTTGAATTTCAGGCAGAAAGCAGCAACTGGAGAGAGCTTTGGGTCACGGATTTTTCTGTTGCATTTTCTTGCTTGTTTGTTTTCTCTCTCGCTCTCTTTTTTTTTTTTTTTTTTTGAGATGGAGTCTCGCTCTGTGACCCAGGCTGGAGTGCAGTGGTGCAATCTCGGCTCCCTGCAACTTCTGCCTCCTGGATTCAAGCAATTCTTCTACCTCAGCCTCCCAAGTAGCTGGGATTACAGGCACCCGCCACCACACCTGGTTAATTTTTGTATTTTTAGCAGAGACGGGCTTTCACCATGTTGGCCAGGCTGGTCTCGAACTCCTGACCTCAGGTGATCTGCCTGCCTCGGCCTCCCAAAGTGCTGGGATTACAGGCATGAGCCACTGCACCTGGACCTCTTCTTATATATTCTAGAACTCCTCTAGAATTTGGGGTTTGTTTTTCTTAATTACAAGGAATCAAGTTGAATCATTAGTGCATATATAAATATGCATTTTATTTTTAGTACACATTATATACCTCAGGAATGTACAATGCTCAGTGCCTGGGTGACGGGATGATTCATACCCCAAACCTCAGCAACGTACAATATCCTCAGGTCACAAAGCTGCCCGTGGATCCCCTGAATCTATAATAATAATAATAAATAAAAAGTGACTTTGTCATTCGCAGGGAAATGCAAATGACATTCACTCTGCCTCTCAGGCCCTTGGATTCCCAAAATTTGTTTTCATCACGCCCAGGGGACACTCAGAATCTCATTTTCAGAACATGGGTTGTTTTTCTTAGAAACACTTTGCAAAACAAAATAGGAAGCAAAATCTTTCTCACTCCTTCCACTCCGTAATAGACAAAATAAAATGAGGGGTCAGGAATCCAGAGACTTTGACTGCAGTTGGCAGATTTATTGTGGTACAGACATGAAGGCAAACAGTGTTCTCTCTGATTCTACAAACCGTACAGCCCGGGCCGGCTGCCTTCTGCTTTCTGGATGGTGCAGGCGTGAGCTCCAAGCCCAAATTTCACCGGAGCTCCAGAAATCGAGCCTGGCCCAGGCACTCACTGCACGGGGGCCAAGCGTGAAACCAGTGATCACTCCAGCAAGGTAACAGGACAGCTTGGTGATCCTTCTTGCCGGCCACAAAAGGTTATAGCCAGAATTCCACCGAATGTGGTCTTTCTGTGTCTCTCCCCAGACAGCGAAGCTGGACAAACCTGGGGGTGGGGGGTGGGGGGTGCTGACCTCAGTGGGGTGTCCTGGAGGGGCAGGAACCAGGGTTTACAGGGTGCAGATCCTACTGAAGCAAATGGACGTGGCATCCGCGGGCAGAGCTGGCTGTGGCGTCTCCCCTCTGCCTGCGGTGTCACCAAATGTACCCAGAGACCGCTTGTAAACCTGGAGGGTGTGCTAACGTCAGTGGGGTGTCCTGGAGAGGCAGGAACCTGGGAATCCAAGGTACAGATTCTACTAAAGCAAATGGACGTGGCATCCGCGGGCAGAGCTGGCTGTGGCGTCCCCCCTTCTGCCTGGGGTGTCACCACATTTCACCAAGAGACCCCTTCTAAACCTGGGCAGTGTGCTGACCTCAGTGGGGTGTCCTGGAGAGGCAGGAACCAGGGTTTACAGGATGCAGATCCTACTGAAGCAAATGGACATGGCATCTGCGGGCAGAGCTGGGTGTGGCTGGCCTTCCAGCCTGGATGTCCCCCCCCGCCTGGGGTGTCACCAAATGCACCCAGAGACCCCTTCTAAACCTGGGGGGATGTGCTGACCTCAGTGGGGTTTCCTGGAGAGGCAGGAACCTGGGTTACCAGGGTGCATATCCTACTGAAGCAAATGGACGTGGCATCCTTGAGCAGAGCTGGCTGTGGCTGGCCTTCCAGCCTGGACGTCTCCCCCACTGCCTGGGGTGTCACCAAATGCACCCAGAGACCTCTCTTCTGAAAGCCCATTCATGGGAAGCCTCCAGGTCTCCTCGGTAGGCAGCATCACGTCTGATTTAACTGCGTTATCAGGTAATGCAGGCCTGTTCTACCTGTGTGAGTGAGCGCGTGGGTGCCGTGTGGGAGTGTGTGTGTTGATGTGGGTGTGGGTGTGTGCTTGTGTGGCTGTGTGTGCCTGTTTATGTGATGATGAGTGTTTCTGTGAGTCTGTAAGACAACGTGTGTTTCCATGCATGTTTCTGTGTGAGCGTGCATTCCTGTGTTTTATGGAAGTGTGTTTTTGTGATGGTGTTTGTGTGTGCCCCTGTGTTTATCGTATTTGTGTGTTTGTGAATATGAATGTATGTGTGTGAATCTGTATGGCAATGTATAAATTCTTTTTTTTTTTTTTTGAGACGGAGTCTCGCTCTGTCACCCATACTGGAGTGCAAAGGCACAATCTCAGCTCACAGCAACCTCCGCCTCCCGGGTTCAAATGATTCTTCTGCCTCAGCCTCCTGAGTACCTGGGATTACAGGCACCCACCACCACATCTGGCTAATTTTTCTTTTTTGATACAGAGTCTCGTTCTGTTGCCCAGGCTGGAGTGCAGTGGCGTAATCTTGGCTCACTGCAACCTCTGCCTCCCGGGTTCAAATGATTCTCCTGCCTCAGCCTCCTGAGTAGCTGGGATTACAGGCATACGCCACCACATCTGGCTAATTTTTGTATTTTTGAGTAGAGACGGGGTCTCACCATGTTGGCCAGGCTGGTCTGGAACTCCCGACCTCAAGTTATCTGCCCGCCTCAGCCTCCCAAAGTTCTGGGAGTACAGGCGTGAGCCACCTTGCCCGGCCCCGGTGTGTGAATTTTTATGTTTGTGTGTCCACATGATTATGTGAGTCTTTTTGTGACTGTGTTTGCATGAGTGTGTGACTGTATTTATGTGTTTGTGTGTGCTTGTGTGATTCTGAGTGTGTGTATGAGTGTGTATGACATATGTGAGCGTCTTTGTGGGTGAGTAGCCATCCACGTGTTTATATGAGAGTGTTTTCATGATTCTGTTTATGAGTGTCTTTGTATGTATACATGTTTGTGTGCTTTGTGAGAATGTCAATGTGCATGTGCACCCACGTGTGCAAAAAAACACACATTTTTGTAATTGTGTTTGTGTGTGTGTCCCTGCGTTTGTGTGAGTGTGCATGTCTTTGTGTGTCCATGTGTTTCTATGAGTGTGTTTTGTGATTCTGTCTTCGTGTTGATGTGTGTTTGTGTAAGTGTGTGGTTGCATTTGTGTCAGTGATTCTGGAGCAGGTGAGTTGATCACAAGCCTGAGCTGAGAATCCATGGAGCTCATTTACAACAGAAGCCAGGACCCTGTGCAAATCCTTCTGAAATATCCCCGGTTTACAGAGCTCCTAGGGGTGGGGAAGAAAAATTCCCTGACTTTTCGGCCTCAGGGAAAGAGAGAGACACCCCACTGGCCATACGCCTCTGCTGTTTCTCAGAAAACGGATGGGGCATCACTCTTTCCCAAATGACGGTGATTTTGAGAACGGTTCACCTTTTGAAGAGACGTTTCTGCCCTGGCGATCCATACATATTGAACCAAAATGAATATTTTTTAATTAAAAATTTTTATATAAATATACATTGTGTATACTTTATATTAATATATTGATATAAATAAATATATTTTATTAATATAAACATATGATTTTTATAGTTCATATAAATAATAAAGTTATATATAGTGTATATGTAAAATATACTTTTATTTGTAATACATAATTTTATAGATTAAATTTTATATACTAAGCAAAGTTATATGTGATATATACATGCCATATAACATCATTTATATCATATATACCTTTATGTAAATAAGTATATAATAAAATTGATCTTATATTTGTTAATACATAATTATGTATATATACTATGTAAAAATAAAATTATATGTTGTATGTGCATAATTATATTTCCATAAATACATGCTTAGGTGTGTATTTATACATGAATGCCTGTGTTTGTGTGAGTACATCAGTGAGTGCGTGAATGTGTGTGTGCGCATGTGTGCCTGTGTTTGTGTGAGTGTAAGAGTGTTGTACATTTATACACACACATTTTGTTTTCTGGTTAATAACAAGATCTATCTTTGATTTAGGATATGAAGAATTCTTATAAGCAACCCCCCCACACACACAATTTGTATTTATCTTAAAATATTCTTAAAATATGGGTTCTTTTATTTTTGCACAAACAGACAAGAGTGTTTTTTCTTTCCAAAACTTTTATTTCAAATTCTGACCCTGAGGAGGAGAAAAAGAAGAAAACATTGTGTAACCTTATATACATTAGAAACATAGGTAGTTACTAAATGCAATACAGATTTTGACAATATGCATTTAGGAAAAATGAGGAATTCAAACTCGTAGCTGCCTCAATATTGAACTTTCTAATGTTTAATTTTTTTTAATTAAAAAGTATTCGTTTGGATTCAATATGTATGGATCTCCAGGGCAGAAATGTCTCTCCAAAAAGTGAACCACTCTGAAAATCACCGTCATTTGGGAAAGGGTGATGCCCCAGGTGTCTTCTGAAAAATAGCAGAGGCTTCCGGCCAGTGGGATGTCTCTCTCTTTCCCTGAGGCCGAAATGTCAGGGAATTTTTCTTCCCCACCCCTAGGAGCCCAGTAAACGGGGGATATTTCAGAAGGATTTGCACAGGGTCCTGGCTTCTGCTATTTATGAGCTCCATGGATTCTTGGCTCAGGCTTGTGATCAGCTCACCTGCTCCAGAATCACTTCCCGTCTTAGCTTCTGGGCTAAGACACCTCAAAACCAGCAAAGGAAAGTCCTCACTGGTCAACGTGTCCATCCCAACTCCCCCATCTCCCCTTAGGGTGGGTTTGGGGTTCGGGACTGCTTTACTGTTCCTTTCAAAGCAGACTGGGAGGTAAGATTTTATTCTGCTTCCAGAGGTTCAGGATTTCTGCAGACGGTCAGCAACTCTTTGCATCCTACTGGTAAAAGTTTTATATACTTTGTATTTATATAAATATGCATTGTGTATATTTTATATGAATAGATTGATATAAATATATTTTATTAACTTAACCATGTGACTTTTATATTTTTATATAAATAAAGTTATATGTAGTGTATATGTAAAATACACTTTTATTTGTAATACATAATTTTATAGATTAAATTTAATATATTAAGCAAAAATATATGTAATATATATAACATATAACATCATTTATATAATATGTAACTTAATGTAAATAAGTATATAAAATTATTATTATATTTGTTAATACATAATTATGCATATATACTATGTAAAAATAAAATTACATATTGTATATGCATAATTATATTTCTATAAATACAATTATATACTATATATAATTATGTACAAAATAATTGTATAATAAAATTATATAATAAATTTTGAAACGTTATAAATTATTATACATAGTATTTTATTGTATTAAATTTAGAAATGTGTTATATGTTTTATTATAATAAATGTAGATTATATAAAATTTTATTTATAATAAATTATCTTATGTATAATTATAATATGAGAAAATAATTATATATCATTGTATTATAATAAATTTAGAAATGTTATACATTATTATATATAAAATTTCATTATATTAAATTTAGAAATATATGCAATAAAATGGTATTAAAATTTTTATGTAACATTTTATACATGTATAATTTTATAAAATGTTTTATAATATATAGAATATAAGTACACAGCATATAAGTACAAAAATATTTATATACAGCTACACGTAATATAAATACATCAGTGTAAGATGTTTTGTGTGTGTGAGATGGAGTCTCGCTCTGTTGCCCAGGCTGGAGTGCAGCGACACGATCTCGGCTCACTGCAACCTCTGCCTCCTGGGTTCAAGCGATTCTCCTGCCTCAGCCTCCCGAGTAGCTGGGATTACAGGCATGCACCACCACACCCAATCAATTTTTGTATTTTTAGTAGAGATGGGGTTTCACTGTGTTAGCCAGGATGGTCTCAAACTCCTGACCTCAGGTGATCCACCCGCCTTGGCCTCCCAAAGTGCTGGGATTACAGGCATGAGCCACAGTGTAAGATACTGGCTATTAAAAAATAAATAAATATATATATTGCAACAGCTGATTTGTCTGGAAGAGTCTGGTCAGAAGACAGGTATTAAGAAGACTGTGAGTCCCCAGAGGAATATAAGAATATACATCATGTTGATATATTATATATAACATAAATAGCTAACTACATCTGTGTATATAGTATAAACAAAAGTACAAAAATATTTGTATATAACTATATGTAATATAAATATATCAGTGTAAGATATTAGCTATTAAAAAATATATATATAGAGAGAGAGAGAGCAACCAGTGATTTGTCTGGAATATTCTAGTCAGAAGACAGTGTATTAAGAAGACAGTGAGTCCCCAGAAGAATATAAGAATATACATCATGTTAATATATTATATATAACATAAATACCTAACGACATCTGTATATATAGTATAAACATAAACTACAAAAATATTAGTATGTAACTATATGTAATATAAATATATCAGTGTAAGATATTAGCTATTAAAATATACATATGTGCGTATGTATGTGTATATGTGTATATAAATATTATATATATATATATAGTAACAGCTGATTTGTGTGGAAGACTTTGGTCAGAAGACAGTGTATTAAGAAGACAGTGGGTCCTCACAGGAAAATAAGAATATACATCATGTTTATATTACATATAACATAAACAACTAATTACATCTGTATATACAGCATAAACATAAAGTACAAAAATATTTGTATATAATCATATGTAATATAAATATACCAGTGTAAGATATTAGCTATTAAAATATACATGTGTGTATGTATGTGTATATGTGTATATATAATATATATATACATATATAACATATATAATATATAAGATATAGCATAATAATATAATATATTATATATAATATGTAATGTATATTATATAATTAATATATAATATATAATATATTCTATGCTATATAATATATTATATATTCTATGCAGTAAAATATATAGCATATATATATATATATATATATATATAGCAACAGCTGATTTGTCTGGAAGAATTTGGTCAGAAGACAGTTTATTAAGACAGTGAGTCCCCAGAGAAATATAAGAATATACATCATGTTTATATTATATATAACATAAATAGCTAACTACATCTGTATATATAGCATAAACATAAAGTACAAAAATATTTATATATAATATAAATATATCAGTGTAAGATATTAGCTATTAAAAAAAAAATATATATATATAGCAACCGGTGATTTGTCTGGAAGACTGGTCAGAAGACAGTGTATTAGGAAGACAGGCAGTCCCCGCAGGAAGCATGGTGCAGGTGGGATCTGGAGGTGACTCTGGGCTGCCAGAAGACGCCCTACTGCTTTGCGGCAGACACAGGTGGAGAGGTCCTCTCTGTAGCTTCAGCGTGGACACTGTGTGTGTCTTGTTGTGGGAACACTTCTTTCTGCTTCCCTCTCCACTGTGACCATCACACTCACTGACCTGCCCTCCTCCTTCCTCTCGCTCTCTGGGGCCCCTGTGGAAAGAGGGTCTTCCCTCCATGCAGCAGGAACCCCCAGGACCCTCCCCATTCTCCTGGGTTCTGAACTTCAGGGACATGTGATCCTACCTGACCGGGCACAGGCTCTGTTCACCCTCAGGAACCCCTGTCCTCCCAGGACACCGTGGACTGGAGAACTGGCCTCCTGAAAATCCAGAGAGAACTTAGCACTCACAACTTCTTTTTTTCTTTTTTCTTTGAGACGGGATCTTGCTCTGTCCCCCAGGCTGGAGTGCAATGGCATGATCTCAGCTCACTGCAACCTCCTCCTCCCAGGTTCAAGCAGTTCGTCCTGCCTCTGTCTCCCGAGTTTCTGGGATCATAGGCATCCACCCCTGCAGCCAACTAATTTCTGTATTTTTAGTAGAGACGGTGTTTCACCATGTTGGCCAGGCTGGTCTCGAACTCTTGACCTCAAGTGATCCACCCACCTCGGCCTCCCAAAGTACTGGGATGACATATATTAGCATGATGTATATTATTCTATTCCTCCGGGGACTCACTGTCTTCTTGGGCAGTAAACCACTGTGCCCGGACTTCTCTGTCCACATCTACACACGTCTAAACCTCTGTAGATTCTGAATTGTTTTTCCTTTGCACAGAATGAGAGGAACTGAAGTCGGGAGGCCCAGCCCCAACATGGTCCCTCTGGCTCTGTGCTCAGGCGGTTTATGGCTGACAAGGACTTGGGGGGTTGAGGGCTTCCTATCAGCCCAGGAGACATTACCCGGGTCTGGGAAGCCTGCTCTGCACTTGTGGGTCTCGAATTGTCTGTTGCATTTACCTGCCTCATTATTTTTTCTCCCTGTCTCTCTTCTTACATATTTCTTTCGAATTTGGAGCTTGTTTTTCTTAACTACAATCAACCTGAATCATTACTGCATATATAAATATAAATTTTATATTGAGTAGACATTATATACTCAATCTATTACACATTCCAACACGGGCCATATCTAAGATGAATATATTTAATGTTTAAAATATGTTTACATTTCATATGGAAAAATATATTTATATTTAATATATATGTGTATATTTAATACAGGAAATACATATTTATATTTAATATATAAAATATATATTTATATTTGACATAAAAATATATGTTTATATTTAATATGGGAAATATATGTTTATGTTTAATATACAAAATACATGTTAATATTTAATATAGACAATGTATAGTTATATTTACTATCCAAAATACATGTTTATATTTAATATAGAAAATGTTTATATTTAATGTACAGAATACATATTTATATTTAATATAGAAAATACATATTTATATTTAACATATACAGTATTTATATTTAATGTATAAAATATGTTTACATTTAATGTGCTGAATATATGCTTATATTTAATGTCTAAAATGTCTATATTTAATGTATTGTATACATTAAATGTACCAAATGTATTCTTATATTTAATGTATACAAGATGTTTATATTTAATGTATATGTTTACATTTAATGTATAAAATGTTTATGTTTGATGTATAAAAGATGTTTATATTTAATGTATACAATGTTTATATTTAATGTACCAAATATATTATATTTAATGTCCAAGCCAGCCAAGCAAGCCAAGCCAGTCAGCCAAGCCATCCAAGCCACCCACCCAGCCAAGCCAGCCAAGTTAGCAAGCTAGCCAGCCAGCCAAGCCAGCCAAGCCAGCCAGCCAGCCAGAAAAACCAGCCAAGCCAGCCAGCCAGGAAAGCCAGCCAAGCCAGCCAACCCAGCCAAGCTTCCAGCCAGCCAAGCCAGCCAAGCCAACCAGCCAGCCAAGCCTGCCAGCCAGCCAAGCCAGCAAAGCCAGCCAGCCAGCCAAGCCAGCCAGCAGGCCCAGCCGCCCCAGCCAGCCAACCAGCCCAACCAGCCAAGAAAGCCCAGCCAGCCAGCCAAGACAGGAAAACCAGCCAGCAAAGCCAGCCAAGCCAGTCAGCCAAGCCAGCCAAGCCACTCAGCCAGGCAGGTCAGCCAAGCCAGCCAAGCCAGCCCAGCCAGCCAGCCAGCAAAGCGAGCCAGCCAGCCAGCCAAGCCAGCCAAGCCAATCAAGCAAGCCAAGCCAGCCAGCCAGCCAGGCCAGCCAAGCCACCTAGCCAGCCAAGCCAGCCAAGCCACCCAGCCAGCCAAGCCAGCCAAGCCACACAGCCAGCCAAGACACCCAGCCAGCCAAGCCTGCCAGCCACCCAGTCAGCCAAGCCAGCCATGCCAGCCAGCCAGCCAAGACAGCCAGCCAGCCAAGCCAACCAAGCCACCCAGCCAGCCAAGCCAGCCAGCCAGCCAGCCAGCCAGTCAGGCAGCCAAGCCAGTGGACCGCCCAGCCAGCCAAGCCAGCCAAGCCACCCAGCCAGCAAAGCCAGCCAAGCCACTCAGCCAGCCAAGCTGGCCAAGCCACCCAAACAGTCAAGCCAGCGAAGCCAACCATGCCAGTCAGCCAGCCAAGCCAGCCAGCCAGCCAAGCCAGCCAAGCAACCCAGCCAAGCCAACCAGCCAGCCAAGCAAGCCAAGCCAGCCAGCCATCCAAGCCAGTCAAGCCAGCCAAGCCAGCCAAGCCAGCCACCCAGCCAAGCCAGCCAAGCCAGCCAGCCACACAGCCAGCAAAGCCAGCCAAGCCAGCCAGCCCCCCAAGCCAGCCAAGCCAGCCAGCCACCCTAGCCAGCCAAGCCACCAAAGCCAGCCAAGCCAGCCAAGCCACCCAGCCACCCAGCCTAGCCAGCCAAGCCAGCCAAGCCAGCCAGCCCCCCAAGCCAGCCAAGCCAGCCAGCCACCCTAGCCAGCCAAGCCACCCAAGCCAGCCAAGCCAGCCAAGCCACCCAGCCAGCCAAGCCAG
This sequence comes from Homo sapiens, assembly GCF_000001405.40. NCBI lineage: Eukaryota > Metazoa > Chordata > Mammalia > Primates > Hominidae > Homo > Homo sapiens. The sequence goes on along the minus strand of NC_000015.10, from coordinate 20,105,232 downwards.
ACAGCCACCCAGCCTAGCCAGCCAAGCCACCCAAGCCAGCCAAGCCAGCCAAGCCACCCAGCCAGCAAAGCCAGACAGCCACCCAGCCAGCCAAGCCAGTCAAGCCACCCAGCCAGCCAAGCCAGCCAAGGCAGCCAGCCAGCCAAGCCAGCCAAGCCACCCAGACAGCCAAGCCAGCCAAGCCACCTAGCCAGCCAAGCCAGCGAAGCCACCCAGCCAGCCAAGCCAGCCAAGCCACCCAGCCAGCCAAGCCAGCCAGCCACCCAGCCAGCCAAGCCTGCCAAGCCACGCAGCCAGCCAAGCCACCCAGCCAGCCAAGCCAGCCAGCCACCCAGCCAGCCAAGCCAGCCAAACCACCCAGACAGCCAAGCCCGCCAGCCACCCAGTCAGCCAAGCCAGCCATGCCAGCCAGCCACACAAGACAGCCAGCCAGCCAAGCCAGCCAAGCCAGCCAGCCGTGTAAGCCAGCCCAGCCGGCCAGCCAATCCAGCCAAGCCACCCAGCCACCCAAGCCAGCCAAGCCAGCCAAGCCACCTAGCCAGCCAAGCCAGCGAAGCCACCCAGCCAGCCAAGCCAGCCAAGCCACCCAGACAGCCAAGCCAGCCAAGCCACCTAGCCAGCCAAGCCAGCGAAGCCACCCAGCCAGCCAAGCCAGCCAAGCCACCCAGCCAGCCAAGCCAGCCAGCCACCCAGCCAGCCAAGCCTGCCAAGCCACGCAGCCAGCCAAGCCACCCAGCCAGCCAAGCCAGCCAGCCACCCAGCCAGCCAAGCCAGCCAAACCACCCAGACAGCCAAGCCCGCCAGCCACCCAGTCAGCCAAGCCAGCCATGCCAGCCAGCCACACAAGACAGCCAGCCAGCCAAGCCAGCCAAGCCAGCCAGCCGTGTAAACCAGCCCAGCCGGCCAGCCAATCCAGCCAAGCCACCCAGCCACCCAAGCCAGCCAAGCCAGCCAAGCCACCCAGCCAGCCAAGCCAGCCAGGCACCCAGTCAGCCAAGCCAGCCATGCCAGCTAGAAAGCCAAGACAGCCAGCCAGCCAAGGCAGCCAACCCACTCAGCCAACCAAGCCAGCCAGCCAAGCTAGGCAAACCAGCCAGCCAGCCAAGCCACCCAGCCAGCCAAGCCAGCCAAGCCGGCCCAGCCAGCCAGCCAGCAAAGCCAGCCAAGCCAGCCAGCCAGCCAAGCCAGCCAAGGCAGCCAAGCCAGCCCAGCCAGCCAGCCAGCCAAGCCGGGCAAGCCAGCCAGCGAGCCCAGCCAGCCCAGCCAGCCCAGCCGGGCAAGCCAGCCAGCGAGCCCAGCCAGCCCAGCCAGTCAGCCAGCCAAACCAGACCACCAGCCAAGCCAGCCAGCCACCCAGCAAAGCCAGCCACCCAGCCAAGCCAGCCAAGAGAGCAAAGCCAGCCAAGCCGGTCAGTCAAGCCAGCCAAGCCAGCCAAGCCAGCCAACCAGCCAGACAGCCCAGCCAGCCAGCCAGCACAGGCAGCTAAGCCAGACAAGCCAGCCAACCAGCCAGACAGCCCAGCCAGCCAGCCAGCACAGGCAGCCAAGCAAGCCATGCCAGCCAGCCAGCCAAGCCGGCCAAGACAGCCAGCCAGCCAACCCAGCCAAGCCAGCCAAGCCTGCCAGCCAGCCAAGCCAGCCAAGCCACCCAAGCCAGCCAGCCAAGCCGACCAAGCCAGCCAAGCCAGTAAGCCAGCCAAGCCAGCCAAGCCAGCCAGCCAGCCAAGCCAGCCAAGCCACCCAGCCAGGCAAGCCAGCCAAGCCACCCAGCCGGCCAAGCCACCCAAACAGTCAAGCCAGCGAAGCCAACCATGCCAGTCAGCCAGCCAAGCCAGCCAGCCAGCCCAGCCGGCCAAGCCAGCCAGCCAAGCCACCCAGCCACCCAAGCCAGCCAAGCCAGCCAAGCCACCCAGCCAGCCAAGCCAGCCAGGCACCCAGTCAGCCAAGCCAGCCATGCCAGCTAGAAAGCCAAGACAGCCAGCCAGCCAAGGCAGCCAACCCACCCAGCCAGCCAAGCCAGCCAGCCAAGCTAGGCAAACCAGCCAGCCAGCCAAGCCACCCAGCCAGCCAAGCCAGCCAAGCCAGCCCAGCCAGCCAGCCAGCAAAGCCGGGCAAGCCAGCCAGCGAGCCCAGCCAGCCCAGCCAGCCAAGCCGGGCAAGCCAGCCAGCGAGCCCAGCCAGCCCAGCCAGTCAGCCAGCCAAACCAGACCACCAGCCAAGCCAGCCAGCCACCCAGCAAAGCCAGCCTCCCAGCCAAGCCAGCCAAGAGAGCAAAGCCAGCCAAGCCGGTCAGTCAAGCCAGCCAAGCCAGCCAAGCCAGCCAACCAGCCAGACAGCCCAGCCAGCCAGCCAGCACAGGCAGCTAAGCCAGACAAGCCAGCCAACCAGCCAGACAGCCCAGCCAGCCAGCCAGCACAGGCAGCCAAGCAAGCCAAGCCGGCCAAGACAGCCAGCCAGCCAACCCAGCCAAGCCAGCCAAGCCTGCCAGCCAGCCAAGCCAGCCAAGCCACCCAAGCCAGCCAGCCAAGCCGACCAAGCCAGCCAAGCCAGTAAGCCAGAAAAGCCAGGCAAGCCTGCCAGCCGGCCAAGCCAGCCAAGCCAGCCAAGCCAGCCAAGCCAGCCAGCCAAGCCAGACAAGCCAGCCAGCCAGCCAAGCCAGCCAAGCCAGCCAGCCAAGCCAGCGAAGCCAACCATGCCAGTCAGCCAGCCAAGCCAGCCAGCCAGCCAAGCCAGCCAAGCCAGCCAGCCAAGCCAACCAGCCAGCCAAGCAAGCCAAGCCAGCCAGCCATCCAAGCCAGCCAAGCCAGCCAAGCCAGCCAGCCAGCCAAGCCAGCCAAGCCAGCCAGCCACCCAGCCAGCAAAGCCAGCCAAGCCAGCCAGCCCCCCAAGCCAGCCAAGCCAGCCAGCCACCCTAGCCAGCAAAGCCACCCAAGCCAGCCAAGCCAGCCAAGCCACCCAGCCACCCAGCCTAGCCAGCCAAGCCAGCCAAGCCAGCCAAGCCAGCCAGCCCCCTAAGCCACCCAGCCAGCCACCCTAGCCAGCCAAGCCACCCAAGCCAGCCAAGCCAGCCAAGCCACCCAGCCAGCCACCCTAGCCAGCCAAGCCACCCAAGCCACCCAAGCCAGCCAAGCCACCCAGCCACCCAGCCTAGCCAGCCAAGCCACCCAAGCCAGCCAAGCCAGCCAAGCCACCCAGCCACCCAGCCTAGCCAGCCAAGCCAGCCAAGCCAGCCAGCCCCCCAAGCCAGCCAAGCCAGCCAGCCACCCTAGCCAGCCAAGCCACCCAAGCCAGCCAAGCCAGCCAAGCCAACCTGCCAGCCAAGCCAGACAGCCACCCAGCCTAGCCAGCCAAGCCACCCAAGCCAGCCAAGCCAGCCAGGCACCCAGTCAGCCAGCCAAGCCAGCCATGCCAGCTAGAAAGCCAAGACAGCCAGCCAGCCAAGCCAGTCAAGCCACCCAGCCAGCCAAGCCAGCCAGCCACCCAGCCAGCCAAGCCAGCCAGCCACCGAGGCAGCCAAGCCAGCCAGCCAACCAAGCCGGCCAAGCCACCCAGCCATCCAAGCCGGCCAAGCCACCCAAACAGTCAAGCCAGCGAAGCCAGCCAAGCCAGTCAGCCAGCGAAGCCAACCAAGCCAGCCAGCCAGCCAAGCCACCCAGACAGCCAAGCAAGCCAAGCCAGCCAGCCATCCAAGCCAGCCAAGCCAGCCAAGCCAGCCAGCCCACCAACCCAGCCAAGCCACCCATCCAGCCAAGCCAGCTAGCCAGCCAAGCCACCCAAACCAGCCAAGCCAGCCAGCCATCCAAGCCAGCCAAGCCAGCCAGCCAGCCTAGCCAGCCAAGACACCCAAGCCAGCCAAGCCAGCCAAGACACCCAGCTGGCCAAGCCAGCCAGCCACCCAGCCAGCCAAGCCAGCCAAGCCAGCCAAGCCAGGCAAGCTAGCCAAGCCAGCCAAGCCAGCCAGCCAGCCAAGCCAGCCTAGCCACCCATCCTGCCAAGCCAGCCAAGCCACCCAGCCAGCCAAGCCACCCAAGCCACCCAGCCAGCCAAGCCAGTCAAGCCACCCAGCCGGACAAGCCGGCCAAGCCAGCCAGCCAGCCAAGCCGGCCAAGCCTGCCAGCCAGCCAAGCCGGCCAAACCAGGCAAGCCAGCCAATCCAGCCAAGCCTGCCAGAGAGCCAATCCAGCCAAGCCTGCCAGAGAGCCAAGCCAGCCAAGCCAGCCAAGCCACCCAGCCAGCCAAGTCAGCCAGCCACCCAGCCAGCCAAGCCAGCCAGCCACCCAGGCCGGCCAAGCCAGCCAGCCAGCCAAGCCGGCCAAGCCACCCAGCCAGCCAAGCCGGTCAAGCCACCTAGTCAGCCAAGCCAGCCATGCCAGCCAGCCAGCCAAGACAGCCAGCCAGCCAAGCCACCCAAGCCACCCAGCCAGCCAAGCGAGCCAGCCATGCTAGCCAAGCCAGCCAGCCAGCCAAGCCATCCAGGCCAGCCAATCCAGCCAAGCCTGCCAGCCAGCCAAGGTAGCCAAGCCAGCCATTCCAGCCAAGCCTGCCAGCCAGCCAAGCCAGCCAAGCCAGCCAGCCAGCCAGCCAAGCCAGCCAAGCCACCCAGCCAGCCAATCCAGCCAAGCCTGCCAGCCAGCCAAGGTAGCCAAGCCGGCCAGCCAGCCAAGCCAGCCAAGCCACCCAGCCAGCCAAGCCAGCCAAGCCAGCCAGCCAACCAAGCCAGCCAAGCCAGCCATTCCAGTCAAGCCTGCCAGCCAGCCAAGCCAGCCAAGCCAGCCATTCCAGCCAAGCCTGCCAGCCAGCCAAGCCAGCCAATCCAGTCATTCCAGCCAAGCCTGCCAGCCAGCCAAGCCAGCCAAGCCAGCCAGCCAGCCAGCCAAGCCAGCCAAGCCACCCAGCCACCGAAGCCAGCCAGCCAGCCAGCCAAGCCACCCAGCCAAGCCAGCCAGCCAGCCCAGCCACCCAAGCCACCCAGCCACACTCCATCTGAAAAAAAGAAGCACTCCATCCAGCCTGGGCAGTAGAGCGAGAGTCCATCTCCAAAAAAAAAAAAACAAAACAAAACACCAGCCTGGCCAATATAGTGGAACCCCGTCTCTAATAAATATACAAAAAAATCAGCTGGGCGTGGTGGCACACGCCTGTAATCCCAGCTACTTGGGAGGCCCAGGCAGGAAGATCTGTTGAACCCGGGAGGTGGAGGTTGCAGCGAACCAAGATTGCACCACTGCACTCCAGCCTGGGCAACAGGGCGAGACTCCCTCTCAGAAAAAAAAAAAAAAAAAAAAAAAAAAAAGACCAGCCTGGCCAACTTGGTGAAACCTCGTCTCTACTAAATATACAAAGAAATTAGCTGGGCGTGGTGGCACACACCTGTAATCCCAGCTACTCAGGAGGCCCAGGCAGGAGGATCGCTTGAACCCGGGAAGTGGAGGCTGCAGCAAGCCAAGATTGCACAACTGTACTCCAGCCTCGGCAACAGAGTGAGACTCCATCTGAAAAAAAAGAAGCACTCCATCCAGCCTGGGCAGTAAAGCGAGATTCCATCTCCAAAAAAAAAAAAAAACCAAAAAAAAAAAAAAAAAACACACCAGCCTGGCCAACATGGTGAAACCCCGTCTCTACTAAATATACAAAAAAATTAGCTGGGCGTGGTGGCACAGGCCTGTAATCCCAGCTACTCGGGAGGCCCAGGCAGGAGGATCACTTGAACCCAGGAGGTGGAGGCTGCAGCGAGCCAAGATTGCGCCACTGTACTCCAGCCTGGGCAACAGAGTGAGACTCCATTTCAAAAAAAAGAAGCACTCCAGCCTGGGCAACAGAGTGAGACTCCATCTGAAAAAAAGAAGCACTCCAGCCTCGGCAATAGAGCAAGACTCCATCTCAAAAAAATAAGAGAAACACCAGCCTGGCCAACATAGCGGAACCCTGTCTCTAATAAATATACAAAAAAATTAGCTGGGCGTGGTGGCACATGCCTGTAATCCCAGCTACTCAGGAGGCCCAAGCAGGAGGATCGCTTGAACCCTGGAGGTGGAGGTTGCAGTGCACCAAGATTGCACAACTGCACTCCAGCCTGGACAACAGAGCCAGACTCCATCTCAGAAAAAAAAGAAAAAAGAAAAAAAGACCAGCCTGGCCAACATGGTGAAACCCCGTCTCTACTAAATATACAACAAAATTAGCTGGGCGTGCTGGCACACGCCTGTAACCCCAGGTACTCAGGAGGCCCAGGCAGGAGGATCGCTTGAACCCGGGAGGTGGAGGTTTCAGCGAACCAAGATTGCACCTCTGCACTCCAGCCTGGGCAACAGAGCAAGATTCCATCTCAGAAAAACAAAACAAACAAACAAACAAAAAAAAGACCAGCCAGGTCAACATGGTGAAACCCCGTCTCTACTAAATATACAAGAAAATTAGCTGGGCGTGCTGGCACACGCCTGTAACCCCAGCTACTCGGGAGGCCCAGGGAGGAGAATTGCTTGAACCCGGGAGTTGGAGGTTGCAGCGAACGAAGATTGCACCACTGCACTCCAGCCTGGGCAACAGAGCAAGATTCCATCTGAGAAAAAAAAAAAAAAGACCAGGTTGGCCAACATGGTGAAAACCCGTCTCTACTAAATATACAAGAAAATTAGCTGGGCTAATTTTAGTTATCACATCTGTAAAATGGCACTAAGTTACAGGGATATTGTCCAGATGAATGTGTCTGGTACATAGTAGCAATAAAAAAGACGTTAGCTGGCCAGGCATGGTGGCTCACGCCTGTTATCCTAACAATTTGGGAGGCCAAGGAGGGTGGATCACTTGAGGCCAGGAGTAGGAGACCAGCCTGGCCAACACAGTGAAACACTGTCTCTACTAAAAATACAAAAATTAGCTGGCGAAGTGGCTTGTGCCTGTAATCCCAGCTACATGGGAGGCTGAGGCAGGAGAATTGCTTGAATCTGGGAAGTGGAGGTTGAAGTGAGCTGAGATTGGGCCATGGCACTCCAGCCTGGGCGACAGAGCGAGATTCTGTCTCAAAAAAAGGGAAACATTAGCTAACATTACCCTCAGCATGGATATTCCTACCAGTCTGATGTTCTGTTTTAGGTACTTAGTACCATAATAGCCTCATTGTTGGAGCACTGACTATGTTCCAGGTACTACGCTAAGTGCTTCACAAGCATTGTTTCATTTCATCCTCCCAACATCTCTCAAATAGGTACTAGCACTGTCCTCACTATTCAGGGGAGAAGTCTGCAGTTCAGAGGGGTGAAGTGATTCCTCTAAGACTGCATAACTTGTAAGTGGCAGAGCTAGGACCTGTCAGACTCTAAGAGCTTCATACCACACCTACAGGAAATATCTAGCAGCCAGTTCCATGCTCAGTTTCTTGAAGCATGAGATTCCAGGCCCCTAATATGGCACATAACTGTGGGCAATAGAGGCCTCAATTCTCCCATCTGAACCATGAGGAAGGTCCCCCCGCCCTGAATCCCCTACAGGGCTGAGAGGAGGGCTCTGGAAACCTTGAAAAGGACTTTGTAGACTCTGAGCTGGGCACCCTCAAAGGCTTGGTTAGGAAGGAGACAAGAGAAAGAATTAATCCACTTCCTGCCAAGGAAGCCAAGAGCTGAAGGAGAAATGGTCCGTGTCCTCCTCCAGGGCCTGCCCCTTAGCATGGTTCCTCCCTGTTAGGAGGGTTAAGAACTTGGCCAAGTCTCAGCTCCACTCATCTCTGGCTGTATGTTCTTTGTACTTCCCCTCTCTGAGTGTCGGGCTTCTCAACTGTGAAATGGGGGTGATAATGATAACAGCCTTACCAGGACTGTAGTAAGGACAAGCCTTGGCCCATCGGTTCATTGTCTTAGTCTGCTCCTGTTGTTATAACAAAATACCTCAGACTCAGTAATATATAAACAACAGAAATATGTTGCTCATAGTTCTAGAGGCCGAGAAATCCACGAACAAGGCGTCAGTAGATTGGGTGTCAATGAGGGCCTGTTCCTCATAGAGGACGTCTTCTATGTGTCCTTACATGGTAGAAGGGGTGAACAAACTCCCTCAGGCTTCTTTTATAAGGGCACTAATCCCATTTATAAGGATGGAGCTTCATGAAGTGATCGCCCCCAAAAGTCCCACCTCTTAATACTACCACATTGCAGATTATGTTTCAATATATAAATTGGAGGAGACACATTGAGACACATGGATATTGGTTGAATAATTATCTTTTTTTTAATTTTTTTATTATTTTTTGAGACAGAGTCTTACTCTGTTGCCTAGACTGGAGTGCAATGGCACGATCTTGGCTCACTGCAACCTCTACCTCCTGGATTCAAGTGATTCTTCTGTCTCAGCCTCCCAAGTGTCTGGTATTACAGATGCATGCCACCACGCCTGGCTGATTTTTGCATTATTAGTAGAGGCAGGGTTTCACCATGTTGGCCAGGCTGGTCTCAAACTCCTGACTTCAAGTGATCCACCCACCTCGGCCTCCCAAAGTGCTGGGATTACAGGCATGAGCCACCATGCCTGCCCTGAATAATTATCTTTTGACACCTGGTCTGCAATTCTCATGGAGTTTCCGGTCTGGAAGAAGAGTCTGTATGTAATGTGTTTGGCACAGGTAGGTGCCCAATGGGTGGGTAGATGGATGGATGGATGGATGGATGGGTGGATGGATGAGATGAGTGACTTACTGCAGGTCTCACAGTTATAAAGTAACTCTTCCTGATAGCTCACACTGGCCACCAAAGACACATTAAACACTGATTTGAGAGGTACTCTGTGGACCAAATTACATGAGCAAAGTCTTAGAATTAGGAATTATTGCAGCATGGATGAGAGGCACTCATTTTATGTTCTCTTTCAGTATTTTTCCCAACAAGATCCTGAGAAGGAGGATCTGGATGGAGGTTCTGCCAGAGCCTCCTGGAGCAGAGCCAGGAGGTTGAGTAGGGAGTTGCGCCCCACAGCCCATATGAGCAGGCAGGAGCAGGCCAAGCCTGAGGGTTGGGCCTCAGAGGCCTGGTCTGGCCGTATTTGGTTTTCAAGGAACTGGAAGGCTTCTCACCTCCTCTGCTGTCCAGGCACAGAAGCAAGGCCACCCACAGTTGCTGAGTCAGGGAGGCCCCTAGGGCAGGAACAGAGGCCCCACAACGGGGTAACTTGAACACAGTGGTTCAGAGCCTGGTCTCTTAGTGTCAAGAAGATATGGTGCCGGGAACAGTGGTGTGTCCCTGTGGTTCCTGCTCCTCAGAAGGCTGAGGCAGGAGGATAAGCCTAGGGATTCTTGAGCCCAAGAGTTCTAGGCTGTAGTGTGCTATATTGATCGAGTGTCTGTGCTAAGTTCAGCTTCAATATGGTGACCTCCTGTAAGCAAGGGTGTCTAAGGAGGGGTGAACAGGCCCAGGATGAAAATGGAGCAGGTCAAAACTGTGCTGATCAGTGGAGGGATTGTGACTGTGAATAGCCACTGCATTCCACCCTAGACAACATAGTGAGACTCCGTCTCTAAAAGCAAATAAATAGGCTGGGTGCAGTGGGCTCACGCCTGTAATCCCAGCACTTCAGGAGGCCAAGGTGGGCGGATCACTTGAGGTCAGGAGTTCAAGACCAGCCTGGCCAATATGGCGAAACCCTGTCTTTACTAAAAATATAAAAATTAGCTGGTCATGATTTCATGTGCCTGTGGTCCCAGCTACTCAGGAGGCTAAGGCAGGAGAATCACTTGAACCTGGGAGGCAGAGGTTGCAGTGAGCCGAGATCACATCACTGCACTGCAGCCTGGGCAATGAGTGAGAACCTATCTCAAAAAAAAAAAAAATTAAATTAAATTTAAAAATGTAAGTAAATAAGTAAATAAATAAATAAATAAATAAATAAATAAATAAAAGCTGTGGGTTCAAATCCTGCTCAACAACCAATAGCTGTGTGCCTGGCCTACATATCACCTATCAGAGCCTTTGTTTTTTTAATCTGTAAAAACAACAAAAATAGCAGTAAAAACAAGCACCATTACTGAGTTCATTATGTACAAGCCTCTGCTAAGCACCTTACCTGCATTATCTTATTTAATTGTCATCACAGTAAACAAGTTTTATTATTGTCCTCGTGAAACAAAATACATGAGAACAGTGTCTCTCATCCATGCTGCCATAATTTCTAACCCAAGCCGTTGCTCATGCAGTCCCATCTACCTGGAGTGTATCTCTCTTTTTTTTTTTTGGAGACGGAGTCTTGCTCTGTCTCCAGCTGGAGTGCAGTGGCACAATCTTTGCTCACTGCAGCCTCTGCCTCCCGGGTTCCAGAGATTCTCCTGCCTCAGCCTCCCGAGTAGCTGGGATTACAGGCAAGTGCCACCACACCTGGCTAATTTTTGTATTTTTAATAGAGTCGGGGTTTCACCATGTTGGCCAGGCTGGTCTCAAACTCCTGTCTTCAGATGAGCCACCTACCTCGGCCTCCCAAAGTGCTAGGATTACAGGCATGAGCCACTGCGCCCAGCATGTAACCAACTCTTATGCAACCTTCAGTGTTCAGTGTAAGGTAACCAAAAAGTTACTTCCTGACTCTGAGACCTGGATTTCCAAATGAGGAAGCTGAGGCACACAGGGTGAGATCACATTCAAGTAAGAGACAGAGCTAGAGGCTGGGTGCAGTGGCTCACACCTGTAATCACAGCACTTTGGGAGGCTGAGGCGGGTGGATCACCTGAGGTCGGGAGTTTGAGACCAGCCTGATCAACATGGAGAAACCCTGTCTCTACTAAAAATACAAAATTAGCTGGGCATGGTGGCGCATGCCTGTAATCCCAGCTACTCGGGAGGCCGAGGCAGGAGAATCGCTTGAACCCGGGAGGTGGATCCCAGCTAGTCAGGAGGCTGAGGCAGGAGAATCGCTTGAACCCGGGAGGTGGAGGTTGCCGTGAGCCGAGATCACGCCATTGCACTTTACCCTGGGCAACAAGAGTGAAACTCCGTCTCAAAAAAAAAAAAAAAGACAGAGCTAGGAAGTGCTTACAACTTCCTCATGCTTACCTACATTTCAATTTCTGTTATTGAATCTTTTCCCCCTCAAATATACCCTATCAGCTTCTATTTTATTTTTATTTTTTGTGATGGAGTCTTGCTCTGTTGCTCAGGCTGGAGTGCAGTGGTGCGATCTTGGCTCACTGCAACCTCCACCTCCCACGTTCAAGCGATTCTTCTGCCTCAGCCTCCTGAGTAGCTGGAATTACAGGCACATGCAATGACACTGGGCTAATTTTTGTATTTTTAGTAGAGATGTGGTTTCACCATGTTGGCCAGGCTGGTCTCAAACTCCTGACCTCAGGTGATTCACCCACCTCAGCCTCCCAAAGTGCTGGGATTACAGACGTGAGCCACCGCGCCTGGCCTACATTTTTTTTTAAGTGCTGTCAAATGCATACCTTCTACTTTTCTTCAATAAATGTCAACTCTTTACCCATTATGTGCCAGTCCCTGTGGGGTGTGCCAAGCAGAAAAAGCACTGATCTAAGATGTGTGGCTCAGTTATGTGTAGATCCATGACCTTGCTGGGCTTTAGGATCCTTATCTATAAAATGGATATCATTATATCTTACCAGTAAGAACTGCTGAGGATAAAGGCAGACCGTACTTGTGAAAGTGTTCTGTAATACAAACTAGGGTTGTTCATTTTCCTTCTGCAGTGCTCAGCTCTGGCCTCACCTCTCCTGTTTGCATTTTCCGTTTCCTTCCTGCCTGTGTTCAGGCCTGCAGACTTCTGTCTGTCCTCCCTGGTCTAACTCCCTTATCCTACTTGCCAAGCCTTACTGTGATGTCATTTAATAAATTCTGGAGACACAAGGAGTGCCTCGTAGAGATGGACAATTTCCTTCAGTAGTCTCCTGCTGTTTTTAGAGTTGCCTCCAGGTGCCTGGGCCTGTGGGTGTTGGGCAGGAGAACCCTCCTCCCATGGCAGAAATAAGTGGGAGAAGTAGGGATTGCCTTCCTCCAATAATAATGCTTTGGCCCTAAAAACGAAACTCTTGAACCCCATAGAATATTTTATTTTATTTTTTTGAGACAGAGTCTCACTCTGTCACCCAGACTGGAGTACAGTTGCACGATCTTGGTTCACACAATCTCTACCTCCCAGATTCAAGCAATTCTCATGCCTCAGCCTCCCAAGCAGCTGGGACTACAGTGATGCACCACCACGCCTGGCTAATTTTTGTATTTTTAGTAGAGATGGGGTTTCACCGTGTTACCATGCTGGTGTCGAACTCCTGGCTTCAAGTGATCCGCCCTCCTTGGCCTCCCAAAGTGCTGGGATTACAGGTATGAGCCACCATGCCCGGCCAAACCCCATAGAATATTGAAGAAGCCCAAATGGATACTTGTGTCTTACTGAGTGGACAAACTTTAAAGTTACTTCAAAACATGAAAGGATGACTTGCTCCATATCAAACCTCCTAATTAATCCAACAGCAATTTTATTTTATTTTGTTTTATTTTATTTTTTGAGACAGGGTCTTGCTCTGTTGCCCAGGCTGGAGTGCAGTGGCACAATCACAGCTCACTGCAGCCTCAACCTCTTAGGCTGAAGTGATCCTCCCAGCTCAGTTTCCTGAGTAGCTGGGACTACAGGTGTATGCCACCATGCCTGGCTAATTTTTGTATTTTTTTGTAAAGACAGAGTTTTGCCATGTTGCCGAGGCCGCTCTTGAACTCCTAAGCTCAAGCAATCCACCGACCTCGTCCTGCCAAAGTGCTGGGATTACAGGTGTGAGCCACCACACCTGGTCTGCAATTTTTATCTAAGGCAGGATTTACTGATTTATTTAGAGACAGAGTCTGTCTCTGTTGCCCAGGCTGGAGTGCAGTGGTGTGATCATGACTCAGTGCAAGCTTAAACTCCTGGACTCAAACAATCTTCCTACTTCAGCCTCTTGAGTAGCTGGGACTACAGGCACACACCACCATGCCCAGAAAGGTTGTTTTTTTTTTTTGACATGGAGTCTTGCTCTGTCATCAGGCTGGAGTGCAGTGGCATGATCTTAGCTCGCTGCAATCTCCACCTCCCAGGTTCAAGCAATTCTCCTGCCTCAGCCTCCTGAGTAGCTGGGACTACAGGTGAGTGCCACCACACCGAGCTAATTTTTGTATTTTTAGTGGAGATGGGGTTTCACCATGTCGGCCAGGATGATCTTGATCTCTTGACCTCGTGATCCTCCCCCTTAGGCCTCCCAAAGTGCTGGGATTACAGGCATGAGACACCAAGCCCGGCACACCTGCTTCTTCTTTTTTTTTTTTTTTGAGACAAGTCTTGCTCTGTTGCCCAGGCTGGAGTGCAGTGGCACGATCTTGGCTCACTGCAAGCTCTGCCTCCTGGGTTCATGCCATCCTCCTGCCTCAGCCTCCTGAGTAGCTGGGACTACAGGCGCCGGCCACCATGCCCGGTGAATTTTTTTTTGTATTTTTAGTAGAGACAGGGTTTCACCGTGTTAGCCAGAATGGTTTCGATCTCCTGACCTTGTGATCCGCCTGCCTCAGCCTCCCAAAGTGCTGGGATTACAGGCGTGAACCACCGCACCCGGCCCACACCTGCTTCTTAAAGGACCAAGTCCTGGCTGGGCTCAGTGGCTCATGCCTATAATCCCAGCACTTTGGGAGGCCGAGGTGGGCAGATCTCTTGAGTCCAAGAGTTTAAGACCAGCCTGGGCATAGTGAAATCTCATCTCTACAAACCATTAAAAAATGTTTTGGCCAGGCATGGTGGCTCACATTTGTAATCCCAGCACTTTGGGAGGCCGAGGCATGTGGATCACCTGAGGTCAGGAGTTTGAGACCAATAGGCCAATATGGTGAAACCCCATCTCTATTAAAAATACAAAATTTAGCTGGGTGTGGTGGTGGACGCCTGTAATCCCAGCTACTCGGGAGGCTGAGGCAGGAGAATCACTTGAACCTGGGAGGTGGAGGTTGCAGTGAGCCAAGACCGTGCCATTGCACTCTAGCCTGGGTGACAAAAGTGAAACTCCATCTCAAAAAAAAAAATGTTTTAAAGGGACCAAGTCCTTTTAGGGGGGCTTCTGATCATTTAAATCTCCAATAACAGAAGAGGTTTTCAAATGTTACCCCGGGGATTCCTCATTGCCCGCTCCCAGTATTTTCCAAGAAAGACCTGAGGCTCCTTTCTGAGCTTCATTCCCTTGTTCTCCTCCCAGCCCCTCAGCTGTCTTTTGTACCAATTGGGTAGTTATTAATTGCTCCCTAATTGCAAATTGGCTGCCTCCTTACTGGCTCCCACCCATGCTGGCTGGCTGACCCAGGGGTCACATGCATCCTTCAGGGAAAGCTGTTTTGTGAATCCAGTGGTTCAGTTGTTCCACACATGTGTGTTGAGCCCCTTCGTTGATGCCAGATCCTTTCTAGGTCCTGGGGACCCTGTTGAGCGAGACAAACCCAAGTCCCTGGCTTCTCAGAGCTCACAGTCTAGCAGGAGACAACAAAAAAATTAATCATTTCCGATCGTCAGTGCTGTGATGGGGAGTAATTACAGTACAGAGTAATTTTGGGGAGCTTCAGATACGTGCTCTGGGAAGACCTTTCTAAGGAGGTGACGTGTGAGTTAAGATCTGAATGGTAATCCGGAGCCAGCCAGAGTGAAGATGAGGTCGAAGAGCACAGTCCCGGGGGAGAAGAAAGCAAAGGCAGAGGCCAGGTGAGAGGAAGCAGCATGGCCTCTCTCAGGGGCATTCATTTCATCTATGAAGCCCTAAGGGATTCTGAAGTCAAACATCAGGTTGGGGCTAGTTGTAAGGTTTAGGGCAAAACACCCCTCCTACTCCCTGTTGTTAGAGACCAGAGGCGGCGTTTGCCCCCACCTGGCCCCGCTCCAGAAGGAGGGGTTATTATACGTCTGATTGAATCAGCTTCCAGCATCCTTATTGGTCCTTGGAGGTAATTAGGGCACTGTCGCTTCAAAGTCCCAAATTCAGGCGCCCCACTGGGGACTACAGTGACCGCTCCCCACCCCACCCACCGCAAGCTCAGAGGTTGGAGAGAACTGCCTCCCCGAAGGAACCCAGACCCAGGCTTGAGACTTTGCAAAGAGACACAAGATGCGGGTTGCCATGTGAAGTTTCCGGATTTTTTAAAATGTTAGAACGATGAATTGGAAAAGCTTTAAAACACTGCACAGGCCAAACAACATGTCTATGGGCAGGACCTGGCCAGCTGGCCTGGGTGCGGTGGGGCTTGGTGAATGCCTAGAGGTAGGGATGAGGGAGAGAAGGAGTCAGGAAGGATGCTAACTGCATCCTGGACTCTGGGACACCCATGCCCTGGCAGAGATGTGCCCTAAGAGGAACGAACTCACGGCCACAGGCACAGATTGAGCATCTACTGTGTGCATGGCTCTGTGCTAGGATGGGGGATACAAAACACTTCAGAGGACTGCACCTTCGCTCAGGGCTGGATGGGCCGACCTCAGGAAACCTGGGTTCCAGCCTTGACTTGCTCTCCTATAATTGCTGTGTGAACTTGGGTTGAGTCATCATCTCTCTGGGATTCAGCACACAGCCTTTGTTGACATTAGATTAACTAAATCCAGTAAGGGAAGATTTTGAAGGGCCTCTGGGTGTCTGGATAGGGAATCTGGGCTGGGTCTAATAGGAAGTAGGAACCACCCCAGGTTCTTGAGCAGGGGAGTGACATGTTTAAGAGGAAAGTGAAGCAGGCCACCTGTGCAGAGACACACATCATCCAGGTGTGGGGTAGTGACGACAGCAACTAAAGCGTATGCAAATCAGATCTCATCACCTCTAGCTCAAAAACCTTCCATGGGTCCCTGCAGCCCTCACATGAAAGTCCTTTCCTCTTACTATGGTCCATGAGCAGGGCCAGCTTCATGCAATGAAGGGTCAGTGTAATGCTCTGCTGTCACTATCTTGAAATACTTAATAATTTTTGAACAAGGAGCTCCTTTTTCTCATTTTGCACCAGGTCCTGCAAATTATGAAGGTTCCCACAGGGGCCTTTCAGTCTGGGCCTTTTCCCCTCTCCCCATCCAAACCCCACTTCTCCCTTACCCTTCATACTTCACTCACGTTGGTCTTCCATCAGTTTCTGGAGATTGTTCCTGCCTTGGGACATTTGCGTAGTCTGTTCCCCTTGCCTGGAACACCCCCACCCCCACGTCGAGACCAACTTAGTTTTTTGTTCAACAATTTCTTATCTTCCAGACTTGAGCATAATTATCTCCTGAGAGATAACTCCTCTGGCCTCCCAGAACTACCTGTTCAAAACAAAACTTTAAAAATTATTTAAGCCAGCCAGGCACGATGGCTCATGCCTGTAATCCCAGCACTTTGGGAGGCCCAGGTGGGCGGATCACTTGAGGTCAGGGGTTCAAGACCAGCCTGGCCAACATCATGAAACCCCGTCTCTACTAAAAATACAAAAATTAACCGGGTGTGGTGGAATGCACCTGTAGTCCCAGCTACTTGGGAGGCTGAGGCAGGAGGATTGCTTGAACCCGGGAAGCAGAGGTTGCAGGGAGCTGAGATCACGCCACTGCACTCCAGCCTGGGCGACAGAGTAAAACTCTGTCTCAAAAAAAAAAAAAAAAGAAAAAAAGATTTAAGCCTGAGTGCAGTGGGTCACTCCTGTAATCCCAATACTTTGGGAGGCAAGGCAGGAGTATTGCTGAGGCCAGGAGTTCCAGACCAGTCTGGGCAACACAGCAAGATCTCATCTGTACAAAAAATAAGAAAATTAGCCAGACATGGTGGTGTGTGCCTGTAGTCCCAGCTACTTCGGTGGCTGAGGCAGGAGGATTGCTTGCACCCAGGAGTTCAAGGCTTCAGTGAGCCATGATTGCGCCACTGCACTCCTACCTGTGCAACAGAGCTAGACCCTGTCTCAAAAAAAAATGCAGTAATGGAGGCATTTCAGACATCTGTCAGCAGCCATAGGTGTTCAGGGGCTTTGTGCTTATAAAGGTTTATTCAGTAACAAATATTCAGCTGGAGCGGGCATCATGGCTCACACCTGTAATCCTAGCACTTTGGGAGGCTGAGGCAGGAGGATTGCTTGAGCCCAGGAGTTTGAGACCAGCTGGGCAACAAAGTGAGACCTGATCTCTACCAAAAACAAAATACATAAAATTAGCTGGGCATAGTGGCATGCACCGGCTGAGGTGGGAGTATCGCTTGAGCCCAGGAGGTCGAGGCTGCAGTGAGCTGTGATCACACCATTGCACTCCAGCCTGAGAGACAGAGTGAGACCCTGTCTCAAAAAATTAAAAACTTAATTAATTAAAAAAAATTCAACTGGGGAAATAGTTCTAGCTCTCTCTTTCTCTCTCTCTCTTTTTTTTTTTTTGGAGGCAGAGTTTCACTCCGATACCCAATCTGGAGTGCAGTGGCATGATCTCAGCTCACTGCAACCTCCACCTTCCAGGCTCAAGGGATTCTCCCACCTCAGCCTCCCAAGTGGCTGGGACTATAGGTGGGTGCCACCACACCCAGCTCATTTTTGTACTTTTTGTAGAGATGGGGTTTTGCCATGTTGCCCAGGCTGGTCTTGAACTCCTGGACTCAAGCGATCCTCCCACCTCAGCCCCCCAAAGTGCTGGGATTACAGGCATGAGCCACCACACTTAGCCAAATTGCCATCTCTTAATGAAGTAAATAAAACCATTTACACCACAAGAGACAGAGGGAAGGGATAGGATTTATCGAAAACATAATAAATCCCCTTGGCCAAATTCATGGACCCTGGCAGGGTAAGATCAGAGATAGCATCATTTCTGCCTATGTGGCTGACATTCATTATGTAAGGCCCATGTACCAGGATCCCCATCCCATGCAAGCTCTGTGAATGATCACTCCCAACCTTATAAGGTTGGAAGTATTAGCTCCCCACTTTGTGGATGAGGAAACTGAGGCCTAGAGAAATTAAGTAACTTGCCAAATGTCACACAGTGAAGAATTGACAGAGTTGGGATTTGTACCTAGATCTGTCCAACTCCAGATCTCCCTGAGCCCTTCACTACCGCAAAATAGCTACTCAACTGGCTTGCTGTATGATTTGGGGCAAGTTCCTCAACCTTTCTGAGTCTCAGATTCTTTTTTTCTTTTTCTTTTTTTGAGATGGAATTTCCCTCTTTTCACCCAGGCTGGAGCGCAATGGCATGATCTCAGTTCACTGCAACCTCCGCCTTCCAGGTTCAAACCATTTTCCTGCCTCAGCCTCCCAAGTAGCTGGGATTACAGGTGCCCACCACCACGCCTGGCTAATTTTTGTATTTTTAGTACAGACCGGGTTTCACCATCTTGGCCAGGCTTGTCTCGAACTCCTGACCTCTGGTGATCTGCCCGCCTCAGCCCCCCAGAGTGCTGGGATTACAGGCATGAGCCACTGTGCCCAGCCTCTTTCTTTTTTTTAAGACAAGGTCTTATTCTGCCACCCAGGCTGGAATGCAGTGGGCAATCTCTGCTTACTGCAGCCTCAACCTCCTAGGGTCAAGTGATCCTCCCACTTCAGCCTCCCAAGTAGCTGGGACTACAGGCATGCGGCACCAGGCCCAGTTAAGCTGAGCCTCAAATTCTTTACCTATAACTTGTCCCTTATTTAAGCTAACACATGGTAGGTGCTGAAGTTGATTCTCTCTCTCTCTCTCTCTTTTTTTTTTTTTCTTGAGACACGGTCTTGCTCTGTCACCCAGGCTGGAGTGCAATGGCATGATCTCAGTTCAGTGCAGCCTCAACCTCCTGAGCTCAAGCAATCCTCCTGCCTCAGCTCCCCAGAGTAGTGGGATTACAGGCATGCACCACTGTTGATTCTTTATAGATGTTAATTCTCTACTTAACACACACGCCCCTCCAACTCCCACCACACATACAGACACAGACACACACACACACACACACACACACGCATGCATGCACGCACACCAGCCCCACAACAGGAGGAATGTAACAGAAGCAATGCTTTGTGTTCTGTAACCTGTTTCCTTTTCCTGGACACACAGGAAGGTCATGTTCTCATTTTTCCTGCAGTTAGTAGAGTCATGTGACTACATAAAGGCCAATGAAATTATACGTGACCCCTGCGCAAAGGCAGTTAAGTGTGGATGTGCCTCCTTTGATTTTCTGATTCCCTTTCCACATGCAGAGGATTCAGGAATAGATTCCATGGAGAGCCTGGGGTGGAGGCAGGATTGGGGGGCAAGGTCACTGCTTGGAAAAGAGCTCCCTGGGAGAGCCCCAACCTATATCAGACTTTGCAGGAGTGAGAAATAAACTCTGATTGGGTTAAACCACTGAGATATTTTGTTTGTTACAGCAGCCAGCATTAATTACACTGAATAAAACTGTGTATCAGTTATCAATTGCCACAACAATGCTACATAACAAACCACCCCAAAACTTAGTGCCTTAAAACAGCAACCATTTTTTTAGCTCAAGATTTCATGGACTGGCACTTTAGCCTGGGCTCAGCTAAAGATTTTTCTGGTCTCAGTTGGGCTTACTCATGTATCTGTGGTCAGCTATTGGATTAGATGGTGACTGACTAGGACAGCTTCAGCTAGGATAACTAGTCCCTGTTCCAGTGGTCTCTTAGGCAGGATAGCCCAGGCTTGTTCACATAACAGCTGCGAGAGTTCCAAGAGAATGAGTGGAATCTCTTAAGGCCCAATCTCTTAACACCCAGGCTTCGAACTGGCAATGCCACTTCCATATATTCTATTGGCCAAAAATAGTCACATGCCTGGCTGGGAATGGTGGCTCACACCTGTGTAATTCCAGCACTTTGGGAGGCTGAGGTGGACGGATTACTTGAAACTAGGAGTTTGAGACCAGCCTGGACAACATGGGGAAACTCCATCTCTATAAAAATTTGTCAGGTGTGGTGGTGAGTGCCTGTAGTCCCAGCTACTCGGGAGGCTGAGGTGAGAGGATCACCTGAGCCCAGACAGGTCAAGGCTGTAGTGTGCCATGATCACACCACTGCACTCCAGCTTGGGTGACAGAGATCCTGTCTTAAAAAATAAAAAAGAGCTCAGCCTCTAGAACCACAGCCCTGGGCTTAAGTCCTGACTCACTTGCTATTGATTTTGGGCAAGTGCCGCTCCTCTCTGAGACTCACATTTCCCTTCTATAAAACAGGTGCTGGGGCCGGGCATGGTGGCTCTCACCTGTAATCCCAGCACTTTGGGAGGCCAAGGCAGGCGAATCACCTGAGTTCAGGAGTTCAAGACTAGCCTGGACAACATGGTGAAATCCCGTCTCTACTAAAAATATAAAACTTAGCCAGGCGTGGTGGCGCACGCCAGTAATCCTAGCTACTCACTACTCAGGAGGCTGAGGCAGGAGAATCGCTTGAACCCAGGAAGCGGAGGTTGCAGTGAGCTGAGATTGTGCCATTGCACTCCAGCCTGGGCAACAAGAGTGAAACTGTCTAAAAAAAAAAACAAACAAAAAAACACAACAACCAAAAAACACAGGTGCTGGAAGAGAGGAGTCCTAACATTGGGGGCTATTGTGAGAATTGACTGAGGGAATGCACCATGGAAATGTGTGCTGTAAATTACCTATTTTATTACACCCAACGTGGGCTTAATAGCTGTCAGGGAGTGTTAGTATTATCTCCCCCAAACCCTCAATTTACAGAGGAGAAAACAGAGGCTCAGGCAGGTGATGTGACTTGCCAAGGCTGCATAGCTAAGGAGCAGTGATGAACCCACCGTACTTAAGTTTGTCTGTTTCCAGAATCTAAGGTCTTAGCCTCGCTACAGTTAGAAAGTCCTAGGTTTGAGTCTCGACTCTGTCCATTATAGCTGTGTGACCTTGGGCAAGTCACTTTTCTCTCTGGGCCTCATTTTTTTCTTCGTCTAAAGAAATTAGCATCTGTCTCATAATGCCATGGGGAATCAATGGGAAAATACAAAGAAAGTGCTTAGCAGAGTGCCAAGGAGGGACAGTATGCATGCTCAGCAATTGAAGGCTGCCAAGTTCCTGTTATCATCAGGGGCAGTGTTCCATCCATCAAAAGGGCTAAGAATAGTCTTAGCCTGGCCAGGCACAGTGGCTCATGCCTGTAATCCCAGCATTTTGGGAGGCCGAGGCAGATGGATCACCTCAGTTCAGGAGTTCAAGACCAGCCTGGCCAACATGTCGAAACCCCGTCTCTACTGAAAATACAAAAATTAGCCAGGCGTGGTGACGGGCCCCTGTAATCCCAGCTAATTGGGAGGCTGAGGCAGGAGAATCACTTGAAGCCAGGAGGCAGGGGTTTCAGTGAGCCGAGATTGCGCCACTGCACTCTAGCCTGGGTGACAGAGTGAGACTCTGTCTTAAAAAAAAAAAAAAAAGAAATAGTCTTAGCCAGTGGGGGTAGGGTGAGGAATAAGTAAGTTACTGTGGGCTATGCTTTAGCACAGTGCCCAGCACATATTATAAACTTCATAAGCAGTTGCTATTTTAAAGGGTTTTTGTTTTGTTTTGTTTTTGTTTTTGAGACAAGACCTCACTCTGTCGCCCAGGCTGGAGTGCAGTACTTTTAAAGTTCTGAACCCTGTTGGAGGCCAACATGAGACCATGGGGGACCCCAGGCTCCAACTGGCAGTGGCTCCAGGCACTGCCTCTGCTGCCGTTTGGCTATTATTAGGCCCGGCGTCCTCATCTCAAATCCAGGTGGGGAGCGAGAAGGGTGGTAGGGCAGGGCCTGGCTGGCGGAAGGCTGGGAACACGGCTTGGAGGCTGGGTTAGGGTTTGGGCCCCACCCTGCCTGCCTTCCCTTGTTTGCAGCTGGTCCAGCCACCATGTCTACACTTGGCTCTGAGGTTGGTGCAGAGCACTGCCTCCCACCATGGCCGCCTCCTCTGGGAAGATTCAGAGCCCTTCTGCAGCCTCAGCACTTTTCTGCCTGCCCCAGAGAGGCCAGGCCTGCGTGGAAACTCTGAATTGGACACTGCGCGCCTTCAGAACCAGCAAAGGAGCCATCCACCCTGCTGTCTACAGGTCTTCATGCCTCCAGTGAGGCTTACTGGATCTGCTGAGGGGGAAGGGCCTATATACCTGGGTTCAAATCCCTTCCCTACCACCAACATGCAGTGTCAACTTGGACAAATGACTTCCCCTCTCTGAGCCTCAGTTTCTTTGCCCATAAAAGGGACAGACTATTAGCATCTGCTTTATAGGGCTGTGGTGATGGTTACATGAGTGCATGGTATGCCATAGGCACTCAATATGTGTCAGTTATTTCATGCTTAAGTGTGCCAGGACCTGAGGAGGAAACAAAGTTTTGGGAGGTTGAGAATCTGGGATGCAGAATGGCTCTGCTCCTGATTTGCTACACTACCTGAAGCCTGTCCCTTGTCCTCTCTGGGACTCAGTTACCTATTTGAACCATAAGGTGGGTATCCAGGACTCTGTGATGCCAAGATTCAGGTGCTATGTTCAGAAGTAGAGAGAAGGGTTTGCTGGGATCCCACACTGACAGGTTGGTAAAATATTCATTCTCGGACTGGACTCTGGAGCCAAAATACCCTCGGCCCCTGAGCTGCTCCAGATACTCCCTACTCTGCCAGTCCAGGGCTGAACCTGGAAGAATCTAGACCCTTCTTGTTACAGTTTTTTGCCCTAGGAGGGCCTGAAGGAAGCCAGTCAAACCCCCTCATTTTACAGATGGGCAGACTGAGGCCCAGGTCTCCCCAGTGCTCAGGCTTCATCCAAGCGGAGCTTCCAAATGGTGGATGGTAGAATATGGTGATTAAGAACAAATGTTCTGGCCAGGCGCAGTGGCTCACGCCTGTAATCTTAGCACTTCAGAAGGTCAAGGCAGGAGGATTGCTTGAACCCAGGAGTTCAAGACTAGCCCTGGCAACACAGGGAGACCCTTGTCTCTACAAAAAATAAAAAAAATTAGCCGGGCATGGTGGCATGTGTCTGTAGTCCCACTGTGAGCCTGGGAGGTCAAGGCTGCAGTAAGCCATGGTTGTGCCACTCCACTCTCCAGCCTGGGCGACAGAGTGAGACTCTGTCTCAAAGACAAAACAAAACAAAAAAAAACAACAAAAGAACGAGGGTTCTGAGTCTGTCTCCTTATCTGTATAATGGTGGTCCTACCTCACAGGACTCAAGCTGTGAAGGTCATAGTGGTAACAAAATTGCCACACATGTAGTATAAGCATGATCAGGAGCCAGTGTCCAACCCATCAGGTAGCAATTACATAGTGTCCCACCATGAGCCTAGACCCCCACTCCCTGCGCCCAGGCATCAGGGACTCCCAGAAGTCTAAAGAGGTCCAGGCTGGCACATCCAGAACTCTCTCCTTCCTGTTCCAGCCCCTTGCCTCTCCTTTGTCTGTGAGGCTGGGTCTCCTGGAATTCATTGCTGCCCAGTGGGCATCTGAGGCCCTTTCTCCTCCTGCAGGGCCAGAAGTTTGCCTGGCACTATTGCCCAGAGAACACAGTGGCTGGATGACATCATGGAGATGATGGCCTTGCCAAACTGGTTTCCCAACAGGTCCTCAGTCCCACTCCGAGGGCTGCTGGCCATGACCTAGGGCTCACCCAGTTCTGCACATAAGGAGGAAGGTCATACCCCTTGGATCCAGCCAACCCCAACAAGAACCATCCACTTCTAGGGACTCCATTCTCCAGCCTCACCTGCCTGTCTGTTGCCCAACAAGGTCCTCACAATCCTACTTCCGTTCCTTTGCTAATGCTGTTCCCATCTCCAGAATGACAGTGCTGTCCTGGGGAGAGAGGCTTAGAGAGCCCAAGGCACAGCTCCTCCATTGTGCATATGAGCAAGTTGAGGCTCCAAGAGGGCCAACCCTTACCTAGGGTGGAGCCAGGGGTAAGACACCCATCACCCTTCTTGCCTCCTGACCCAAGGCCTGGGTTTTCCCTGCAGGACCCTGACTGGGTGGAGGGTTAGCCAGGGTGACTTAGGGATGCAATGCAGACAGCTTGGTAAAATAGTCATTCTCAGACTTGGGCTCTGGAGCAAAATATTACCCCTAGCCTCTGAGCTGCTCCAGCCACTTCCCATTCTGCCTTTCTGGGGTTGAACCTGGAAGAACCTAGAGTAGACCCTTTCTGTGACAGCCCCTTGCCCTAGGAAGGCCTGAAGCAGACCAGTCTAATCACCTCATTTTACAGGGGCAGGCTGAGGCCCAGGCCTCTCTGGCGCCCACAAGATACATTCGTCCTGCTCACCTGGCATTCAGAATCCTTTGCCAAGAGAAGCACCCACATTTCCTGCTCCACCCACAGCCTATCCTCCTCCTTTTCCCAGACTATTGGTCTTTGCTCACACTGTTCCTCTGCCACAAATGCCCTTTCATGCCTTTCCCCCTCTTCTACGTGGGATGAATTTTAAAAATTAGTTGGGCGTGGTGGTGTTTGCCTGTAGTCCTAGCCTCTTGGGAGGCTGAGATGGGAGGATTGCTTGAGCCAGGAGTTTGAGGCCATGGTAAGCTGTGATCATGCGACTGCACTCCAGCCTGTGGGACACAGCAAGACCCTGTCTCCAAAAAAAAAAAAAAAAACAACAACAAGTATGACACACAGTTTATATGCCACTTCCCTAAGAAGTCTTCCAGAGCTTCCCCCATCCGAGTGGCAGCAAAGTAGAGGGAAGGGGCTGGAGTGCAGTGGCACCATCATGGCGTGAACCTTGAGAACCTCATGCTTTTTGTCACAATAAGAAAAAAAAACTTTAAAATTACTAAGTTCTCTCTCTCTCTCTTTTTTTTTGAGACCGAGTTTTGCTCTGTCACCCAGGCTGGAGTGCAGTGGCACGATCTCGGCTCACTGAAAGCTCCGCTTCCTGGGTTCACGCCACATTCTCCTGCCTCAGCCTCCCGAGTAGCTGGGACTACAGGTGCCCGCCACCACACCCGGCTAATTTTTTTTTGTAGTTTTAGTAGAGACAGGTTTTCACCATGTTAGCCAGGACAGTCTCGATCTCCTGACCTCGTGATCTGCCCACCTGGGCCTCCCAAAGTGCTGGGATTACAGGCGTGAGCCACTGCGCCCAGCCTTTTTTTTTTTTTTTTTTTTTGACATGGCGTCTTGCTCTGTCATCAGGCTGGAGTGCAGTGGTGTGACCTCGGCTCACTGAAACCTCTGACTCCCTGGTTCAAGTGATTCTCCTGCATCAGCCTGGCAAGTAGCTGGGATTACAGGCATGTGCCACCACGCACAGTTAATTTTTGTATTTTTAGTAGAGATGGGGTTTTACTATGTTGACCAGGATTGTCTCAGTCTCCTCAGCTGAGGTCAGGAGTTCGAGACCAGCCTGGCCAATATGGTGAAACCCTGTCTCTACCAAAAATACAAAAATTAGCTGGGTGTGGTGGCGCATGCCTGTAATCCCAGCTACTGAGGAGACTGAGGCAGGAGAATTGATTGAACCCAACTGGCAGAGGTTGCAGTGAGCCAAGATTGCACCACTGCACTCCAACCTGAGCAACAGAGCAAGACTCCGTCTTAAAAAAATAGGTCAGGTGCAGTGGCTCATGCCTGTAATCCCAGCACTTTGGGAGGCTGAGGTGGGCAGATCACAATGTCAGGAGTTCGAGACCAGCCTGGCCAACTTGGTGAAACCCCATCTCTACTAAAATACAAAAACTAGCCAGGTGTGGTGGCGGGTGCCTGTAGTCCCAGCTACTCGGGAGGCTGAGGTAAAAGAATGGCATGAACCTGGGAAGCGGAGCTTGTGGTGAGCCGAAATTGCGTCACTGCACTCCAGCCTGGGCGAAAGAGCAAAACTCCATCTCAAAAATAAAATAAAATAATGTAAAATAAAATAAAATAAAATATACAAAAACTAGCCAGGCTTGTGGTACATGCCTGTAATCATAGCTACTCGGGGGGCTGAAGCAGGAGAATCACTTGAACCAGGAGGTGGAGGTCACAGTGAACTGAGATCGTGCCACTGCACTCCAGGCTGGGTGAGGGAGTGAGACTCTGTCTCAAAAAAAAAAAAAAAAAAAAAAAAAAGAAAGAAACAAAAATTAGCTGTGCATGGTGGTGTGTGGCTGTAGTCCCAGATGCTTGGGAGGCTGAGGCAGGAGAATCACTTGAACTAGGAGGCGGAGGTTGCAGTGAGCAGAGATTGCGCCACTGCACTCCAGCCTGGGAGGCAGAGTGAGACACTGTCTAAAAAAAAGAAAAGTTTCCTGTCCTCTCCAAGCCCTGACCTTACCTATCACCCCAAATCCCCCAAATGAATCTTCAGGCCTCCTTCTAATGCCTTCCTTCCTCTTATACTACAAACATGCATTCCTTCCTCTTATACTACAGAGTCTCCCTCTGTCACCCAGGCTGCAGTGCAATGGCTCAATCTTGGCTCACTGCAACCTCTCCCGGAATCAGGCGATTTTCCTGCCTCAGCCTCCCAAGTATCTGGGAATACAGGTGCGCACAACCAAGTCTGGCTAATTTTTTTTGTATTTTTAATAGAGACGGGGTTTCACCATGTTGGCCAGGCTGGTCTCGGAACACCTGACCTTATTATCCACCCACCTCAGTCCCCCAAAGTGCTGGGATTATGGGTGTGACCCACTGTGCCCGGCTGACACTTTCAAACTCATTCATTGAGGCCAATATTTTCCTGGTACCAAAACCAAAGGCATCATGAGAAAAGAAAAATAATAACCAATATTTCTCATAAAGACCAAAAAAAAAAAAAACTGCAACAAAATACTAGCAAGCCAAGTCCAGTAATACATAAAAAGATTCTATAACATGACCAAGTAGGATTCATGCCTGCTTGGAGTAACACCCAAAAATCAACTGATATAATGCACCATAAAAGTAGAATAAAAAGCAAAAACCACATGATCTTCTCAATAAACACAAAAATTTTCTGACAAAATCCAACACCCTTTCATGATAGAAACAGTCCACAAACTAGGAATAGAAAGAAACTTTCTTTACTTGCTAAAGGCATCTATGAAAAACCCACAGCTAACAATGTATTAAATGGGGAAAACAAAGCTTTCCCCCTAAGATCAGGAACTAGGCAAGTACATCTACTCTTGTCACTTATAATCTACATTATATTGAAAGTTCCAGTCCGGGCACGGTGGCTCATGCCTATAATCCCAGCACTTTGGGAGGCCAAGGTGGGTGGATCACCTGAGGTCAGTGGTTCGAGACCTGCCTGACTAACATGGTGAAACCCAGTCTCTACTAAAAATACAAAAATTAGCCAGATGTGATGGTGCATGCCTATAATCCCAGCTACTCGGGAGGCTGAGGCAGGAGAGTCACTTGAACTTGGGAGGTGGACGTTGCAGTGAGCCAAGATCATGCCACTGCACCTCAGAGCCTGGGCAACAAGAGCAAAACTCGGTCTCAAAAAAAAAGAGGAAGTTCCAGCCAGGACAATTAGGCACACAAAAAAAATAAAATAAATGGCATCTATATTAGAAATGAAAAAGTAAAACTATATTTCCAGACGATGTGATCTTTTTATTTGTTTATTTACTTTTGAGACGGAGTTTTGCTCTTGTTGCCCAGGCCGGAGTGTGGTGGCGCGATCTTGCCTCACTGCAACCTCTGCCTCCTGGATTCAAGTGATTCTCCTGCCTCAGCTTCCTGAGTAGCTGGGATACAGGCACCCACCATTATGCCCAGCCAATTGTATTTTTTTTAGTAGAGACAGGGTTTCATCATGTTGGCCAGGCTGGTCTCGAACTCCTGACTTCAGGTGACCCATCCACCTCGGCCTCCCAAAGTGCTGAGATTACAGGCGTGAGCCACTGTGCCCGGCAGATGTGATCTTGTATATAGAAAGCCTAAGAAAGTTTCCCCCACCCACACACACACTAGAGACAGAGAGAGAAAGAGAAAACACATGCTAATAAACAAGTTCAGCAAGGTCAAAGGCACAAGATCCATACACAAAGATCAATTATATTTCATACACTAGTAATGAACTATCCAAAAATGAAATTAAGAAATTCCATTTGTAATAACATCTGAAAGAATAAAACACATAGGAAATAATTCAAAAAAAGAGGTCTGAGACTCATATACTGAAAACTCTGAAACATTGTTGAAAAAAATTAAAGAACACCTGACCAGGCCCAGTGGCTCATGCTTTTAAGCTCAGCACTTTGGGAGGCTGAGGCGGGTGGATTGCTTTGAGATCAGGAGCTCAAGACCATCCTGGGCAACATGGTAAAACCTCATCCCTACAAAAAATACAAAAATTAGCCAGGTGGGGTGGTGCATGACTGTAGTCCCAGCTACTAAGGAGGCTGAGGTAGGAGGATGGCTTGAGCCCAGGAGGCAGAGGTTGCAGTGAGCTGAGATCATGCACTTCAGCCTGGGTAACAGAGGGAGACCTCATCTCACCACCACCAACAAAAAAAAAAATTAAAGAAGACCTAAATCAAGACATCTCATATTCATGGATTGGAAGACTAAACATGGTTATGACAACAATAATCCCCAAACTAATCTACAGATTCAATGCAACCTCTATCAAAATCCCAGCTGCCTTTCTGGCAGAAATGGAGAAGCTGATCCTAAAATTCATATAGCAATGCAAAGAACCCAGATTAGACAAAACAATCTTGAAAGAGGAGAACAAAGTTGGAGAATTTATACTTTCCAATCTTAAAACCTACTAAGCTACAATAATCAAGACTGTGATGTGACTTCAGTTTACCAGTAAGAAGAAAGGAAAAAAAAGGCTCTGGTACTGGCCTATAGGTAGAGGTACAGTCCAGTGTAACAGAAATGAGAGTCCGGATATAAATCAAAATATCTACGATTAATTGATTTTTGACAAGAACAGAGACCCGGTGCAGTGGCTCACGCCTGTAATCCCAGCACAGGATCACTTGAGGCCAGGAGTTCAAGACAAGCCCAGTCAACATGCCAAAACCCTGTCTCTACCAAAAATACCTAAATTAACCAGGCGTGGTGGCACCCGCCTGTAGTCCCAGCTCCTTGGGAGGCTGAGGCAGGAGAATTGCTTGAACCCGGGAGGCGGAGGTTGTAGTGAGCCAAGATGGTGCTATTGCACTCCAACCTGGGCAACAGAGCAAGACTCCATCTCTCTCTCTCTCTCACACACACACACACACACACACACACACACACAAATTATTTCTTTTAAAAAATAATTTTTAAATTTTTATGTTTTAAAAAAATTACCTATTCTGGGTGAATATGCCATACAAATGGCCAAAAAAGCATATGAAAAGATGGTCACCATCACTAATCAGAGAAATAAACCACAGTGAGCTATCACCTCATACCCATTAGGTTGGCTACCATCAAAAACAATAAGTGGACCAGGCATAGTGACTCACACCTGTAATCCCAGCCCTCCCCGCTTTCCCCACCCGTGAGACAGAGTCTTGCTATGTCACCCAGGCTGGAGTGCAATGGTGCAATCTCAGCTCTCTGCAACCTCTGCCTCCCAGGTTCAAGTAATTCTCCTGCCTCACCCTCCCAAGTAGCTGGGATTACAGGCACGCTCTACCATGCCTGGCTAATTTTTGTATTTTTAGTAGAGACGGGGCTTCAACATATTGTCCAGGCTGGTCTCAAACTCCTGACTTCGGGATCTGCCCGACTCAGCCTCCCAAAGTGCTGGGATTACAGGTATGAGCCACCACACCCGGCCAATCCCAGCACTTTGAGCAGCCCAGGCAAGAGGATCACTTGAAGCTACGTGTTTGGGGCCAGCCTGGGCAACATAATGAAATACTGTCTCTACAAAAGAATTTAAAATTAGCCTCATTTGGCTCGTCATGGTGGTTCACGCCTGTAATCCCAGCACATTGGGAGGCTGAGGCAGGTGGATCATCTGAGGCCAAGAGTTGGAGACCAACCTGGGCAACATGGCAAAACCCTGTTGCTACCAAAAATACAAAAATTAGCTGGGTGTGGTGGTGCATGCCTGTAGTCCAGCTACTCAGGAGGCTGAAGCAGGTGGATCCCTTGAGCCCAGGAGCTCCAGGCTGCAATAAACTATGATCATGTCACTGTGCTCCAGCCTGGGCATCAGGATAAGCCTCTGTCTCAAAAAAAAAAAAAAGAAAAAGAAAAAAACACAAACAAGCATTTTTGAGGATGTAGAGAAACCAGAAGCTTTGTGTGCCGTTAGTGGGATTGTAAAATGATGCAGCTATTATGGTTATGGGAAACAGTACGGAGGGTCCTCAAAAAATGAAACATAGAACTACCATATGATCTAGCAATCCCACTTCTGGATATATAATCAAAGAATTAAAAGCAGGGTCTCAAAGAGATTGTTTGCACATCCACGTTCACAGCACCATTGTTCACAATCACAAGAGATAGAAGCAACCCAAAGGCCATGAATGGATGAATGGATACACAAAATGTGATTTATACATACAATGGAGTAGTATTCAGCCTTAAAAAGGAAGAAAATCTTGTCACGTGCTGTAACATACGTAAGCCTTGACGACATTATGTTAAGGGAAATAAGCCAGTCACAAACAATAAATACTGCATGATTCCACTATATAAGGTATCTAAAGTAGTCAAATTCATAGAAACAGAAAGTGGAATGATAGTTACCAGTGGCTGGGAGAAGGGGAACTGGGGAATCGCTGTTTAATGGGTACAGGGATTCCGTTTCACAAGATGAAAAGGTCCCGGAGATGTTTCACAGCAATGTCAATATACATAATTCTACTGAATAGTACATTTACAAATGGTTAAGACAGTTAATCTTATATGCTTTTTGTCACAATAAGAAAAAAAAACTTAAGGGACCGGCTGTGGATGGCCGAGGCGGCAGCTGCGCGGCGGCACCGGGGCGGCTGCGGCGCGCTCGGAGCCCCGAGGGCACGCGGCCCGGGCAGCTCGGTGTGCGCCCCCACGGGAGCCGGGGCCCCAGGCCCGCCGGACACCATGAACCACCTGAATGTGCTGGCCAAAGCCCTCTATGTCAATGTGGCCGAGTCCCCGGATGAGCTCTCCTTCCGCAAGGGCGACATCATGACGGTGCTGGAGCAGGACACGCAGGGCCTGGATGGCTGGTGGCTCTGCTCGCTGCACGGGCGCCAGGGCATCGTGCCTGGGAACCACCTCAAGATCTTGGTGGGTATGTATGATAAGAAGCCAGCAGGGCCTGGCCCCGGCCCTCCCGCCACCCCGGCCCAGCCTCAGCCTGGCCTCCATGCCCCAGTGCCTCCGGCCTCCCAGTACACGCCCATGCTCCCCAACACCTACCAGCCCCAGCCCGACAGCGTCTACCTGGTGCCCACTCCCAGCAAGGCTCAGCAAGGCCTCTACCAAGTCCCGGGTCCCAGCCCTCAGTTCCAGTCGCCCCCAGCCAAGCAGACATCCACCTTCTCGAAGCAGACGCCCCATCACCCGTTTCCCAGCCCGGCCACAGACCTGTACCAGGTGTCCCCAGGGCCTGGAGGCCCTGCCCAGGATATTTACCAGGTGCCACCTTCTGCCGGGATGGGGCATGACATCTACCAGGTCCCCTCGTCCATGGACACACGCAGCTGGGAGGGCACGAAGCCCCCAGCAAAGGTAAGGCTGTCCTGGCACAGTCGTGCAGCCCCACAGGTATAGCCCAGGCCCTGCTTTGTGGGCACAGAAGGGCCCAGCCACCCTCAGTCACCGGCACTCCAGGAGTGGCTGTGTGTTTGGTCTGGGGTCAAAGTGGCAAGTGAGTGTTTGGGGAGTGTTCATTTGTCCAGGGAAGATGGATGTGAATGGACCTAGAGGGGAGATGCTCCGCTGGCCTCAGCCAAGCCGACCCGAGTGGTGGTGTCACCACAGGGAGCAGTCTGTTGAGGCTTTCCAGCGGGCAGGCGGGGCTTGGCACATGGAGTCAGCAGTTGCTGGGCCCCCGCGAGGGAGAGGCCAGCCACTTCATGCTCAGGCTCCCCTGTGCCATTTGGGTTTAGGTGTCAGCCTGTAGATGGGGTTCCGGCACATATTCTGGCCACCCCTGCCTCCACAGGCCAACCCCTCTCCACTTATGGGACATGCTAGGGGCCAGCAGGTACGTATGGTGATCTGGATGTGACTCCTGGGAGGACGCTGCCCCTGAGATTGCTAGAGGAGTGCTGCCCTGAGAGCCTCCTGGGCTCTTGCTGATGGGATGCCGGGCCTGGGGACAAGGCCTCTGGCCTCCAGACCCTGAGCCCGCTCCCCAAGTCCACAGGGTCCCTGCCTCCCAAGCTCACCTGCCTGTAGGAAGGACTCAGCACTGGACACTCAGCCCAGGGCTGAGGTGGAGACCTCATTGGTGCCAGCTGAGCAGTGAGTCAGCAGGGAGTTACCCCCACCCCCACCCATGGGTGGCCTGGTACCCAGGAGACATGGCTGGAGGTCATTGGCAGGTGGGGGACTCCATGGACATGGGCCACCAAGCCTGGCCACCAGGGGAACCTGGGTCACTGGCTCACACTTCCTGCTCTACCTGCTCCTTCAGCCATCTGGTCAGAGGCGAGCCTGGTTGGCTTGGGGCTGCCTGGGTGGGGCTGCTCCCAAACTGGCTTTAGCAAGAGGAGCAGGGTCCTGTTAGCCCCTGGGGAGGCGGCAGGGAGCAGTGTCCTGTGGGGGAGCCTCAGGCCACGGTCCACGTATACCCACACCCCACACAGATGAACACACGTGCATGATACCTGTACCCCACAGATACGAACACCCATGCACTCACCATATGCTGTAACACACACATGCGCTACATGAATGTGCATGAATACATGCACATATCTGCATCCCATACCCCATAAATGGACACATGTATATGCCCACACATGCGCACATCATATGTATGAACACGTGCACACCCAAACCCCATATGTGTAAACACACGTGCATACACACCCCACACACAGACACATGTACGTCCACACATACAAAGCTTGTGCACCCACCAGTATCCCACAAACGTACAAATGTATGTGCATATGCACACGCACACACAGTCCACACTGCACACGCCCCAAGGTAAGGCACATCCCCTCCCCTCCTCTCCCGCCTTTGCAGTGAAGCTTGTCCTGGTGCGGCTGGAAGCCCTGTGGGCTGGGGAGCAGCAGCGAGACCCCCAGACAGAGCCTGGCCTCAAGGCTGTGTTTTGGCAGCTGTTCTGTCTCCCTCTCCGGCAAGGGGCCTGCCCTCAATTGCATCAGGGGCTCAACCAGCTGGGTCCTTCTCTGCCCATGCCCACTGGTAGAGCTGCCCAGACCTGTGCCTCAAGGGCCCTGACCTGGCTGATGTCCCAGGAAGGAGAGCCCTGCATCCTGGGCCTGGCTGCTCTCCCCCAGGAAACCTCCCCCAGTCTTGATTGTGTCTGCTTGTATTTTATGATCACAAAAGCAATGCTTGTTTGCTGTAGAAAATGCATAATGTATGGAAAAGTCTGGAGATGAAATTTTCCAATAGAGGTAATCACTGGGAAATTCTGGCATATTTTGTCTAGCATCTGCCCTGTGTTTCACAGATTTGTACATGTAGTTTTGCATTTCAAAGTTGTAAATCCAACATTAGATATCAAAAGAAAGGAAAAAAACCTTTAAAATCACTAAGTTCTCTCTCTCTCTTTTTTTTTTGAGACCGAGTTTCGCTCTGTCACCCAGGCTGGAGTGCAGTGGCATGATCTCGGCTCACTGAAAGCTCCGCCTCCTGGGTTCATGCCACATTCTCCTGCCTCAGCCTCCCGAGTAGCTGGGACTACAGGTGCCCGCCACCACACCCGGCTAATTTTTTTTTGTAGTTTTAGTAGAGACAGGTTTTCACCATGTTAGCCAGGACAGTCTCGATCTCCTGACCTCGTGATCTGCCCACCTCAGCCTCCCAAAGTGCTGGGATTACAGGCGTGAGCCACCGCGCCCAGCCCTTTTTTTTTTTTTTTTTTTTTTTTTTTTTTTTTTTTTGACACGGAGTCTTGCTCTGTCATCAGGCTGGAGTGCAGTGGTGTGACCTTGGCTCACTGAAACCTCTGACTCCCTGGTTCAAGTGATTCTCCTGCATCAGCCTGGCAAGTAGCTGGGAGTACAGGCATCTGCCACCACGCACAGTTAATTTTTGTATTTTTAGTAGAGATGGGGTTTTACTATATTGACCAGGATTGTCTCAGTCTCCTCAGCTGAGGTCAGGAGTTCGAGACCAGCCTGGCCAATATGGTGAAACCCTGTCTCTACCAAAAATACAAAAATTAGCTGGGTGTGGTGGCGCATGCCTGTAATCCCAGCTACTGAGGAGACTGAGGCAGGAGAATTGATTGAACCCAAGTGGCAGAGGTTGCAGTGAGCCGAGATTGCACCACTGCACTCCAACCTGAGCAACAGAGCAAGATTCTGTCTTAAAAAAATAGGTCAGGTGCAGTGGCTCATGCCTGTAATCCCAGCACTTTGGGAGGCTGAGGTGGGCAGATCACGATGTCAGGAGTTCAAGACCAGCCTGGCCAACTTGGTGAAACCCTGTCTCTACTAAAATACAAAAACTAGCCAGGTGTGGTGGCGGGTGCCTGTAGTCTCAGCTACTCAGGAGGCTGAGGCAGGAGAATTGCTTGAACCTGGGAGACGGAGGTTGCAGTGAGCTGAGATCATGCCATTGCCTCCAGCCTGGGCAATAGAGTGAGACTCCATCTCCAAATAAATAAATAAATAAATGAATAAATGAATGAATGAATAAGTAAATGGAAAAAGAGTGGCCAGTAGGGGAAGGCAAAAGGAAAAACAAGCGGGAAGGGAGAGCATATTGAAAAGCCAAGCATTTGTGTTCCTTTTAGTCTTTGATCAGCATTCATGGAACCCACATTTTACATGCGGAAAGAAAAGGGTGGAGGAATAGTCAATTATGTATTCATCTTGCACTCAGTGAATCTGCATTTTTACAGAAGAAAAATACACATAGACTACAGGAAACAGTCAGATATGCTTTTGTCTCCAGTGTGCAGATGGATGACTTTTAAATCTGTCCTTTGTCCCTTACCTGTGAAGACAAGTTTTTCATTTATGTTGTCAGGGTGAGATTCAACATAACTGTTTTGGCTGGGTATGGTGGCTCATGCCTGTAATCCCAGTTCTTTAGGAGGCTGAGGTAGGTGAATTGCATGAGGCTAGGAGTTGGAGACCAGCCTGGCCAATATGGTGAAACCCTGTCTCTACTACAAATACAAAAATTACCCGAGTATGGTGGTGCATGCCTGTAATACTAGCTACTGAGGAGGCTGAGGCAGGAGAATTGCTTGAACCAGGAGGCAGAGGTTGCAGTGAGCCAAGATCACACCATTGCACTCTAGCCTGGGCAATAGAGCAAGACTCTGTCTCAAAAACTAAACAAAACAAAACCCAGAACTGTTTTAGATGAAATTCAAAAAATTCAACAGAGCTGTTTGTTTTCCTTTCACACATTCAATGTCAGTAACTCATCTTTCTGGGTTTGAGATACTGAATGAGCAATGTATGGTCTCATCCAAACCCTGGTAGATTTCTCGCCTAAGAAATTTTGAGTATCAAGACCATACCCTCTTCCCTGAATAATGACTGCTAAAGGCAAAGAAATCTCAGGACCACCAACTCACTAAGCCAAAAGCAAAAGTCAAGCTGGAAACTGGATCATGCAAACCTGCCTCCCCCATTTTGTTCCTAAATAGATACCTACAAAGATTTTTTTAAAAAGCTACATACTTCCCTCACAATTTGCCCATGAAGAAATTCCTCGTGGGCCTCAAGATTTTGACCTTAGAACAGTTCTGTTGAATTTCCCTGACAATGTAAATTGATAGCTTATCCTTGCAGGACAAAGGACAGAACTCAAGGTCATCCCTCTGCTCACCTGGGACAAATGCATATCTGACTGCTTCCTCTGCCCCATGTTTACTTTATCTTTTTTTTTAATTAAAAAAAAATAGAGACAGAATCTCACTATGTTGCCTAAGCTGGTCTCAAACTCCTGACCTCAAGTGATCTGCCTGCCTTGGCCTCCCAAAGTGCAGGGATTACAGGCATGAGCCACTACGCCCGGCCGCTGTCCTGAGTTTCATGACTTCATGACATAGGCATGATTTGGTTTTTAGTTTGTTTTTTGTTTCGTTTCATTTTGTTTTGTTTTTGAGACGGGGTCTAGCTCTGTCACCCAAGCTGGCATGCAGTGCTGCAATCATAGCTGGCTGCAGCCTTGATCTCCTGGACTCAATTGATCATCCCACCTCTGCCTCCTGAGTAGCTGGACCACAGGCATGCACTACCATGCCTGGCTATTTTTTTTTTATTTGTAGAGATGAATTCTCAGTATGTTGCCCAGGCTGGTCTCAAACTCCTGGCCTCAAGTGATCTTCCCGCCTTGGCCTCCCAAAATGCTGGGATTTCAGACATGAGCCACCCACGATGGCCACATAAGCACGACTGATTAAATCATTGACCACTGGTGATCAACTCAACCTTCAGCTCCTCCCCATCCCTGGAAATCAGGGGATAGGGGGCTGAAAAGTTTAACCCCGTAATCACGAGGTTGGTTCCCCTGGCCACCAGTCCTTTGGGAGTCCCCAGAAATCAGTCGTCTCATTAGCATCCATAAAGACACATCACTTGGGAGATTCCAAGGGTTTCAGGAGCTGTGCACCAGGAGACAGGGACAGAGACCATATATGTGTGTTTGTGTGTATGTGTGTGTGTGCGAGTGTGTGTATTCTTTTTCTGTGTTATTTTCTTTTACACTGTAGCTCTCAGATCTTACAAATATACATTTCTTATTATTTCATGTTTATATTATAAAAGAAAAATAAAATCTTGGGATCTCAGACTCACTACGCTACAGGGAAAAGGCTAGCTGGGAACTGTGTCACACAAACCTGTCTCTCATTTTTTTTTTTTCCTAAATACATAACTATAAAGATAAAAGGCTACATACCTCCCACAGAATTTGCTCAAAGGAAATTCCTTGTGGGTCTCAAGATATTGACCCTAAAAGAGTTGTGTTGAGGCTGGTGCAGTGGCTAGCACCTACAATCCCAGCACTTTGGGAGGCTGAGACAGGTGGATCACCTGAGGTCAGGAGTTCGAGACCAGCCTGACCACCATGGTGAACGGTGAAACCCCATCTCTACTAAAAATACAAAAAAATTAGCCAGGCGTGGTGGCAGGTGCCTGTAATTCCAGGTACTCAGGAGGCTGAGGCAGGAGAATGGCTTGAACCTGGGAAGCAGGTGCTTACACCCACCTGCTAACACAGGGAGAGTCATCATCATAGTCAAGTCTTTCAGTGGTCAGTGTGAGCATTCCGTGAGCATAGCTCATTTCTCAGAGCTGAGAGGGTGGTCCTGACTGGCTTGCTCCCTCCCAGTGCGCCTCTGTCTCCTCTCCACGCTGCCTGCCTCCCCGGGGCCTGGGCAGCCCCTCCTTCCTGCTGATTTACCTCAGCCCAGCTCCTGCTCGGGGGGAGCCCTGCAGAGCCCTCACTGGGCACCTCTCTCAGAGGCACTGGGCCCCACAGGTAACTGAGCAGGTGCAGCCATCGCTCAGTACAGCTCCTG
The DNA here is from genome assembly GCF_000001405.40 of Homo sapiens. NCBI lineage: Eukaryota > Metazoa > Chordata > Mammalia > Primates > Hominidae > Homo > Homo sapiens. Next base: position 20,067,742 of record NC_000015.10, on the reverse strand, counting down.
GGGACAGGTCAGGTGGGTTAGGCTGGGGCTCTGGTGAGGTCAGGCCACACCAACCAGGGGAGACAAGAGCTGAGACACCTCACTTCCCATGTCTCTCTTTTCACGTCTCTTAGGGCCGTCTTCCCCCAGCTGTGTAGCTCAGGAAGAACTCTCAGGATTCATGTGGAGAAAGAGGCTGTGACCACCCCAGAGGCCTCTTCTCCAGTGAGAAGCAGGGGGACACCCCGGAGTAGCAGGCATTCTAAAGCTGCCCATGAGCCCTGCGACTGGCTCTGTTCCCAGCAGGGAGGTGGAGAGGATGCCACTCAGAAATCACCTCGGAGCCCCGAGAAGAGGGAGGTCTAGAAGTTGATTTCTTGGGAAAGGGCTGTGAGCTCAAAGATGGGCTTAGGAATATGGAACACAGAAAAAAATTTGATGTGCAAAAATGAAAAAAATATGACTTTTATTAAATCATAAAACTATGATGAAACAGGTGACATCAGTGGAGCAGCCTGCACCTTTTCCATCCAGGCATCGTTGAGTCTAGACACGTGTCCCAATTATAGACCATTCAGGCATCTTTGAGTCTAGACACGGTTCCCAATTATAGGCCATCCAGGCATCTTTGAGTCTAGACACATGTCCCAAATTATAGACCATCCAGGCATCTTTGAGTCTAGACACGTGTCCCAATTATAGACCATCCAGCCATCTTTGAGTCTAGACACATGTCCCAATTATAGACCATCCAGGCATCTTTGAGTCTAGACACGTGTCCCAATTATAGACCATTCCCACACAGGTGCAAATAATCCATAATGTCTGTGTGCCAACTGGGGCATATCAGACAATGCTTGGCCAGTGTAAGGACAAGACATCAGATCCTTCTAGCAGATGAAGGTCTAAGGAACTCCATCTTTGTGGAAAGCAGAGAGTGGGGTTTCAGTGCAGGGCACGTGTCTCTGACAAGTGATGCAGTCATGAGAATGCTCAGGCAAAATAACAATAGTAACAGCAAGAAATGAATCCTGTGGATATGAAAGCTGTTTGGAAACTGGGATGCTAACAGCCTGCAGGAGCTCCCCTGTGCAGCTGTGTGAGCAGGAGGGAAGGGAGCAGGTCTTGTCCAGCCCCTCAGGCAGCTCTGGGAAAGGCTGGGGACACACACGTGGTGGCTGGCTCAGGCTATGGACTGGAAACTCCAGTTCTCCTCCTTGATTTTGGGAAAAGGGAAAGAATTTGGGGATAGAGGGACCACGGGACATGGAATCGTTTGCTGTAATTTCCTATGTGCTGGAGGCAGATGTTTGCATTCTCATTTCTTGGACATCAACTGGGTCTTTCACAGCTGTGCTGGGCACAGCCGGTGGAGTCCAGGGTTCCTCACAGGATTTCTCCCTGGTGTGACTCTTCCCAGCACAGTGCAGCCACGAAGGCATCCCTCATGATGGTTACCATATTTTAGAAATTTCCTGCACAGCACACAGTGCCAGTAGGATGACAGTTCTCTTCACAGTTTCAGTGAAATCCGAGAGATGAGGAAAAAGAACTGTGATGTCACATATGCTCATACAGAATCTTAAACATCTCCATTGTGCTTGCATCTCAGGTGCCTCAGGCCACTCCGTAGCCCAGATATAAAGCAGAGGTTCCATGGCTCAGATGCTGTTCATTAAGGAAAGGAAACCCTGGGTGATGATTCCCTCCCCATATGCCCTCCTTGGTTGCATATGCCCTGAGGCTGGGCCCTGGGGGCCCCTGCCATCCAGGTCCCAGGCACCCCTGCAGTGAGGTTTGTGTCTGGGCCCACACTGGGATCTCCTCTCTGTGTCTCTTACACAGTCATACAGGGCTGTGTCCTCAGTAGTCACAAAACTCAGCTGCAAGGAGAACCGGATGTATCCTGAATGCATCTCTGGAGATGGATACTCAACTTTGATGGTAGGGATAAACTATATGCTCCCTCCATAACAGAGGTGAGCAATCCATTGCATTCCAACCTTTCCCTGCAGGTCGGGGGATCCACCCCCCCTGAGTAACCCCTGGTAACGGAGCAGCGGGAAGCAGCATGGGACACGGAGATTGCCTGCGAGGGCTTTGCCCCTCCTACGGCTGCACCTGGGACAGGACACCTGGGAACAGAGAGGATTGCAGGGAGCTGTGTGCTCAGATGCAGCACCCCCATATCGTCACGTCTGACTCTTTGAGGCTTTCCCATCTGGAAGCTGCCACAGATCCAACGTGCAACATGAGGAAGTTAATAAGGGTGCATTGCATCCAGGACTTTGCTAACTGAGGTTATAGCTGTTCTTGCCAAATGGGGGAGGTGGGTAACTCTGTAAGTTGAGGGCTGCATTAATTTATTTCACTATAGTCATCATTTTACTGTATATATTTATTCCATATCATGTTGTATGTCTTAGATATACATAATACAATTTATTTTTTGAAAAAGAAAATGTAATTGTCAATCTCTACAATGAAATAACAGAATGTCACAAAAATAAAATGTCATCTTAAAAAGTATTCTTGTTTTCAGCCATTGCTTACAAATCCCAAAATAATAAAAATAACCATTCCCCATATATTTGGATTCATCTCAGGCAAAACATTAGAAAACAGCCAGATTCATCCATGTAATCTTATCCTTCCTACCACGGATGTGTGTCTCTCTGAAGATGTGACACAGCTCTAGTCATGAGGACAGGAGAGTTGGTCGATTGAGGCATTTCTGATCCTTCCGAAGAGCATTTCAGAGGGAATGCCCTCTCTTCATCCAGCCCATCACTATGTCGGAATGTGACTTTTAAAACTGCTGTCATCATGCCCATAAATAAAGCCTCATAAATAAAGGCAATAAAAGTTGCCTTTCCTTCAATTTGTACTGAAATAGCCACATATAATAATGGAAATAATCTTGAAGTAAAAATTAAATTAAACCAAACAGATTGAAACATTAACCTGAACTTCATGTGAGTTCAAATTTAGTGTGTAGTGAGTAGTGAGACAGGCAGGAGGCGTGGCAGAATATCAAGCTGTGCTCACCCCGTCTCATCTTAGTGAGGAAACTGCCTGCATATTGCTTAGGTGTATTACAGACTCCCATTGGTAATGTGAGCCTCACAATATGTGCTGATGGATCACATCTCAAAACTGAAACTGCATGTTATGGAGAAGGAGGTACCATCACCATCAGCTGAAGTAAACCCACGCTGAATAGTAGAATTTAAGCCAGTGACTAGAAGGTGTAAGCTAGCCAAGTCTCAAAAATAGACAAAGAGACTGATATCTAGAAGGTAAGTGTTGAAATAGTGCATGATTTGGGGATGTTTTCAGGGAAAAAGAAGACTTGATGAAACATACCCCAATACTGGACAAGAAGGAAGGAGATCGACTGTCATTTACAACAACATGGATAGATCCAGAGGACGTAGTGCTAAGTGAAATGAGCCAGACACAAGATAAAAATACAGCAAGTTCTCACTTACATGTAAAATCTTTAAAAATATCAAATCCATAGAAACAGAGAGTGAAATGATGGCTACCAGGGGTGTGGAGAGGTAGGAAATGGGGAGAAATAGGTGAAAGTTAACACATTTGCAGTCACGCAGAAGCTACAGAAGTTAGAGTTTGCAGTTATGCAGACGCTACACAAGAAAGAGCTTGCAGTTATAAAATCAAGAGCTCTTGTGTGCAGCAGGTAGGCTGTAGTTATATTTTATTGTATACTGAACATTTGCTAAAAGAGTAGAATTTAGTTTCTCCTGCTACAAAACGGTAACCATAAAAGGAAATTGATTGGTTAATTTGCTGCTAGGTTGTGGTAACCTTTTTACTATGCATGTGTATATCTAAACACCATGTTGTACACTCTTAATGTACACAGCAGAAAACATTGAAAACAAGTAGAACATAATCATCACCAAAAAAGATGGACAATGTTAAGGAACCTTTAAATACACACCTCCTTTCCCTGTGCTGGCTGATGTGAAGATTGGCACCCACACAAATTAGGTAGTAAGGAAGTGAAAGAGCATACTCCAGCAGATTATTATTCAAAACTAGTCGCTGTAACCTAGGTTATAATCCTATTTAAACATTCAAGTGATCAAGCTCTGGAGGCATTCAGAAAGCCATTACAGAATATGAATGTTTAACTCCTGATTTTAAATTTAAAATAATAGAAAAATCTGGTTGTGTAACTAACTCTGATAATTTCTTTGTTTTTCTTTTTTCTTTTATTTTTATTATACTTTAAGTTCTAGGGTATATGTGCACAATGTGCAGGTTTGTTACATATGTATACATGTGCCACATTGGTGTGCTGCACCCATTAACTCGTCATTTACATTAGGTATATCTCCTAGTGCTATCCCTCCCCCTCCCCCCACACCACGACAGGCCCCAGTGTGTGACGTTCCCCTTCCTGTGTCCAAGTGGTCTCTTTGTTCAATTCCCACCTCTGAGCGAGAACACGTGGTGTTTGATTTTTTGTCCTTGCGATAGTTTGCTGAGAATGTTGGTTTCCAGTCTCGTCCATGTCCCTACAAAGGACATGAACTCATCCTTTTTTATGGCTGCATAGTATTCCATGGTGTATATGTGCCACATTTTCTTAATCCAGTCTATCATTGCTGGACATTTAGGTTGGTTCCAAGTCTTTGCTATTGTGAACAGTGCCACAATAAACATACGTGTGCATGTGTCTTTATAGCAGCATGATTTATAGTCCTTTGGGTATATACCCAGTAATGGGATGGCTGGGCCAAATGGTATTTCTAGTCCTAGATCCCTAAGGAATCGCCACACTGACTTCCACAATGGTTGAACTAGTTTACAGTCCCACCAGCAGTGTAAAAGTGTTCCTATTTCTCCACATCCTCTCCAACACCTGTTGTTTCCTGACTTTTTAATGATCGCCATTCTAACTGGTGTGAGATGGTATCTCATTGTGGTTTTGATCTGCATTTCTCTGATGGCTAGTGATGAGGAGCATTTTTTCATGTGTCTTTTGGCTGCATAAATGTCTTCTTTTGAGAAGTGTCTATTCATATCCTTCGCCCACTTTTTGATGGCGTTGTTTTTTTCTTGTAAATTTGTTTGCTAACTCTGGTAATTTATGAAGCTCTCAAGATACATGCTTGGTGGTACCAGATGAGCTCAAGTAGATGTTATCTTGATTTCTCCATGAAACCATGATTTCTCCACGAATCTTGAGGTGTATGGTAATTGGTTATTGTCTCCAATCAACATCTGATGGTAAAATTTAAAGTCACAGCTGTGGTTGTCGTTGCATCAGTTGTGACCAGTCAACAACATCGTGCTGGTAAAAGAGTGATGGTAACCCTGGGGAGAAACCAAAGCTCAAAAATACTTTGAACACAGTTAAAACGATTTAACCCAAGAATCATCCACTTGGAGTTTGGGTATGTGTTATTTATGGTGTGACTACATTCAGAATGGCTTGAAGCATCTCCTTGCCAAAAGGCTACAGGTTTTTGTTTGTTTGTTTGTTTGTTTGTTTGTTTTTGAGATGGAGTTGCCCAGGCTGGAGTGCAATGGCAAGATCTCTGCTCACTGCAACCTCAGCCTCCCTGGTTCAAGCTGTTCTCCTGCCTTAGCCCTCCAAGTAGCTGTGATTACAGGCATGCACCACCACACTCTGCCAATGTTGTATTTTTAGTAGAGACAGGGTTTCTCCATGTTGGTCAGGCTGGTCTCGAACTCCCGACTTCAGGTGATCCGCCCACGCTGGCCTCCCAAAGTGCTGGGATTACAGGTTTGAGCCACTGTGCCAGGCCAGGCTACAGCTCTTAGAGTTACTACAAAGATGTTTGATTTTGTGTTTCAAACAGGAACATCTCAGAGATGTATCCCACTTTATCATGCATTTCTGGTGGTGGGATAGGTTCCTTTTATTGTGCTGTTGAATTTGATTTGCTGGGTTTTGTTGAATTTTGTACCTATACAAATTAGGGATATGAACTGTAGTTCTCTTTTCTTAAATGGCCTTTGCCTGTCTTTGGTATCAGACTGAGAGTGCTCACATAAAAATATTTTGAAAGTGTTCCTTTAACTTTCTAGGAGAGTTTAGAGTTATTAGTTTTAGTTCTTCTTTAAACATTTGGTAGAATTCACTGGAGAAACCACTTGAACTTGATTTTCAAATCTTCTTGATTGGGAGATTTTTGATTGCTGTTTCAATCTCCTTGTTCATTTTTGGTCTCTTCAGGTTTTCTATTTCTTTATGATTCAGTCTTGGTAGAATGTATGTTTTGAGGAATTTACCCATTTCTTCTAGGTTATCCAATGTGTTGGTGTTTATTCAATAATGATTTATAGTCGTCTCCATGTATGAGTCTGTTTTTGCCCTACTATAAATACCTGAGTCAGGGTAATTTATGAAAAAAAAAAAAGAAGTTCTGCAGGCTGTACAGAAAGCATGGCAAGATCTGCATCTGGGGAGGCCTCAGGAAACTCAGTCACGGTGGAAGGTAAAGGAGAACCTCTTCCATGGCTGAAGCAGGAGCAAGAGAGAGAACCGGAGGTGCTGCATGCTTTATTTATTTATTTATTTTTTCTATTATTTAATTAATTATTTATTTTTTCTATTATTTATTTATTTATTTTATTTTTTTCTATTATTTATTTATTTATTTTTTAGACACAGTCTCACTCTGTGGCCCAGGCTGGAGTGCAGTGGCACGATTTCAGCTCACTGCAAACTCCGCCTACCGGCTTCACGCCATTCTCCTGCCTCAGCCTCCTGACTAGCTGGGACTACAGGCACTCCCCACCACGCCTGGCTAATTTTTTGTATTTCTTCGTGGAGACAGGGTTTCACCGTGTTAGCCAGGATGGTCTCCTCCTGACCTCGCGATCCGCCCACCACGGCCTCCCAGAGTGCTGGGATTACAGGCGTGAACCACCGCATCCGGCCACGCTACATGCTTTTAAACAACCAGATCTCAGGAGAACTCACTATCGGACGACAGCACCAAGGGGTATGGTGTTAAACCATGAGAAACCAACCTTCTCCATGATCCAATCACCTCCCGCTGAGCCCCAACCTCCAACACTGAGGATTACAACTGAACATGACATTTGGTTGGGGACACAGATCCAGATCATATCACATCATGATCATTTTTATTTCTGTAGCATCAGTTGTAATGTCTCCTTGATCAGTTCTGATGCTATTTATTTGAGTATTCTTTTTTTGTAGTCTAGCTAAAGTTTTGTCAATTTTGTCTTTTTTTTCAAAAGCCCTTAGTTTGTTGATTTTTCCTATTATTTTTCTGTTTTGTATTTCATTAATTTCTACTCTAATCTTTATTATTTCATTCTAACTTAGGACTTACTTATTCTTTCTCTAAATCCGGAGGTGTAAGATTAATAAGATTAATTTAGGTTCTTTCTCTTCTTTTTTTTTATTTTTCTATTATTTTTTTCAAACTCTTTTTTTTATACTTTAAGTTCTAGGGTACATGTGCACAACGTGCAGGTTTGTTACAAATGTATACATGCACCATATTGGTGTGCTGCACCCATTAACTCGTCATTTACATTAGGTATATCTCCTAAGGCTATCCCTCCCCCCTCCCCCCACCCCATGACAGGCCCTGGTGTGTGATGTTCCCCACCCTATGTCCAAGTGTTCTCATTGTTCAATTCCCACCCATGAGTGAGAACATGCGGTTTTTGGTTTTTTATCCTTGTGATAGTTTGCTGAGAATGATGGTTTCCAGCTTCATCCATGTCCCTACAAAGGACATGAACTCATCCTTTTCTATGGCTGCATAGTATTCCATGGTGTATATGTGCCACATTTTCTTAAGCCAGTCTATCATTGTTGGACATTTGGGTTGGTTCCAAGTCTTTGCTGTTGTGAATAGTGCCGCAATAAACATCGAGTGCAGTGGTGCAATGTCGGCTCACCACAACCTCCACCTCCTGAGTAGTTTGGATTATAGGCATGAGTCACCACACCCAGGTAATTTTTGTATTTTTGTATTTTTAGTAGAGACAGGGCTTCACCATGTTGGCCAGGCTGGTCTTGAGCTCCTGACCTCAAATTATCCACCAACCTCAGCCTCTCAAAGTGCTAGGATTACAGGTGAGAGCCACCATGTCCAGCCCCTTTCTTCTCTTTTAATGTAGGTGGGCATCATTATGAATTTCCCTCTTAGTACTGCTTTTGCAGTATCCCATGTTTCAATGTAGTGCGTTTTCACTGTCATTTATTTCAAAATATTTTCTACATTATCTTTTAAGTTTGCTTAGCTTATACTTCTTTGTAAATTTTCAACTTTTTCCCTATTAGTGATTTCTAGTTTCAATCCATTGTCAGAAATGATACTTGATGCGATTCAGTCTTCTTAATTTTGTTGAGTCTTCTTTGTGACCTAACATGTGAGGTAATCATTCCTCAGCCTTTTGGCTAAGGTCATGTGTAGTACCTAGCACGTGATCTATCCTGAAGAATGTTCCCTGTGCATTTGGGGAGAATGCATGCTCTGCTGGACTTGAATTGAATGTTCTGTATCTATCTGTTAGGTCAATTTGGTCTCTAGTGCTATTCAGGTCTGCTGTTTCCCTACTGATTTTCTGTCTGTATGTTCTATCTATTGATGAACGTGGGGTGTTGAAATCTCCTAATTGTATTGTATTGCTTTCTGTGTCTCCTCTCTGATCTGTAAATGATAGTTTTATATGTCTAGGTACTTTGATGTTGGATGCATGTGTGTGTGTGCATAACTGTATCTTTCTGATAAGTGAAACTTTGTATCACATATAATAATTATATAAGACAAAGATCTTTGTCTTTTGTGAGAGCTTTTTACTTAAAATCTATTTTTTTCTGATATATATGTAGATACTCCCACCTCACTCTCTTTTGGTTAACATTTACGTGAAATGTCTTCTTTCATTCCTTCTTTTCAGTTTCAGTGTATGTGTGTCCTTTAGTCTGACAGTCTTGAGTGATCATCCAGGAGCAAGATGGCGGAATAGGACTCTCCAGTGATGGTTCCCTGCCGGAACATTAATCTGAACAACTATCCACGTCCAAAAATCCTTCACAAGAGCTAAGGAAGCCAAGTGAGAGATCCCCATACCTGGTTACAGCCTAAAAGTAAGAAACGACACATTGAAGAGAATAAGAACAACAGTTCAGCATGACCTGTGTCACTCCTGTCCCAACGCCAGGTAGCATAGTGTGAGGAGCGATGCCGTCTAGTTGGGGGAAAAGAGAAGGAAGGAGCAACCACTGCCATTTTGTTGCCCATTTTCTGGCAGTTTTGAGACTCCTGTCTCCCTTCCTTCCTTCCTTCCTTCCTTCCTTCTTCCCTCCCTCCCTCTTTCTTTCTTTCTTTCTTTCTTTCTTTCTTTCTTTCTTTCTTTCTTTCTTCCTTCCTTCCTTCCTTCCTTCCTTCCTCCTTCCTTCCTTCCTTCCTTCCTTCCTTCCTTCTTTCTTTCTTTCTTTCTTTTTCTTGTTTTTGTGGTTCAGTGATTTTCTTCAGTAGAATTTGTTGCTTCTGATTTTTAGTGAATCAGTTATAGGTTTTTGTGCTGTGGTCATCATGAGTCTTAAAAGAAACACCTTATAGATATGAGAAGTTATTTAAAGGAGATGACAACTCAAATGAAAGAACAGAAACAAGCAAAGGCAAAAAAGACACAGAAAAATTCTACATTTTGACTCCATCCCCTGGGTTTCTCCATGTACCTAATTTTACCAGTGGGTTTTATATTTATAAAAGTTTTGTTTTATTCTTTAGCATTTTTTTCTTTGAGATTTAAGAACTCCCTTTAGCATTTCTTGTAAGATGGGCCTGAGGGTGGTGAATCCTCTCATCTTTTTTCTGTTTAGGAAAGTCTTTATCTCTCCTTTCAATTGGAGGGGTAATTTGCTGAAGAATATATTCTTGGATGGCAGGTTTTTTTTTCTTTTGAGCACTTAAAAAATGTCAATCCATTCCCTCCTGGCCTGTGTAATTTGCATTGAGAAGCCTGTTGCCAGAGGAATTGGAATGCCTTCATATGTTATTTGTTTCTTTCCTCTTGCTGGTTTTAGGATCCATTTTTTGTCCTTGTCTTTGAAAGTGTGATTAGTATATGTCTTGTAGTAGTCTTATTTTTGTTGATTCTGTTTGGTGTTGTCATGCCTTCCTGTACCTGGATATTTATATCTTTCTCAAGTTTTGGAAATTTATCTGTTATTATTTCTTTAAGTAAGCTTTCTACACCTTACTCTTGCTCAGCTCCCTGTTAAACAGCAAGAATTCTTTTGAGTTCTTCCTTGTCTGATGGAGAATAGTACTGATTTTTTCCAGCTGGATTACACACTTGTGCCACCCACTCCAGTCTGCTGGACACAGCTCAAGCTATTGTTAGCGAAGGTGAAACCAGAGTCTTTGCAGAAGGCTCAGAGAATGCCCAGGGCAGCCTCATGTGTCCTCGACCTCCCCAAGCTGAAGTTCACAAGGGAGTCCTGGAAGCACAGAGAAAACACACTGAGAGCAGCCCTGTGTGGGGCAGCCACAAGTGAGCCTGCTGCAGGAGGGATGCTCCCTCAACAGTGATGAGCAGGCACAGGCTCCATGGTGGGGATGCTGAGGAGGGACCCAAACATGGGCTGGCTCCTCACCAGGGCCTGCAGGACAGCGGATGAGCTGCTTCTCATGAGCGGGAGCAGAGCTGCATTTCTGTGACATTCTCTCTGCGGACATGTGTGCACTGCTCAGCAGGGCTCCTCCCTTCCCTGCCTCTGGATGTTTGGAAGGGCAGCTGGCAAAGGTACCCTGGGACTGGATGCTCAGGGCGTCTCTGCCCATCAGCCTTTGTTTTCCTTTCATGTGGACACTGTCTTGGAATCTGTCTGGATGAACGCTTACTACCATTGAAATCCAGTAAAGTCACAGAAAGGAAACTTGCACAAAGAAAGTGGCTATTCGACTCTAGTCAGCTCTAGCACACTGTGGAGGGCTGTAGAACACTGTCCTCAACCAGAAGGCAAAGTGCCTGAGTAAAAGGAAAAGAATTGCAGGTCTGTATATAGCCAAGACTGGAGCATGTAATTCCAGGAGTCATGAGCTCAGGCTGTCTCCTTTTCCATAACATCCCAGGGTCAGGTCAATGCAAGATGCCTCTTTGTACACCCCCTGTGGAGTGTGGGAAGAGGGTGACAAGGTTCACTGCGTCTGGGAGAAGAATATGGGGACTCCTGGTGACAATGCTGTGACCTACCCTTGGTGCTGCTACTGTGGTTTCTCCTTCTGTGGGGACAAGTGGTCCTAGGGATAGAGTCCCCATGTGCCCTGGACAGATCACTTGGAATGACCACCACAGATGAAAGAATCACTGCTCAATCTTATTTGAGTGTATGGTGAAAATAACACTCAGACACTACCAGGAGGGCTCAGGATGCAGAAGGGGGGGGTCAAAACCAGGGGGCTCAGACACCACCAAAGGGGCTCAGGACCCACCAGTAGGGCTCAGACACTAATAGAGGGGCTCAGGACATCACAAGCGGGGTTCAGACACCACCAGGGTGGCTCAGACCACGAGGGGGAGCTGAGGGCAGGCAGAGGGGCTCAGACACCAGTAGAGTGGCTCAGACACCACCAGGGAAGCTGAGGGAACCAGAGGGGATCAGACACCAGGGGACGATCAGCGCCAGCAGGGGGTGCTCAGGACCTGGCTCGGGAGCAGATGCAAGGTGAAGCTGACATTTCCTTTTTCTCCTTGGTAATTCCTTGGCCTGCCCTGCAAAAATCTTGCTCAGCAGATATTATTGTTTCTTCCCTGTAACTTCTTAGTTCCTCTCATCTGAAAAGGACTAACTTGGAACAGAAATCCCATTTAACTTTTCATACTTCATTTTCAGTCTCCTTCTAGCAATATTTCACTAAAATGTTAATAAGAAACAATGAAGCCACAGTCCAAATGTTAGCACCGTGCAAAGATTTGTATGTTTTCTCCACTTTGTCGATTACGACTTAGGAAACTCTTCCCTCAATCCACTGTCTGGTATACACTATGGCGTTGTGTTTCGCTTTCTTTCATTGGTTTTGCAAGGAGATGAAGCACCATTTAATGGGATGTGTCCTCTTTTTCTGGTTGGCTCCCCGTGGTGTCCACCTCAGATGGTTTTGCCACCACGATTAATCCGTTAATGCCTTCAGTCACCCTCACTATCCATGTAATGAAGCAATGAGTCCCTTTACTTCATCTACTTGTGTCTCCATGAGTCAGTTCACTCCTCTCCATTCTCACAAAGGACAGTCACCCTCAGGCCACTGCTTCACAGCCTCATGTAGCCTTGGGTGGTAAACCTATTAAAAAGCTCTGGCTATTTAGAAAGAATGTATATTGGAAACTTAATCCCAAATTCCATAGTGTCCAGAGGTAAGAACTTTCAGGAATGATTAGGTCATGAGGGCTCTGCCCTCATGAAGCAATTAATGCCATTATTGGCAGAGTGGGTTACTCATAGAGGGAGTAGATTAGTTACTACAGGCCTGGGGTCCTCATTAGAAGATGAATTTAGCCCCATTTCTCTCCTTCGCACATGCTTTCCTGCCTCCCACATAGGTGTCACAGCAAGAAGGCCCCTGCAAGATGCTAGCACCTTGATATTGGACTTCCCAGGCTCTAGAACTGTGAGAACACAAATTTCTTTTACTTATACTTAGTCAGTCTGTGGTATTGCCTCATTGCACCACAAAGTGGACTAAGACAAAAAAATCAGTATCAAGAGGTGGGGCTTTTGTGATTACAAATACTCCAAAATGTAGAAGTGGATGTAGTAATGCACAAAGTCTGGAATAATTTGGAGGATCAGACTATAAAAAGTCTAGATTGCCCTGAATAGAACACTAGAGGTGATTCTTTTGAGGACTCAGAAGAAGAGAGTTGTGAGGAAATTCTGAAACTTCTTAGAGATTATTCAAGTGATGACCATTAGAATGTTGGTAGAACCATGGACAATAAAGGCCGTTCTGATGACGTCTCAGGAGAAAAAGAAGAATAGCTCATCAGAAAATGGAGCAAAGGCCATCCTTGCCATAAAGTGGCAAAGAATGTGGCTGAATTGTGCTCATCCCTAGGTCTTTCTGTAAAGTGGAAGTTCAGAGCCATAAACGAGGATATATGATGGAAGAAATTTGAAGCAAATCTATGGCCTCACTTCTAGCAGGCACTTTAGGACTCCGTTCCCTGTGTCCAGGCACAGCACTCCTTGGCTGCCCATGCTGTGGCTCAGGAGGACCTAGGTGTGGCTCAAGCCATCACTTCAATGGTACAAGTCATCAACTTCCATGGCATCCATGTGTTGTTAATTCTGCAGGTGTGCAGAATAGAAGAACCACGAGGGCATGGCTTTCTCCACGTAGATTTCAAAGAATGCTGTGGACAGCCTAAGGTCTCGGGCAGTGAGTTGTTGCAGAGACAGAGTCACCACACTGAGCCCTCAGCACAATGCCAAGCAGAAATATGGGTTTGGAGGCACCACAAAGGGTATCCAGTCCACCTAGGAGAGCTAGAGGCTTGACAGTCCCACCTGTGAGAGAGGCTGAGTGGACTGAACCCAGAAAATCCATAGAGGCAAGACTGCTGGAGGCCTTGGGGGCCCATCCCCCTCCCCAGTGTGCACAGGATGCAGTCAAGGAGGATTTTTTCCAGGTTTAAGGCTTAATGTTGTTTCCCATGTTGGGTTTTGGACTATGCACCCCTTCTCCTTGCCTCTCTCTGAGCTTTGAAATGGGAATTTCTATCCCATACCTGCCTCATCATTCACTGTATTTGAAAGTAGATAACTTATTTTGATTTTATAGGCTCACAGATGGAAACAATTTATATCAGACTAAATTGTGCCTTCAGTGTCACTCATATCTGATTTAGATGAGACTTTGGACTTCATACTTTTGCATTGATGCTGGATGAGTTAAGACTTTGAAGACAGTTGGGATGGAATGTATGTAGTTTACATTGTAATTGGGACATACATTTTAGTATTAGGAATGGAATGCTATGGTTTAAATGTGTCACCCAAAGTTTATGATTTGGAAAAAATCTTTAATGCAACAGTGTTGAGAGGTGGGACTTTATTATGTGATCAGGTCATGAAGTCTCTGTCCTCATGAATGGATTACTGTCACTATCATGGGAGTGGGCTAGTTATTACAGGAGCGAGTTTCTAATAAAAGATGGCCTCTTTTTTTCTCACAGACAAGTGGTCTCTTGCTCATCCTCCTCTGCTGTTAGATGATGCAGTGAGAAGGCCTTTTTCAGATGCCAGCCCCTTGATATTGGGCTTCTCTGACTCAAGTACCATTAAGTATAAATTCCTTTTCTTTAAAAATTGCCCAGTCTCCATGTTGTGGGTGCCTGTAGTCCCAGCTACTCGGGAGGCTGAGGCAGGAGAATGGGGTGAACCCGGGAGACGGAGCTGGCAGTGAACGGAGATCATGCCACTGCCCTTCAGCCTGGGAAACAGAGCGAGGCTCTGTCTCAAAAAAAAGAAATGCCCAGTCTCTGGTATTCTGTTATAGCAACACAAAAACAGACTCAGACTAAGCCATTGTAAGATGTGTGAGGTGATATCTCATCCCAGTTTTAATTTGCATTTCCCTGATGATTAGTGAGTGATGTTGAGCATTTAAATGTCTTTATGTTGAGTGAAATAAGCCTGGTATAAAAATTACTCCATGATCTCACTTACACATGCAATCTAAAAATGTTGAACTCAGAGAAGTAGAGAGTAGAATGTTGCCTACCAGGAGCTGGCGTTAGGAGGATGTAAAAGCTGAGGCCCTGGTGAAAGGGTACAGAGTTTTGGTTAGACAGAAGGAATTCGTTTGAAGATCTATTGCACACCATGGTCAGACCTCAGTGATACTAATGTACTATATATACTTGAAAACTGATAAGAGAGTAGATTTTACACATTTACACCATAAAAAAAGCAGTATGTGAGGTGACAGACATGTTTATTTACTTGATTTAATAATTTCACAATGCACGCATATATCAAAACATCACGTTGTATGCCCATAATATATGAAATACAATATATTTTTCTAGTAAGTGTGATGCCTCTGTTTCTTCAACAACAGTTTCTGGAGATTGTTTTTTCCTTGGTGTGGACAATGTTTCCTCTCTGCTGTCTTTATACAGTTTTCCTTTCCCATGGGTTGATTTAAGACAGTGACAATTTATTTATTCTATATCTGGTAATTTCACTGAGAAACCTAATGAATAGCCACTTGAAACCATCTGGTGCCACCGAGAAACCATCTGAAGGACACAGATTTTCTGAGTGTAGGCCACAACCATATTTTAACACTTTTTAAATTCAAAATCAGGGTTTAAATTTTGATATTTTACAATGGCTTCTTTGATTTCCTCCCAAGATCCAACCGTTGAGCGTGTGAAAAGGGCTGGAACCCAGGTTACGGCTGTGCTTGGCATGATGATGTCCTGCAGAAATTCCTTTGGCTTTCTACATGTAGCTCAGCCTCCATATCAGCCAGCTCACTTGGAGGTCAGAGTACTTCTCAAAGATCCTCAGTGTGTTGTTTCATTTTGAGAGGTTTCCAGCCCTTGTGAGACACCCCTTGGTTTTACAATCACCACGAAGTTGTTTATGATTCCAAAAACATACCTGCCATCTGTCCATATGTTTGTTCTGCAGCTTTTGATTTCCTAAAATGCTGTAGTAACTGCAATAAGTTCTACCATCTGGATTAATTTTCACCTCAGTTGGAAGAGTGTATTTTAAGATAAAGATAAAATAGTAATAGTATATCCTCCTTGGTAATATCCAGTTCTATACTTTGGGCTATGGTCTGTCAATAAATAATGTTATGTCAGGGTCCTCAATGGAGTGCCTGAACATCTAAGGAAGGTACAGAAGTTTCCCTAACTAAGATAGAAACCATGGTGAGCACAAGTTTGCTATGCACCCATGTCTCCGGTCTGTCTCACTATGCACCTGACACTCATTTTAACCTCACCAGGAAGTCAGTTAACTTCCAAATCAGTTTATTGTAATGCTTCTAGGTAATTATATGTGGCAATTTCTGGCAGAGATGAATAAAAATATTCACCAGAGAATCTAATACAGAAGAAAGCAAGAGGCCCTGGGCTTGTTTTCATAAAAGCATCATACACCAGGCAGTTGATTCTTTCGGCTGTCGGCACTGGCACACCCAGCATTCCGGCTTCATCCCTTAAGTAAGCTTCATCGTGCATGGATAGGCTGGAACCTTTCCCGAGGCCATATGCCAATGGATATGCAGCACTGTACCACATGTCCACAGAGATACAAAATCCCCTATGGGAAGAACGAGGCTGGATCAACGGGACTGGCAGTTTCTCACTGAGAAAATGTGAGGTCAGCTTCTATGGCGGGCAATTCAGGAAATTACGCAGCAGTTTTGTAATTGATGGTTATGGAAAAATGAACCATTGAGATGACTAATGACTTACATTCCATTATTCCAAGTAAGAAATGGACATCACAGTTCGCCGCAACTAAATTTTCATAACCTAAATGGATTACTTTAAACTTCTTCCTACATCTTCTCTTAATAATTTTTAATAACGAATGTGTCTTACCTATATTCCCAATATTTAAAACTGGGCTGCCAAGAGAGTCTAGAGAATTTGAGAACTAAGAACAGTGAAACTTCTGTATGTTCAGCAGCTGCCAAAGCAACACAATATTCCCCAGGAACACTGTTCTGTGCTTCAGCACAAATCATGCTTGTGTATTTCCTAATGGCTCCAATAGTGACCCTCCATTCCCATCAAACATTTGGCCTCCCCTTTCTCCACGTCCCCTCCATTCACACATTATACTCTCAGCTCTGTCTAGGTATCGTAAAAGCCAGCAAATGGACCCTCCTGATCTCCTGAACATGAAACCCAACACTATCATGTGATCAGCTTTCTTGGCATGGTGACTTTCAAAGGCATCTCATTTAAATAATCACCATTTTTTTCCTTCTGTAACAAACTGTTTCTTTCCATTGTGCCTTCCCATAAGCATTTTAACATAATTTACTGTCCGACCGCAGTTATTAATACACACAAATGCCACAACCTCTTTCTAGCCCAAGAGACCTGATTAATTTTTCTTTGGGGATGAGCACACCCTAGAAACACATCCCATTCACATAAACACGGGCACACCGATGACTTGTTCTTTTGTGTAAGCAAGAGTTTACACCATTCTCTGTCCAACTCCATGAGCCCCTGAAGACCAAGACACACTCTTTCACACCAGTGCAAGCTCCGGCCCAGGGACAGCCTGCTGAGGAATGGGCTCAGCTGGGTCTGGGTGCTGGGTTCATCTCTTCCCCTCTCCTGTCCCATAGCAGGTCCATCACCCTGCTCAGGTCTGAACAGGAGTGTCTAGGTTTGTCTGGCCATCCGACTTTTTCAATTTTTAGAAGATCTCCTATTACCTACTGTATTCATTTTATAGGGCTTTTATAATGAAATACCACAGATTGGATGGCTTACAATACAAAACCAATTTCCTCACACTTATGGAGGATGAAAGCCTAAGATCAAGCTGCCAGCTGGGTGGGTTTCCTCTGAAGTCTCACTCCCTGGTGTGCAGATGGCGCCTTCTCGCTGTTCTGTGGTAACATGGCCGTCCCTCAGGGCGTGTGCACCCTCCCTCCTGCTTCCCCTTCTTATAACAACAGTCAGATTGCATTAGGGCCCCACTCCAGGAATCTCACTTTAACTTATTCACCTCTTTAAAAGACACTGATCCAAGTATGATTTCATTCTGAAGGACCAAGGGTTGGGACTTCAGCACAAAAATTTAGGAGGGACACAGTCTACCCTAGCAGCCTCCTTCAGGGATGTCAAATATTTTCCTTCTGCTCCCTGTGAAAACCCTAAAGGGGTAGGGAAAGGGCGTCCAACCTGCACGCTCGTAGAGGGGAAACCAGCTTCATTAGTAATCGTACATTTGTGGTAAAAAGGCAGGATTTGAAGCGGTGGAAGATGGGAGTACGGGGCATTGGAACACAAAGTGCCACACAACGCAGCCTTCGAAACACACTATGGTCATGTTAAGTTTAAATGGAGTGACCACATTCGCCAGGAAAGGGAAATATTTACACTTTTGAGGAAACAGTAATTTGTGTTTCTGATTATGATCTGGCATTGGATTTTCCCTCCCCTCATAAGCAATGACAGAATCAGCAGAAATATGTGAAACGTTAGTTCTCAGACATGAGACACCCGGAGAGGGCCCCCTCTGTCCTTCCCTGAGAGCTGATCAGCTCCTGCATCTGAAGAAATGACCAAAGACCAGGAGAGAACCACACAGAAGCATCGGAGGGACAGCACCTGGGGCTCTCATGGGGTCAGGAATAGTGTCTGCTCCCAATAGATGGACTAAGTAAAAAGTATCATAATTCACAAGGGTTTTACATAGCACAGAAGAAAAAGTTACCCTATATCAACTGTTGATCTTGTGAATCCAGGAACTGTGGATTCAAGGTGGTCGGGCACATCTTGATTTAGGCATTTCAGGGACACATGAGACATCAATCAATATAAGTAAGAAGGACACTAGTTCCATCCAGAAAGGCTGAGACAACTCAAAGCAAGTCCTCCCCACTTAGGGCTTCCAGGTCACAGGTAGGTGAGAGACAGATGGTTGCATTCTTTTGAGTTTCTGATAAGTGTTCGCAAAGGAGGTCATGAGAATATTCATCTGTCTCTGTGAGCAGAGGGACAACTTTAAATAGACTGGGAGGCAGATTTGCCCTGAGTGGTTCTCAGCTTGATGGGGCCCAAGATATTTTCCTTTCACAATCTGGTAACTTCAAACAAAACTTCAAAGCCACAACAAAACAATACAACAACAAAAAGAATAAGACATGGGTACTTATTAAGAGTAGAAAAACATTCAGTCCCCAAGGAAAATATTGGCAGTGCCCACCTCCACATGACAAAGGAGTAAGCAGTGTAAGCCACAGAAAGGAGCATATTAACCCACAGAGTGACCGAGAATAACACGGGTGATGCGAGGGCATTGAACACACATCATTGCATTTTGTAGATTCAGAAAGCAACAGAAAAGATTGACGGTGGTAAAAGAGACAGCCCTGCTTCCCTCTCCCTTTTCCCTTCCCAATGAGCCCTCACAGCCGTGACCCTCAGCCTCATCCCGCAGTGCAGCAGCTGCCGTCCTGTCCAGACCCACCTCCTGCCCCTCCCTGGGACTGTTACCTCATTCCCTCCCAGAGTCCAGGTGCCCCGCGGTGTGGTGCGGGAGCCTGGGGAGGCCCTTTGTTCTCTGTCAGGGTCTCCCTGGGAGGGACGCAGCCACCGCAGCTGGTTGGGGCCTGGCTTCACCGAGGACAGTCCTTTCCTTTCCCATTGTCGTTGGGTAATTATTGCTGGGCTGGGACATGAGGCAGGCAGAGGTGCGGGTCACCCTTAGGGCCCCCCTCTTGCTGCTGGGGCTCTGGGCGCTCCTGGCTCCAGTCCGGTGTTCTCAAGGCCGTCCCTTGTGGCACTACGCCTCCTCCGAGGTGGTGATTCCCAGGAAGGAGACGCACCACGGCAAAGGCCTTCAGTTTCCCGGCTGGCTGTCCCACAGCCTGCGTTTTGGGGGTCAAAGACACGTCATTCACATGCGGAGGAAACACCTTCTTTGGCCCAGACATCTGCTGGTGACAACTCAGGATGACCAAGGAGCCTTGCCGATGGATGGCCCCTACATTCCACCAGACTGCTACTACCTCGGCTACCTGGAGGAGGTGCCTCAGTCCATGGTCACCATCGACACGTGCTATGGGGGCCTCAGAGGCATCATGAAGCTGGACGACCTTGCCTACGAAATCAAACCCCTCCAGGATTCCCGCAGGTTTGAACATGTTGTTTCTCAGATAGTGGCTGAGCCCAATGCAACGGTGCCCACATTTAGAGATGGTGACAATGAGGAGACAGACCCCCTGTTCTCTGAAGCAAATAACAGCATGAATCCCAGGATATCTAATTCGCTGTATAGTTCTCATAGAGGCAATATAAAAGGCCACGTTCAATGTTCCAATTCATATTATCATATATATGGCAATATTACCACCTGTTCCAAAGAGGTGGTCCAGATGTTCAGTCTCATTGACAGCATTGTTCAAAATATTGATCTGTGGTACTACATTTATCTTTTGACCATATATAATAATCGTGACCCAGCCCCTGTGAATCAATATCGAATTCAGAGTGCAATGTTTACCTATTTTAAAACAACCTTTTCTGATACTTTTCATGTTCATTCATCCACACTACTTATTAAAGACGCACCACATGAATCCAACTATGAACCTGAAAGGTATAGCTTCTGTACACATTTAGGCCTATTACACATTGGTACTCTAGGCAGACATTATTTATTGGTAGCCATCATAATAACCCAGACACAGATGAGAAGTATTGGTCTGGAGTATGATGATAACTACTGCACATGTTAAAGAAGGGCCTCCTGCATTATGCAGAGATTTCCTGGGATGACAGATGCATTCAGTAACTGTTCTTATGGACATGCACGAAATTGTTTTATACGTCCAGGCCGGTGTGTTTTCAAAACACTTTCTCCTGTGTATAACGAAACCATGACAATGGTTCGCTGTGGAAACCTCATAGTGGAGGGGAGGGAGGAATGTGACTGTGGCTCCTTCAAGCAGTGTTATGCCAGTTATTGCTGCCAAAGTGACTGTCACTTAACACCGGGGAGCACCTGTCATATAGGAGAGTGCTGTACAAACTTCAGCTTCTCCCCACCAGGGACTCTCTGCAGACCTATCCAAAATATATGTGACCTTCCAGAGTACTGTCACGGGACCACCGTGACATGCCCAGCAAACTTTTATATGCAAGATGGAACCCTGTGCATGGAAGAAGGCTACTGTTATCATGGGAACTGCACTGACCGCAATGTGCTCTGCAAGGCGATGTTTGGTGTCAGTGCTGAGGATGCTCCTGAGGTCTGCTATGACATAAATCTTGAAAGCTACCGATTTGGACATTGTATTAGACAACAAACATATCTCAGCTACCAGGCTTGTACAGGAATAGATAAGTTTTGTGGAGGACTGCAGTGTACCAATGTGACCCATCTTCCCCAGCTGCAGGAACATGTTTCATTCCATCACTCAGTGAGAGGAGGGTTTCAGTGTTTTAGACTGGATGAACACCATGCAACAGACATGACTGAGGTTGGGCGTGTGATAGATGGCACTCCTTGTGTTCATGGAAACTTCTGTAATAACACCCGGTGCAATGCAACTATCACTTCACTGGGCTACGACTGTCGCCTTGAGAAGTGCAGTCATAGAGGGGTCTGCAACAACAGAAGGAACTGCCATTGCCATATAGGCTGGGATCCTCCACTGTGCCTAAGAAGAGGTGCTGGTGGGAGTGTCGACAGCGGGCCACCTCCAAAAAGAACATGTTCTCTCAGACAAAGCCAACAATCAGAGATGTATCTGAGAGTGGTCTTTGGTCGTATTTACACCTTCATAATTGCACTGCTCTTTGGGACAGCCACAAATGTGCAAACTTATCAGGACCACCACCGGTTAGGAAGAGACAGTTACTAACCCTGAATAAGACTAATTCAGCCTCCCGATCCCTGTAAAGATACAGAGAATATAACAGCAAAATCTATGAAATAGGATCAGGCGAAGGGATGGCAAAGCTCAAGTCCACATTTCTTGAAGTCCACAGGAGGCACATGGTCCTGTCTCACGTCACAGGGAAAGGGGAGGCATTGGCTTCTATCCCAGGTTCTTGTAGGTCGCTGATGTTCACTCTGAAATAAATCTTCAAAAACACACATTGGTGCCTTCCACATTTTCTTAGACTCCTCTGGGAGCCCAAACTTGGCCAGAACCTCTGGCCTGGAGAGACATGAATGAGCATCTGGCTCTTGACCTGAGGTCGCTGGTCCCGGAATTAACGGAAGTTGCCACCAGCTCCTTACAGGGCACGTTCATGACATTTCTCCAGAAGAGAGCTCCAGAGCAATAAGCTTCCTCATTCCCCAGGTAATCAGTCCTTCTCTAAACCCGAAGTCAGTTTAGGGTGATCCAGGGCTACTCCCTGTTCCCTGTCTGTTCCTTACAGGGGTGCTGTGGGCTTTGCAGTGAGAGGGACTTGGGTTCAAATCCCCCACCAAGCAAATCCCCCTACCTGGGGCCGAGCTTCCCGTATGTGGGAAAATGAATCCCTCAGGTTGATTGCTGCAAGCAATGAAATTCAACTAGAAAAATAGGTAGACGTGAGGGCAAGCTGTCTGTCATTTAGTGTGAGCTCTGTGAGTGGCAGCTGCCCCCTTTCTTCTTGCCCCCACATTTTCTTGAACTGAAACAGGAAGGGAAGCTGAGTAAGTCATGATGAGGAAGAGAAACCAGGCTTGTAGCAGCACAGGCTGGTCTGGGTGGAAAACAGGGCTAGGTGTGTCGCTAAGTTGTTGTAAAGGAAAATGGAAGTTAAATGTATAAATAACTGAATGAGATAACATTTTATTTTAACTTACAATTCACAATAATATTGACGTTTAAAATGCAGTGTAGATATGTCACAGAGAATGTCAAAGGCAAAGCCCACCAACGGAAGATATCACCCTTCCCATACCATCAACAGAAAACTGCTGGTATTCTAGAGTAGTACTGAGATCTAGCATTTTTCTGAATACATCTGTGGTTCTAGATGTCCTGCTTCCACAGATATTGTTTAGAATTCCCACCCCTTTCTCCAAACACAGCTTGATATCCTTTCTCTGAACCTGCTTAGAAATTTCCTCCATTCAGCTGTCATAAAAATGCGAGTAATGCATTCCTGTGCCTCTCTCAGGGTGTTCTATTATTTTGTGGGTGAACGCTAATGGACAGTGAAGTGTGAGGTCAGTGAATACAATGCCCTCGCCCTGTGTGTCCTTCGGGTGTGAGGGGTTTTGCTGATAGAACAGCAGGCCCCGTCCCACCCTTTATGCATCTCCACCCTCCACCTCATGCACCCAGCTGACCTCTTCCCTGTGGCCTGGGGGGTTCCCTGGGGGAATGACCTCCCCTCTCTCCAGGGCCCACCCACTCAGTGCCCGTGCAAGACCACCAAGCTTGGCACAGCCCCACATTGTGTCAGGGCCTGTGTCCCCTTCCTCACCCCCTAAACAGATGGACCCACTGGGACACTGCTCAGCGCAGGGGGCGGTGGTATGTGCAGAAGGAAGGCAAATGTGCACTCTGTTGGAGAAATATTATAGGTAGTTTGAGCAAAAAATCTAATGCCATGTGAACTTTTAGAATGATACATATTTTAACAAAGAACATGACCAATAGAGTTTGTA
Organism: Homo sapiens; assembly: GCF_000001405.40. Lineage (NCBI taxonomy): Eukaryota > Metazoa > Chordata > Mammalia > Primates > Hominidae > Homo > Homo sapiens. The sequence goes on along the minus strand of NC_000015.10, from coordinate 20,044,380 downwards.
TTGAAGCCAGGTAAACACTATTTAGAGCAACAACAATATCAAAAACAAGCCAACAGTTCACCAAGAAAAACCACAATTAACCCCATGGAAATGGTCTTCCAAGAGCATCAGCACTTAAATCCTCGAAATCTGCCTGCCTCAGCACCTGTTGTCCTGACCTGCCCTCCTGTGTGTCCTAATCACTCCTATACACGGGGCCTGCACTGTGGGAGATTCGAGCTGTGCCAGGTGGAGGGAGCAGGACAACTGCTACCGGGTTGTTGGTGTGGATGCCGAGGCTACCCAAGCAGGTGTAAACTCCCACCTGTGGGCCAGGGAAGAGTACACAGGAGACATGTCCTGGGAATAGGGTGAGGGAGAGCTGTGGGGGCTCTGGGTTCTGAAGAGGGTTCTGGCCTGGCAGGGATAAGACCAACCAGCATGTGAGGCCAGGCTGGAGTCTGGACTTCTGAAGCTGCAAGGGTCGTGGGTTGCTTGGCCCAAGGGGCTGTCCTGGTTCTCTATGGAGCACTTTCAAACATTCCTTCTTCCTCCCACCCCCTCCTTCTCTCTTTCTGGGGTGGGTCCTCTGCCAGAGCCTGCAACTCCCAAATCCTCTTTGCCGGGTCCTCGGCTTCACTCTGCATCCGTCCTGAGCATCGATCTTCCAATTCCATCCTCTTCTCTTCTGCTGTGTCTAAGCTGCTGTGAAGCCACCTGCTGTAATTTACTGTTTTATATTTAATATTGTACCGTACATCTGTTCTGTTTCCTTCATCATAAACGCTTCATTTCACACTCAGCATCTGGGAACACAAGGCCTTGTCAGCTGTCACCTCCTTCCATTCTCTGTTTCCTTCCTCCTCTCCCCATGTTTGCTCATCATGTCCAGTCTCCTGCCATCCTGAATGCTTCTGATGGAAGGTCCAAGATGTCTCATGAGCATTGTGAAGATTCTTTGTAATGCGACCTTGTTCCAGGCAGGAATTCTCCCTCACCCACCCCTGGAAGCCAAGTATAGGGAGATTGCCATGTTTAATCAAAGACTGAGCTAACTTAACACTGGCTTTGGTTTTAAGGTTTCTCCAATCCCCAGGGCACAGGATTTCAGGGAGTTCAGGTGACAGTCTGGGTGTTACCCTTCAGGAGGTTGTAAAGTCCATTTCACATAGTTTACACCACAGACTATGGAAACTATATATATATATATATCTAGTGCTGTCCCTCTAGAGAACCCTAGTATGTATATATATAATATATAATATGTATTATATATTATATATATGTAGGAGTTTATTGAGGAGTATTAAACTCACACAACTGCAAGGTCCCACAGTAGGCCACCTGCAAGCTGAGGAGCAAGGAAGCCAGTCCGAATCCCAAAGCTGAAGAATTTGAAGTCTGATGTTCGAGGGCAGGAAGCATCCAGCACAGGAGAAAGATGTAGGCTGGGAGGCTAAGCCAGTCTAGTCTTTTCATGTTTTCTGCCTGCTTTATACCCTGGCCACACTGGCAGCTGATTAGATGGTGCCCACCAAGATTAAGGGTAGGTCTGCCTTTCCCAGCTCACTGGCTCAAATGTTAATCTCCTTTGGCAACACCCTCACAGACACACCCAGGATCAATACTTTGCATGCTTCAATCCAATCAAGTTGACACTCAGTATTAACCATCACAAGTCCAACCCTTGTCAACTTGAACCCATACGAATCTCCTGAGATCATACATAATCTTCAAATAAAGACAATAATAAGGTCATAATTACACCTAATGTAATACAACTATCTTTTGTACAACCAGAAATGCACCAATCCCCAACCCAAGTGCTATTATGTAAAGTTAAGAACACTTAAATGCTGATATGAAGTCAATAAATTTTATGTCACATGATAAAGGAAAAAAGAAATAAAATGAAGGAATTTTCTTAGTACAAGTGTGTACATGCACAAACATGTTTTTAACAAAAGAAGAAGGAAATACTGATGACAATTACAGTCCTCATTTCTGCAACAGATCACGTGGTTGTAGCTGGTATTGATGACTACTTCTTCTACTACCCATTCTGTATTCCCTTTGCCTTCAGCAAGCATCACAGCAGGTAGAGTTTTTTCTCCTAGTGGAGTGATGCAAACCTTCATTCCTGAAGGGTCTGGGCCATTTGTAGTCCTGCCTGGATTGGGCTGTTGTAGTTTCCCATTGACCTTAATGACAGGGCAGGGTAATGTTAAGAGATGCCCTAATGGATCTCCTGTATTCCATACATATTCTTCCTTACCTCCATTGTGGAGTAATAGACTGATTGCATCTTGATAGTTCAGGTCAATCAGCCCAGTCAACACTGTAACTCCCTTCTTAGCCTGTGGACTTGAAGGTAGGAGTGGCCCAAAGTGGCCAGGTGGAAATCTTAACTTCCAGTTTAATGGAATTGTTGTTGTTTCTCCTGATGGCAGCATTATTCCCACTGGAATTAAGACCTCTAGGCCAACAGAATGTAATATCATGGGACCAGGAAGCAAAAATTTTGCTAGGGGATCACTAGGGGTGATGGTGAATGGTGCCATTTCCACTCCCACCCCTTGATTCCTGGATCCATGAATTATGGCTATGGGAGAAACAGTACCATATGTTGGATGCTAATTTGGAGCATACATGGCCTTTTGGATAGCTTTGCCCCAGCTCTGCAAAGTATTGGAGCCTAGTTGGCATTGTAATTGTGATTTTGAAAGGCCATTCCATTCTTCTATCAATCCAGCTGCTTCAGGATGATGGGGAACATGGTAAGACAAGTGAATCCCATGAGCATGAGCCCACTGCCACACTTCTTTAGCCGTAAAGGGAGTGCCTTGGTCAGAGGCAATGCTATATGGAATACTGTGACAGTGGATAAGGCATTCCATGACTCCACAGATGGTAGTCTTGGCAGAAGCATTGCATGCATATCTGCAGTAAGTGTCTATTTCAGTGAGGACAAACCTCTGCCCTTTCCAGGATGGAAGAGGTCCAATATAATCCAACCTGCCATCAGGTAGCTCGCTGATCACCCTGAGGAATGGTGTCATTTGGGTAGAGACCCACAGCCAAACCAGATCACGCCACCCCAACCCCTCCCAAATCTCATGTCCTCTTTGCATTTCAAAACCAATCGTGCCTTCCCAACAGTCCCCCAACATCTTAACTCATTTCAGCATTAACTCAAAAGTCCAAATCCAAAGTCACATTGGAGACAAGGCAAGTCCCTTTCATCTATGAACCTGTAAAATGAAAAACAAGTCAGTTATTTCCAAGACAAAATGGGGGTACAGGCATTAGATACATGCTCCCATTTCAGTTGGGAGAAATGGGCCAGAATAAAGGGGCTACAGGTCACATGCAAGCCCAAACTCCAGTGGGGCAGTCATGAAATCTTAAAGCTTCAAAATAATCTCCTTTGACTCCATTCCTCACATTCAGGGCATGCTTATGCAAAGTGGGGGCTCCCACAACCTTGGGAAGCTCTCACCCTGTGGCTTTGCAGCTCTGATCCCATGGCTGCTCTCATGGGCTTTGCAGAGTTCAGCCCTCCTGGCTGCTCTCATTGAGTGCCTGCAGCTTTTCCAGGTGCACAGTGCAAGCTGTTAATAGATCTACCATTCTGGGGTCTGAAGGATGGTGGCCCTCTTCTCACAGCCCCATTAGTCACTGTCTCCGGTGGGGACTCTGTGTGGGGGTTCCAACCCCACATTTCCCTTCTGCACTGCCCTAGCAGAGGCTCTCCATGAGGGCTTTGCCCCTGGCACAGACTTCTGGCTGGACATCCAGTCATTTCTATAAATCCTCTGAGATCTAGGCAGAGGATCACAAAGCTGAACTCTTCTCTTCTGCACACCCATAGGCCCAACATCATGTAGAAGCCACCAATGATTGGGGCTTTCTGAAGCAATGGCCTGAGCTGTACATTGGACTTTTTTAGCCACAGCTAGACCTGGAGCAGCTGGGACACAGGGCACCAAGTCCCAAGGCTCCAAAGAGCAGCTGGGCCCTGGACCCAGCCCATGAAACCATTTTTCCCTGATAGGCCTCCAGGCCTGTGATTGGAAGGGCTGCTGCAAAGATCTCTGACATGGCCTGGAAACATTTTCCCCATTGTCTTGGTTATTAATATTCATCTCTTCATTATTTATGCAAATTTCTGCAGCCAACTTGAATTTCTCCCTAGCAAATGTGTTTTTCTTTACTACCACATGGCCAGGCTGCAAACTTTCCAAACTTTTATGCTCTGTTTCCCTTTTAAACATAAGTTCCTATTTCAGATCATCTCTCTCAAGGGCAAAGTTCCACAGATTTCTAGGGCAGGGAAAAATTCCATCAAGCTTGGTTTTATACAGGCATGAGACATCAATCAAATACATTTAAGAGATACATTGGTTTGGTCCAGAAAGGTGGAACAACTCAAAGCGAGGGCTTCCAGGCTATTGGTGAATTTAAACATTTTCTGGTTGACAATTGGTTGAGTTTGTCTAAAGACCTGGGATAGATAGAAAGGTAATGTTCAGGTTAAGATAAAGATTCTAGAGTCCAAAGTTCTTTTGAAGTCTTATAGTGGCTGCCCTTAGAGATAATAGGTGACAAATGTTTCCTATTCAGATCTTAGTTCAACTCTTTAGGATTGGGAGGTTCTAGAAGAAAAAGATCTAGCCATGTTAATAGAGATTCTTTACAGATGCAAATTTTCCCCCACAAAGAACAGCTTTGCAGGGCCCTTTCTTTCCTTCCTTCCTTCCTTCCTTCCTTCCTTCCTTCCTTCCTTCTTTCTTTCTTTCTTTCTTTCTTTCTTTCTTTCTTTCTTTTTAGACGGAGTTTTGCTCTTGTTGCCCAGGCTGGAGTACAATGGCACGATCTTGTCTCACCACAACCTCCACTGCCTGGGTTCAAGCAATTCTCCTGCCTCAGTCTCCTGAGTAGCTACGATTACAGGCATGCACCACCACACCCGGCTAATTCTGTATTTTTAGTAGACACAGGGTTTCTCCATGTTGGTGAGGCTGGTCTCGAACTCCCAACCTCAGGTGATCCGCCCACCTCAGCCTCTCAAAGTGCTGGGATTACAGGCATGAGCCACCATGCCCAGCCTGCAGGGCCATCTCAGAGTATGGCAAAGAAACATGTTTTGGGGTAAAATATTTTGATTTTCTTATTTGTCTCATAATGTTATGCCAGAGTCAGTTTGGAAAGTAAATCATGATATATAGGTTTAAATAAAACCTATCTGATGAGAATTTATGATTTGTAGAGCATGCCTCCCCAGACTCTTTAGATAGGAATTTGGGCAAGATAAAAAAAAAATCAGAGTTTAGTCCTCACCATCTAAGACCAGCTCAGCTTGGACTTCGCTGTTCATGTCACTATCAGCATTTTAGTCAAAACCACTCAATAAGTCTCTAGGAAGTTCCAAACTTTCCCACATCTTCCCCTCTTCTTTCAAGTTCTCCAAACTGTTCCAACCTCTGTCAGGAGGTACCCAGTTCCAAAGTTGCTTCCAGATTTTCAGTTATCTTTATAACAGTTCCCCACTCCTGGTACCAATTTACTATATTAGTCTGTTTTCACAGTGCTATAAAGAACTGCCCAAAAGTGGGTAATTTGTAAAGAAAAGAGGTTTAATTGACTCACAGTTCTGTGTGGTTAGGGTTGGGGGCTCAGGAAACTTGCAATCATGGTGGAAGTGGAAGCAGGCATGTGACACATGGCAGCAGGTGAGAGACAGAGAGAGAGAGAGAAAGAGAGAGAGAGGGAATGAAGGAGGAACCACCATACATTGATAAAACCATCAGATCACATGAGCACTCACTCACTATCAGGAGACCATGAGGACAGCATGGGGGAAATCACCCCCATGACCAAGTCACCTCCCACCAGGTCCATCCCTTGACACATGAGGATTACTATTTTTTTTTTTTTTTTTTTTTTTTTTGAGATGGAGTCTCACTCTGTCACCCAGGCTGGAGTGCAGTGGTGGGATCTCGGCTCACTGCAAGCTCCGCCTCCCGGGTTCACGCCATTCTCCTGCCTCAGCCTCCCAAGTAGCTGGGACTACAGGCGCCCGCCAGTACGCCCGGCTAATTTTTTGTATTTTTAGTAGAGACGGGGTTTCACCATTTTAGCTGGGATGGTCTCGATCTCCTGACCTCGTGATCCGCCCGCCTCGGCCTCCCAAAGTGCCGGGATTACAGGCGTGAGCCACCGCGCCCGGCCGAGGATTACTATTTGAGATGAGATTTGTTTAATGACACAGAGCAAAACCACATCAGCATGTGACAAAGGTCTAATATCAAGAATCTATGAGGGGGCAGTTCCAAGATGGCTGAATAGGAACAGCTCCAGTCTGCAGCTCCCAGCATGAGCTATGCAGAAGACGGGTGATTTCTGCATTTCCAACTGAGGTTCTGGGTTCATCTCATGGGGGCTTGTTGGACAGTGGGGGCAGGACAGTGTGTGCAGACCACCAAGAGTGAGCTGAAGCAGGGTGAGGCATTGCCTAACCCAGGAAGTGCAAGGGGTCAGGGAATTCCCGTTCCTAGCCAAGGGAAGTGGTGATGGATGGCACCTGGAAAATCCAGTCACTCCCACCCTAATACTGCACTTTTCCAATGGTCTTAGCAAACGGCACACCAGGAGATTATATGCCATGCCTGTCTTGGAGGGTCCCACACCCACAGAGCCTCGCTCATTGCTAGCACAGCAGTCTGAGATCAAACTGCAAGGTGGCAGCGAGGCTGGGGGAGGGGTGCCCATCATTGCTGAGGCTTGAGTAGGTAAACAAAGTGGCCCAGAAGCTCAAACTGGGTGGAGTCCACTGCAGCTCAAGGAGGCCTGTCTGCCTCTGTAGACTCCACCTCTGGGGGCAGGGCATAGCTGAACAAAAGGCAGCAGAAACCTCTGCAGACTTAAAGGTCCCTGTCTGACAGCTTTGAAGAGAGTAGTGGTTCTCCCACATGGACTTTGAGATCTGAGAATGGACAGACTGTCTCCTCAAGTGGGTCCCTGACACCCAAGTAGCCTAACTGGGAGGCACCCTCCAGTAGGGGCAGACTGACACCTCACACGGCCGGGTGCCTCTCTGAGATGAAGCTTCCAGAGGAATTATCAGGCAGCAACATTTGCTGTTCAGCAATACTCGCTGTTCTGCAGCCTCTGCTGCTGATACCCAGCAAAATAGGGTCTGCAGTAGACCTCCAGCAAACTCCAACAGACCTGCAGCTGAGGGTCCTGACTGTTAGAAGGAAAACTAACAAACAGAAAGGACATCCACATGAAAACCCCATCTGTACGTCACCATCATCAAAGACCAAAGGTAGATAAAACCACAAAGATGGGGGAAAAACAGAGCAGAAAAGCTGAAAATTCTAAAAATCAAAGTGCCTTTCCCCCTCCAAAGGAACGCAGCTCCTCGCCAGCAATGGAACAAAGCTGGATGGAGAAAGACTTTGACGAGTTGAGAGAAGAAGGCTTCAGATGATCAAACTACTCCGAGCTAAAGGAGGAAGTTGGAACCCATTGCAAAGAAGCTAAAAACCTTGAAAAAAGATCAGATGAATAGCTAACTAGAATAACCAGTGTAGAGAAGTCCTTAAATGACCTGATGGAGCTGAAAACCATGGCACGAGAACTACGTGATGAATGCACAAGCTTCAGTAGCTGATTCGATCAACTGGAAGAAAGGGTATCAGTGATTGAAGATCAAATGAAAGAAATGAAGGGAGAAGAGAAGTTTAGAGAAAAAAGAGTAAAAAGAAAGAAACAAACCCTCCAAGAAATATCAGACTATGTGAAAAGACCAAATCTATGTCTGATTGGTGTACCTGAAAGTGACAGGGAGAATGGAACCAATTTGGAAAACACTCTGCAGGATATTATCCAGGAGAACTTCCCCAACCTAGCAAGACAGGCCAACATTCAAATTCAGGAAATACAGAGAATGTCACAAAGATACTCCTCGAGAAGAGCAACTCCAAGACACATAATTGTCAGATTCACCAAAGTTGAAATGAAAAAAAAATATTAAGGGCAGCCAGAGAGAAAGGTTGGGTTACCCACAAAGGGAGGCCCATCAGACTAATAGCTGATCTCTCAGCAGAAACTCTACAAGCCAGAAGAGAATGGGGGCCAATATCCAACATTCTTAAAGAAAAGAAATTTCAACCCAGAATTTCATATCCAGCCAAACTAAGCTTCATAAGTGAAGGAGAAATAAAATCCTTTACAGACAAACAAATGCTGATACACTTTGTCATCACCAGGCCTGCCCTACAGGAGCTCCTGAAGGAAGCACTAAAAGTGGAAAGGAACAACTTGTACCAGCCACTGCAAAAACATGCCAAATTGTAAAGACCACCAAGGCTAGGAAGAAACTGCATCAACTAATGAGCCAAATGACCAACTAACATCATAATGACAGGATCAAATTCACACATAACAATATTAACGTTAAATGTAAATGGGCTAAATGCTCCAATTAAAAGACACAGACTGGCAAATTGGATAAAGAGTCAAGACCCATCAGCGTGCTGTTTTCAGGAGACCGATCTCACATGCAGAGACACACATAGGCTCAAAATAAAGGGATGGAGGAAGATCTACCAAGCAAATGGAAAACAAAAATAGGCAGGAGATGCAATCCTAGTCTCTGATAAAACAGACTTCAAACCAACAAAGATCAAAAGAGACAAGGAAGACCATTACATAATGGTAAAGGGATAAATTCAACAAGAAGAGCTAACTATCCTAAATATATATGCACCCAATACAGGAGCGCCCAGATTCATAAAGCAAGTCCTTAGAGATCTACAAAGAGACTTAGACTCCCACACAATAATCATAGGAGACTTTAACACCCCACTGTCAACATTAGACAGATCAACGAGACAGAAAGTTAACAAGGATATCCAGGAACTGAACTCGGCTCTGCACCAAGCAGACCTAATAGACATCTACAGAACTCTCCACGCCAAATCAACAGAATATACATTCTTTTCAGCACCACACCACACCTATTCCAAAATTGACCACATAGTTGGAAGTAAAGCACTCCTCAGCAAATGTAAAAGAATAGAAATTATAACAAACTGTCTCTCAGACCACAGTGCAATCAAACTAGAACTCAGGATTAAGAAACTCACTCAAAACGGCTCAACTACATGGAAACTGAACAACCTGCTCCTGAATGACTACTGGGTACACAACGAAATGAAGGCAGAAATAAAGATGTTCTTTGAAACCAATGAGAACAAAGACACAACATACTAGAATATCTGGGACACATTCAAAGCAGTGTGTAGAGGGAAATTTATAGCACTAAATGCCCACAAGAGAAAGCAGGAAAGATCTAAAATTGACACCCTAACATCACAATTAAAAGAGCTACAGAAGCAAGAGCAAACACATTCAAAAGCCCGAAGAAGGCAAGAAATAACTAAGATCAGAGCAGAACTGAAAGAAACAGAGACACAAAACACCCTTCAAAAAATCAATGAATCCAGGAGTTGGTTTTCTTTAAAAGATCAACAAAATTGATAGACCACTAGCAAGACTAATAAAGAAGAAAAGAGAGAAGAATTAAATAGATGCAATAAAAAATGATAAAGGGGATATCACCACTGATCCCACAGAAATACAAACTACCATCAGAGAATACTATAAACACCTCTATGCAAATAAACTAGAAAATATGGAAGAAATGGATAAATTCCTCGACACATTCACCATCCCAAGACTAAACCAGGAAGAAGTTGAATCTCTGAATAGACCAATAACAGGCTCTGAAATTGAGGCAGTAATTAATAGCTTACCAACCAAAAAAAGTCCAGGACCAGATGGATTCACAGCCGAATTCTACCAGAGGTACAAGGAGGAGCTGGTACCACTCCTTCTGAAACTATTCCAATCAATAGAAAAAGAGGGAATCCTCCCTAACTCATTTTATGAGGCCAGCATCATCCTGATACCAAAGCCTGGCAGAGACACAACAAAAAAAAGAGAATTTTAGACGAATAACCCTGATGAACATAGATGCAAAAATCCTCAATAAAATACTGGCAAACTGAATCCAGCAGCACATCAAAAAGCTTATCCACCATGATCAAGTGGGCTTCATCCCTGGGATGCAAGGCTGGTTCAACATACACAAATCAATAAACGTAATCCAGCGTATAAACAGAACCAACAACAAAAAACACATGATATCTCAATAGATGCAGAAAAGGCCTTTGACAAAATTCAACAACGCTTCATGCTAAAAACTCTCAATAAATTAGGTGTTGATGGGATGTATCTCAAAATAATAACAGCTATCTATGACAAACCCACAGCCAATATCATACTGAATGGGCAAAAACTACAAGCATTCCCTTTGAAAGCTGGCACAACACAGCGACACCCTCTCTCACCACTCCTATTCAACATAGTGTTGGAAGTTCTGGCCAGGGCAATGAAACAGGAGAAGGAAATAAAGGGTATTCAATTAGGAAAAGAGGAAGTCAAATTGTCGCTGTTTGCAGATGACATGATTGTATATCTAGAAAACCCCATCGTCTCAGCCCAAAATCTCCTTAAGCTGATAAGCAACTTCAGCAAAGTCTCAGGATACAAAATCAATGTGCAAAAATCACAAGCATTTCTATAACCCAATAACAGAAAAACAGAAAGCCAAATCAGGAGTGAACTCCCATTCACAATTGCTTCAAAGAGAATAAAATACCTTGGAATCCAACTTACAAGGGACGTGAAGGACCTCTTCAAGGAGAACTACAAACCACTGCTCAATGAAATAAGAGGATACAAACAAATGGAAAAACATTCCATGATTATGGGTAGGAAGGATCAATATCCTGAAAATGGCCATACTGCCCAATGTAATTTATAGATTCATTGCCATCCCCATCAAGCTACCAATGACTTTCTTCACAGAATTGGAAAAAATTATTTTAAAGTTCATATGGAGCCCAAAAAGAGCCCGCATTGCCAAGTCAATCCTAAGCCAAAAGAACAAAGCTGGAGGCATCAAGCTACCTGACTTCAAACTATACTACAAAGCTACAGTAACCAAAACAGCATGGTACTGGTACCAAAACAGAGATATAGACCAATGGAACAGAACAGAGCCCTCAGAAATAATGCCGCATATCTACAACTATCTGATTTTTGACAAACCTGACAAAAATAAGAAATGGGGAAATGATTAGCTATTTAATAAATGGTGCTGGGAAAACAGGCTAGCCATATGTAGAAAGCTGAAACTGGATCCCTTCCTTACACCTTATACAAAAATTAATTCAAGATGGATTAAAGACTTAAATGTTAGGCCTAAAACCATGAAAACCCTAGAAGAAAACCTAGGCATTATCATTCAGGACATAGGCATGGGCAAGGACTTCATGTCTAAAACACCAAAAGCAATGACAACCAAAGCCAAAATTGACAAATGGGATCTAATTAAACTAAAGAGCTTCTGCACAGCAAAAGAAACTACCATCAGAGTAAACAGGCAACCTACAGAATGGGAGAAAATTTTTGCAATCTACTCATCTGACAAAGGGCTAATATCCAGAATCTACAATGAACTCAAACAAATTTACAAGAAAAACGAACAACCCCATTAAAAGTGGGCAAAGGATATGAATAGACACTTCTCAAAAGAAGACATTTATGCAGCCAAAAGACACATGAAAAAATGCTCATCATCACTAGCCATCAGAGAAATGCAAATCAAAACCGCAATGAGATACCATCTCACACCAGTTAGAATGGCAATCATTTAAAAGTCAGGAAACAACAGGTGCTGGAGAAGATGTGTAGAAATAGGAACACTTTTACACTGTTGGTGGGACTGTAAACTAGTTCAACCATTGTGGAAGTCAGTGTGGCGATTCCTCAGGGATCTAGAACTAGAAATACCATTTGACCCAGCCATCCCATTACTGGGTATATACCCAAAGGATTATAAAACATGCTGCTATAAAGACACATGCACACATATGTTTATTGCGGCACTATTCACAATAGCAAAGACTTGGAACCAACCCATATGTCCAACAATGATAGACTGGATTAAGAAACTGTGGCACATATACACCATGGAATACTACACAGCCATAAAAAAGGATGAGTTCATGTCCTTTGTAGGGACATGGATGAAGCTGGAAACCATCATTCTCACCAAACTATCGCAAGGACAAAAAGCAAACACCACATGTTCTCACTCATTGGTGGGAATTGAATAATGAGAACACTTGGACACAGGAAGGGGAACATCATACACCGGGGCCTGTTGTGGGGTGGGGGGAGGGGGGAGGGATAGCATTAGGAGATATACCTAATGTTAAATGATGAGTTAATGGGTGTAGCACACAAACATGGCACATATATACATATGTAACAAACCTGCACGTTGTGCACATGTACCCTAAAACTTAAAGTATAATAAAAAAATTAAAAAAAAAGAAACACCTGCTTTTTCCTGTTTTCCATTTGCTTTGTTGATTTTTCTCCATCCTTTTACTTTGAGCCTGTGGATGTCACTGCATGTGAGATGGGTCTCTTGAAGACAGCATACATTTGGGTCTTGCTTCTTTATCCAACTTGGCAATTCTGTGCCCTTTAATTGGGGCATTTAGTCCATTTACATTCAAGATTAATATTGATATGTGCATATTTCATCCTGTTATCATGTTGTTAGCTGCTCAATATGCAGATTTGATTGTATAGTTGATTTATAGTGGCAATCGTTATGTACTTAAGTGTGTTTTTGTGGTGGTCAGTAACATTCTTCCATTATCATATTTAGCAATCCCTTAAGGACCTCTTGTAAGGGAAATATAGTGGTGATGAATACCCTTAGCATTTGCTTGTCTGAAAAGGATCTTATTTCTCCTTCACTTGTGAAGCTTAGTTTGGCTAGATATGAAATTCTTGCTTGGAATTTCTTTTCTTTAAGAATGCTGAATATAGGCCCCTAATCTCTTCTGGATTGTACAGTTTCTGGTGAAACATCCACTGTTAGCCTCATTGGGTTCCCTTTGTATGCGACCTGAACCTTCTTTCTAGCTGCCTCTAACATTTTTTTTTTCCTTTCAACCTTTAAGAGTCTGATGGCTATATGTCTTAGGGATGGTTGTCATGTATAATATCTTGCAGAGGTTCTTTGCATTTCTTGAATTTGAATGTTGGCCTCTCTGGTGAGGTTGGAGAAATTTTCATGGAGGATAGCCTGAAATGTTTTTCAAGTTGCTTTGTTTCTCTTTCTCTTTTTAAGGGATACCAATGTGTCATAGGTCTGATCTTTTTACATAATCACCCATTTCTCTGAGGTTTTATGCCTTCTTTTTTGTTCTCTTTTCCTTTATTTTTGTCTGACTGAGTTAATTCAGAGAATCAGTTTTTAAGCTCTGTGATTCTTTCCTCAGCTTGGTCTATTCTGCGGTTAATACTTGTAGTTGTATTCTGAAATTCTTGAAGTGAGTTTTTTAGCTCTATCAAATCATTTTGATTCTTTCTTAAAATGGCCACTTCATCTTTCAGCTTCTGTATCATTTTACTTTATTTCTTAGCTCCCTTGGATTGGGTTTCAACATTCTCCTGAATCTCAGTTATCTTCTTTCCTATCCATATTCTGAATTCTATGTCTGTCATTTCAGCCATTTCAGTCAGGTTAAGAACCATTGCTGGGAAACCAGTGTGGTCGTTTGGAGGTAAGAAGACACTCTGGATTTTAGAGTTGCAGAGTTTCTTGCATTAATTCTTTCTCATCTTTGTGGGCTGTTTCTTTAATCTTTGAAGTGGCTGTCCTTTGGATGTTTTTTTCTTTTTTGTTGTTTTTTGGTGTGTGTTTTTGTTTGTTTGTTCATTTGTTTGTTTTTTGCTCTTATCTTCTTTGATACTCTTGCAGGTTTGATTGTGGTATAAAGTGGGTTCAGTTAGCTGTGTTTCTTGAAAATCTTAGGGGGTCCAGGCTGACCTCAGCACTCTTGTGGTGTGTTCTCTGCTCTGGGACTGGGCCCCTGGCTTTATTCTCTGGCCCCTTGAGTTTAGAAACTTGCTGCATTGGAGGGGCTGAGTTTTTCCCAGTCCACTGGCCACAACACTATAGTAGGTGGTGCCGGCCAAAGCACTTCATTAGAGTGGTGGCAGTGGGATCCATTCTCACTCATAGGTGCCAGCAGTTGTGGTGTCATGGCAGGGTGCACATGCCTCTGCTGGGGTGGGGGTACTGGCAGGAGCAGGGTGGCAGCATCCCTACATAGGTTCCTGCTGGCAGTCACAGGACAGTGAGGTGCCTGTGTGTTGGCAGGGACAGGGTGGCGGGGTGCACATGCACATGCTTGCTGGTGGTAGAGGGAGTTGTGATCCGCTGTGCACTCATGCCAGCAAAGCAGTTGGGAGGTGCTATGGGTGGACTGGTGCACATCAGCAGAGGCTGGCTTGCTGGAGGTCCCCAATGGTTAGGCATGGTCTGCTGGCAAAGGAGCTATGATGAGGGCCCCCAGGAAACACCCTGGTTGGGCTTCCAAGGCTGTACTGCAAGCAGGCACAGCCAGCCTGGGGCCCCAGGAGAGGCCAGAAGGCAAGGAAATGCTCATTTCAGATGGACCCTGTCCCATGGACAAGACCACCCTGCTATATTCAGCTCCAATAGTCACTCTAAGGTTAAAATCTCCTAGAGGAGGTTGGTGAGCCTTGGGGGATGGGTGTCACCTGGCTGTGCTCCACTACAGCCATTCTCATGTCAAACACTCTGGGCTTTACACAGACTGGAGTCCTACCCTTGGTATCCCTCTAAGCAGCTGTCCCTGCCAGCACAAGTGTCCATGGGGGTCATGGGGTCTCCTGCTGCTAGGATTCTGGAGGCCCATGGCAACAGCAGGCCACTCCTCACCTGTTCAACTCAACCTTTCCCCAGGAGTTGCTGGGAGCCAGGAATGAGTCCTGGTGCTCGGCATCCCCATGCAGGGTTCCCATCTTCCTCCACCTTCAGCCCGGCATCTCTCAGTCCACTCTCAATGCCTTCCCTTTAAAGATCTGCTTGGAAAGCACCAGTCTTCCTGATGTCTCACTCCCTCCATGGCAGATGTTCCTCCTGGCTGCATCTAGTCAGCCATCTTGACTCACCTCCAAAGTCTTTTTAATTACCACTTTGGTTAAATTAGTAACTATCATTTTACAATGGCCTGTGATTCTGTTTTGATCAAATATTTTGAGCCTTTTAGCATCTATAACAAATGTTCTCAAAAATCTAAATTCTAAATCAAGTCTCTGAGACCCTTGAAAGGGTGTGAGAGACAACATGGTTTCACCTGCCTTCATGTGTCCCAACCCATCCCTGTGGATGCCTCTGTCCACCTCAGCTTGCCCACTGTCTTTCCTTCCGAAATGTATGCCCTGCTGACTTCTGGCCTCAGTGACAGATGCAAAGACAAGGCGACAGCCCCACATAGACCATTTAACCAGCCCCACATTTGCATAGGCTAAATGGTCATGTCACAGTCTGTTGCTCAGACTGGTCTCAAATCCTGGGCTCAAGTGATCCACCCACCTTGACCCCCAAGGTGCTGGGATTACAGGCTTGAGCCACAGTGCCCAGCCAAGAACCCGTTTTTGACTGGGCACCTTGGCACACACCTGTAAATGCAACACTTTGGGAGGCCAAGGTGGGAGGGTGGCTTGAGGCCAGGAGGTTGAGGTTGCACTGAGCTATGATGGCACCACCTCACTTCAGTGTGGGTGGCAGGCAGAGTGAGATCCTTTCGAAAAAAAAAAAAACAAAACTTGTTTTCTCTGCAGCCGGGCTCCATAAGCAAACACAAACACAAACTTCCTCTCCAGAGGGTCCAGGAGTTGCTGGGCTGCAGGAGGTGCTTAGGGCCTCTTAGGGAATGGTAAGTGACCACCCAACGCAGGAACTCAGCCCCAGGGGCATATGCAAAGAAAGGCTGGGAGGACACTTTCAGTGACTGGGGTTACAAACCCCAACCATAAGCCATTGCTGGCTCTGTGAGCTGAAACCTCCAGAAATCTCCCACTTAGTTCTTAGCACTAATCCACTCTTCCTTTTTCCTACTCTCAATCCCTAGAGGATGCCCTCCTTTCTCAGGCCCAGACCAAGCTACCAGCTCCACTCTAGACCTGAACACATAACTCCTCCCTCTGTCTCCACCTGGAAATCTCATCAGTGCCTCACATTTACACTCCTGAAAATCAGGTCCTGCCCACCCACCCTCTTGCTCCACCTGATTCCTGCCCTGTTTCACCCAGAGGCCTTGCAGTCTCCTTTAACTCTCAAACCCACCCATGTCATGTGAGCATACTGACTGTGTTCTATGTAAGAAAGAGCAGTTTCTTGGTTGTCCTGCGGTTTTATTAGTCTATAGGCAAAGTGTTGGCAGAGCTGGTTCCTTCTGAACCCTGGGAGGGAGATTCTGTTTTCATGCCTTTTCCAGATTCTAGAACCCATATTCCTTGCTCTGTGTCCCCTTCTTCCATCTTCAAAGGCCATCCTCTCATTTCTGTGTCCATCATCACATCACCCTTCCCCTGACTCTGGCTCTCCTGCTTCCACTTATAAGCACCCTTGTGATTATGTCATACCCACCCAGAAAATGCAGGGTCATATTCTCCCCTCTCGAGATTAATTTAATCACATCTACAAAGTTCCTCGTGCCATATGAGGTCACAAATCCACATGTTCTGGGAGTTTGAATGTAAACATTTGGGGGATGCATTATTCAGCCACCCACAAGCACTGCTCCCCACTGGCCACACACTATGCACAGCTGAGATCGTGCAAGTGAAGCACATTCATCAACAGCAGCTTCAGCAAGAAACTGTATGCTCCACTTTCCTGCCATTTGTATCTGGATTTTTTTTTGCTATCATTGTAGAAAGAGTGGTATTGTAAAATTAAAGATGGATTATTTTCTTCCTAGAGCACTTTGGCAATCTGTCCAACATTATTTATCCCCTTCTGAGTGTCAAGTGTGAGGTCATTCTTTCATTGAGAGCTCAATGCCTACAATTATGATAATGCATATTGGGTACTTTCACACATCAGAAAGTTCTTCTTTCTTAAAATCTGTTCTTGAATTATTCATTCTTCTCTAGCTTTTTGTTGATCTATTTTATAATTTTAGAAAAATCAGAAAGTAACTTGAAGTATCTGTCATCTCTAGAGGTTTACCTCCCTCTTTGTGGCCTTCAGAATGCCATAACAGGCTTTTCCCATGCTCATCACATGGTTTCTATGTATGAGACCTCACCACAGGAGCTGTGGTCCGCCGGGAGCAGGCATCTGTGGATGGCGCCTTATTCCGGGCTGCTGGGACCTGTGCGCTGCCAGTGGCACTCCACGGCGGTGATTTCCTAGCTCAGTGTTGCAGCTCCAGATGGTGGGTGAGACACTAGGACCACTTTGTGAACAGCGAGGGCTTGGGGTTTGCTTTTCTACCATGTCCAGGGCTGCTCTTCATGGGGAATGTTTCTCACCTGACGTCATGGCTGAAGCCAACTTAGAACCTCTCTAGCCGTATGGGGAGTATGTGAGTGATACAGATGTTAATTAGCTCAGTGGAGCCACTCCCCTATGTAGACATGTTACAAAACATTATGCTGTACAGAATAAATATAGGTCATTTTTATGTGTCAATCAAAAGAGAAACTAATTATTAAAAAAAAAACCTCTCTACTAAAGCAGAAACCTCAGCTCCAGTCCCAGAAGTCACACAAGGCTGCTCCTGTCCTGTGTATGTTAAACCTACCTCAGAAATGCAAGGGGCATTCAGGTTTCATTCTCAATTCAAATGCCCTTTTTAATTTTGTCTATTCCTAGCACCTGGCAACATCCAGCTCTTTTTTTGGGGCTCATTCATTATTTAAACCATGTATAATTTTTCACCCAACATTCTAACACATGTAGTACTGTAGAGAATCCTTCCCTAGGAGGATCTGCAGCATTAGAAAAGAATTAAGAAGTCCAACATTTACAAGAAGGAAAAAGCAAAGAAGAGATCAAAAAATGGGCAACTTCTAGAAATAGAAAACCCTCATGAGTATGATGATAAATCGCTGGCACACATGTGAATAGTTACTTGATGCTTATAGTGATGTCTGGGAAAATGACATGAAATACTTATAATCTGTTTCTCACACATGTAATTCAAAAGAATAAAGAGAAGATGATTTGAAATATTCTTGAGTTTGCAGGAAAAAAGCTACTTCCATATGCATAATTGCATGTATTTTGATACTGCCATTATTAATAACTATCTAAGAGGGTCCATTAAAAATAAAATTTCTTGGCTGGGTATGATGGCTCATGCCTGTATCCCGGCACTTTGGAAGGCTGAGGCAGGTGGATCACCTGAGGTCAGAAGTTCAAAACCAGCCTGGCCAACATGGTGAAACCCTGTCTCTACCAAAAATACAAAAATTAGCTGGGCATGGTGGCGTGCACCTGTAGTCCGAGCTACTTGGGGGGCTGAGGCAGGATAATCGTTTGAACCCAAGAGGTGTAGGTTGCAGTGAGCTAAGATCACATCACCGCACTCCAGCCTGAGAGACAAAGTAAGACTCTGTCTCAAAAATATTAAAATAAAATTTCTCATTCCTATTACAGAGTAATTTAATTCATTAATGCCCTGCCCTGTTACAAAACTCATTTGTAAAATACTAATTGTAATTGTGAAAAAATGGCAATTGATACTAATTTTAAATTCTAAAAACAGGGCACCCATATTAAAGATTATTCTGCAGTAAGAGAATTAGCTATAACATTTTGTAATAAGGTGGAGAAAACATTCTCCAACTTACAATGGTTGGTGAGAAGAAAGTTTCCAGCACAGTAGATGGACCCTAAGAGACTTTGTTGAAATAATAAGACAAAAAGATATACAGAGAGATGGGCCAGATGAAGGGAGACAGAGAGAGAGAGAGAGAGGCAGAAATGAGAGATACAAAGTGAAAGAGGGCAACCTGTGGGGTCATCAGGGATTTGTTTTCTGTTTTGTTTATTCTAACATAAAGGCAATGGTGAGTCATCAATGTATTTAGAGTTTGCACAATCACTGTGGAACACAGACAGACACGGGGGAAGAGGAGAAACACAGGGCGGTAGCTTGCCCTTGGACTGTTCTAAGTTCCTCAAAACATAGCAGTTTTGCCCAACCTAAGGGAACTTTCAGCAGCTGCTCTTCTGCCATAGGCCTCTTTCCTGCCTTGTTTTCATGTGGCTGTTTCTGTTCCTGCAGGTCTTAGCTCATCAGACAGGCATTTATTACCTCTGTGTCAACAGTGGGAGCTTCCATTACTCTCTAGCATTACACTCCCCTTCCTCTTTCAGGAAACTTAACATGGAAGTGAGTTTGCCATCGGCCTTCTCCCCACAGTGTTAATAGTGGTGAGGAAGCCAGCCTGTTCCACCTTGCCCCTCCCATGATTCCAACACTGAGTTCAGACTTGTCACATGGAACTTATCCTTGCATGTTTGCCGCACAGACAGATGGACCCAACCATGGATTAGTGGATGGATGGATGGATGGATGGATGGATGGATGAATGGCTGAGTAGGTGTGTGGATGGAAGAGTGGAAAGATAGATGGATGCATGTATGGGTGGATGGGTAGGTTGATGGATGCATGGGTGGGTGGATGAATGAGTGGGTAGGTGGGTGGCTACATGCATGGATGAGTACTTGGATAGATAAGTGAGTGGATGGTTGGATGGATGGATGGATGGATGAATGGGTATGTGAAGGGATGGATGTATTAGAGTGGGTAGTTAGGCAGGCATGAGCTGATAGTCAAGTGATTGTTAAACTGCCTCTCTAAAATAATAATTGGTCTCGGCTGGACATGGTGGCTCACGCCTGTAATACCAACACTTTGGGAGGCTGAGGCGGGTGGATCACAAGGTCAAGAGATCGAAACCATCCTGGCCAACATGGCGAAACCCTGTCTTTACTAAAAATACAAAAATTAGCTGGGCGTGGTGGCGTGCATCTATAGTTCCAGCTACTCGGGAGGCTGAGGCAGGAGAATTGCTTGAACCTGGGAGGCAGAGGCTGCAGTGAGCTGAGATTGCGCCACCACACTCCAGCCTGGTGGTAGAGCAAAGCCCTGTCTCAAATAATAATAATAATAATAAATAATAATAATTGATCTCAGCGGGCACCAAGAAAAGGCAGTCTCCCAATAGATAGAAAACACCCGAAACTGGTCATCAGCAGCTTCCCGATAAGATCTCAGGAGTTGGATGAGTGGGCTCAAGCATATGCACTAAGAGGCAAAGTGGCAGAGTTTAACTGGCACATAATCTTCCTCTAGGAACACTCTAAAAGTAAGAGAAAAACACCTCAAATGAGCATGTGCACATTTCATTAAACCCATTGTGTACGCGGCCCCTCCGAAGCACTGGCAGGCCACTGTACATGTGGACATCCCACCCCAAGGGAAAAATCAAGGGAGAAGAAATACAAATCCCAGAACCATGCCAATGTATAAAACCCCAAGTCAAGGGCCAGGCAGAGCACTTAGATCTCTCAAGTCACCCACTTAGCCATCTTCCAAGTGTACTTTACTTCCTTTCGTTCCCACTCTAAAACTTTAATAAACATTTACTCCTGCTCTAAAACTTGCTTGGGTCTCTCACTCTTCTGCATGCCCCTTGGCCAAATTCTTTCCTCCAAGGAGGCAAGAATCAAGTTGCTGCAGACCTGTATGGATTCGCTCCTGCTAACAGATGGCTGGATGGGTGGACAGATGCATGAATTAGTGGATGGATGTTTGGATGTGTGGGTGGGTGGGTGGATTGTGGGATGGCTGGATGAATGCATGGCTGGGTGGGTGGATGGATGCATGGATAAGTGATGGATGGATGGATGGGTGAGTGGATGGGTGGATGTGTGTGTGGATGGGTGGATGGGAAAACCCTTTAATTGATTACAGGGTTCAGTGTGTGCTTCAACATCATGATGGCATCATCACATTGGTCTCTGTATGAAGCAGTGGGGGAGGAGAGTGTACCAGGGGAGCAGGAATGACTTTTCTCCAGAATCAACCTCTCCCACCCTGCAGCCTGGGCTGTGCAGGCCACATTGGAGAAGGTGGGCTCGACTACTCCTAAATGTTGTTGTGTTCAATGGCTTGTTGACGTTGATGTAGGAATGAGCCTACACCTCCACCATAGATGGAACTGTTTGGGTCCCCAAAGCAGAAAGCCTCTTCTGTTGCAGGTGCTGAAGTTTCCATCTTCTTCTGCTTATACGGAAGCTCACGCATCCCTTGGGTGGCAGGCGTCAGGTTCCTGTGCGCACTGAGCTCCTCCCTTACGTGCTTTGGACAGAAGTGTGAGGCATGCAAGATTGCTGCAGGAAGTCCACCTGTGGGGATGCTGTGACTTCTCCAGCAAGAACACAAGTCTGCTCATTGACCGTCACCACACATAACAAATTAAGTATCCCTTTTTTGATAACATGTCATTGTTTCACAGAGTATTCTTTTAAAGTGTATAAGTTGACTGCAGTTATTATTTTTTGCTTCTGTTACTAATTTACACATGATTAGGCACAATTTACACTTAAGAAATTTCTTAATAGTTTTTTCCTCCTTAAGGTGAGCTATAGTCAGATAACATACTTATCAATTGTCTCTAGCTCTTGTCAGAAAAAAATATAGGGGTGTGTGTGTGTGTGTGTGTTTTGGCCTTTCCAATGATGAATTAAGATGTGCATTGAGAAGGCGTTCACTTTATTTGACGTTAAGGAAGTACCAAGAAGACGCTCTCCACAGGCCCTGGGAAAGCCAGCAGCTGCACCCCGAGGCTGTGCCAAGCAGGGAACAAGGAGGCAGCACCACCTGCTGGGCAGGGAAAAAGCCCTCCCAGTCCCTGCCGCTTCTCTGCAGAGGCACAAAGAGCTGACCCTTCTCCTGGGCCTTCTCCTGGGCTGATGAGATTGCTCCCTGATATGCCAAATTAGGGTTGTGCATCTGAGGCTCTCTCTAGACTCTCAGCTCCTTCCTACTCCTGCGAAGTGAAGAAAACAATGCCAAGGGTTCCTGGAGGCGTCTCTTCCCCTGGAGAGTTTTGACTCCTTTCAATAGTCTCCACTACCCAGCCGTCACTCCATGTCCTCCGTTTCTCCCGAAAGCGGTGCCCAGTCTGATTCCACCGTGGCAGGGATAACAAGGGGCCAGGACATCAGGGGAGAGAAGTTTCTACCTGAGTCACAGCAGCGGCTGCCCTGCAGACTCCTGAAGACACAAGACACATTTCCATCCCAGAGACTCGGCGAAATGCAACCTCAGGCTAGAGAGAGCCAGTTATTTTTTCTTGTTCTGTCCTGGAGAGGCCACTGGGAAAGTCGTGCCCCTTGTTGAGGAAAACATGAGATCTCTCTGCGTCGTCCTCTGCCTGATGGCTATACTTCCATGTGAGTGTCTCAGAGATTTCAGAACTGGGGCTGTGGGCTGTGGTGTCCGTTTGCGACTCATGTCTTTGCTTCTTGGCCCTGAGTGTCCTGCATCAAGTGCAGCTACTAGAGTCATGCCCAGGGCTGGTGAGGTCCTCACAGACCTCTGGGCCTGGACCCAGCAGCACTCTGGGAAGGCACTGGGGCACCTCAGCTCCAGGGGCAGCACACACTTCAGCCCACCCTTCTGGGCCAACTGTCCATCTGCAGAGACACATCCAAGGCCCAGTTATCCCTGCAGCTGAGCTCCGTGATGGCCAAGGGCAGGGCCACACATTCCCGTGGGAGACAGAATGGGTACCTCAGTGTGAGCCCAGACACAAACCTCCCTGCAGGGAAGCACAAGACCACCAGGCGGCGCTCCAGACCACAGAGAAGAAAATCTGTGTCTATATATAGACAGCCTAGGATGCATGAGGCCTCTCACCCCTGGGAACGCTGAGCAGCCACCAGGAGCCCACACTTTGAGGTACAGCAGGAGCCATGCACTCTCACTCTTGCTCACTCACGCTCCTGCACACAGCCACTGACACATGCCCTCATGCACGTTGCAGATTAACTCCACTGGCCTTGCACTTGCAACGCTGGAGGCTGAGAGGTATCCACAGGTTCTTTTCTCATGAGAGGGGCGGGCTGACTTTCACTTGTGGAGAGGCAGCTCCACGAACACTGGCTGTCCTGAGTGGATGCACCTGGCTCTGGAATTCCTGTCATTTTTTTTGGATCCAGGAGCCCCTGCCTCATGTAGCTACTTAACAGAAAGGAGGAATCCACCCAGGACATGCCCAGACAGGAGCCTCACAGGACGGACAGTGGTGTCTGGGGTCACGGGCAGCCCTGACCCAGCAGCACCAGCACCAGCACACCCAGTGGGGAAGGCAGGGAGGCCGAAATGCCACCCACGGTTTGTTATTTCACTGGGTGGGACCTGGCACCCCTGCCTTCCTGACACCCTGGAATCCCTGCCTCCTCCTAGAGCCTCCAAGCCCGTCTCCCTCAGAGCCTCCAGAGACAGACCTGGGGAGCCATTTCCTCAGGCCCTGGACAAGGAAACGGAATTCCAGGTTATGGGTGCCTGGGGCAGGTCTCAGGCAGGTGCTGGGAACCAGAGACAGCAGTCACCGCGAGGCCTTAGGCCTGGCACCAGCACTTTGAGCCTCAGTTTACCAGCCCACAAGGTGCTGAGTCTGGACTGGATGACCTTCCCACCCCCAGTGACCTCTGACCTTTCCCGAGCATGTCAGCTCTGCACCAGCATCCTGGTGTGAGCCCAATGCCACTTTTTTTTCTCAACAAATAAGAAAGGAGGAAGGTGCCCCCAGGGCCCTGTGCCCTGAGGATGCCTGTGTGGAGGGGTCCATTTCATCACTGGTGTCACTCACAGGAAGGGACGAAGCCACCTGCCTTGACGGAGCTTACTCCACCTCCGCGGAAGGCCGGGGAGGTCCCTCACAGCGAACCTGAGGCCCAGCAGGCTGCAGAGGTGCTGACAGGGAATGACTGCTCAGATGCCGGGGGCCGGCAGAGAGGACGGATATGGGGATGCACACTGAGGAGCCTCTCCTTGGAGATGGAGACACGTGGACCACATGGACCAGGACACACTCCATGAAGCCTCACACTCCCCTGAGCTGCAGCTCAAGGGCCTCTCTCTGAGCCCACGGTCCCACCCCTGGGAGGCAGCTGCCCCAGCTCTGAGGGAGGAGGGCATCCACCAGACCCTCCATCTCCTGGGGGCACCAGCCCAGCCCAGCGGCTCTGCAGGACTCTGCACCCCCAATTCATGGCCAGGACTTTCTGGATGTATCTTAAGGACTGAGGACTCCACATCAGGGACCACACAAGACCGGGGTCCCGGACATGGGGGTTGGGGGTGAGCATGTCACCGGGATGGGCTGTGTCATCACTCTGGTGCTTCATCCGGACAGCCAGGGACCAAAGCCACGCCCTCAGCCCCACCCCACCCCTGCCTCACATGGCAACCCAGGGTCTGCAGATGCAGGAGAATGAGAAGCATGGTAGCCAGGCAGACTAGAGGACCCGAGCTGGGGTTGAGCACCTCCCTGTCTACCCAGGGCATGGCCTGTGAGGCTGCAGGTGGCCTAGTGTGTGCTGCAGGCTCAAGGTCCTGCCCCAGGGAGCATGACATTCAGGCCAAGAAATTGCATCATGCTGCACACGGCCCAAGGGGATAACCCTGTGATGTTCAGGTCACCAGCAGGCTTGGGGTCAAGACCGAACTGCAGAGGACAGGTTTCTGGAAGGCACAACATCATGGGTGGAGGGACTTGGAGCAAGGTCCTTAGCCCCGGGACCAGTGAATGTGTGCCCTTATAGGGAAAGGGGGTCTTTGCAGAAGGAAGTTAGCTGAAAATCATGAAGTGGAGAGGTGCTCCTGGATTAAAGAGGTGAGCCCTAATATAATCACAGGTGTCCTTCTAGGAGGATGGCAGAGGGAGACTGACATAGACAGAAGCCAGATGAGGTCGGAAGCAGAGGCAGAGGCTGAGAGAGCAGATGCTACGCCCTGGCCCTGAAGACGGAGGAGGAGCCGAGAGCTCAGGGATGCAGAGACTAGAAGAGGCAGGGAAGTTCTCCCCGCAAGCCTGGAGGGAGCATGGCCTCCAGCACACCTAGACCTTGGCCCTGTAGGATTCATCTGGACCTGTGGTATAAATGTGTGGTGTTTAAGCCACTGGGCTGTGCAAATTGTCATAGCAGCCATGGCGCATTCCTAGAGGGAGCCCTGGTGGGGACCCAGCAGGCAGCGACGGGGCCCTCACAAGCCTGTGAGCCACTCAGAGCGGTGAGAGTGGCTAGGCTTGGTGAGGTGCAGGCCACGCACAACTCCACTAAGGCAGCCTTAGAGCCCACACCTCCTCTCTCTCTCTCTCTCTCTCTGTCTCTTTCCCTCCCTCCTTCCCTCCCTCCCTCTCTCTCAGTTGGACAGCTCTCCATCATGCCCCGGGACATGACCGCCTCCCAAGGCCAAGCTGGGGCACTTTGCTCGAGGTGAGCACTGACATCCTGGGGGTGTGAGGGGCACCTACCCAGCAGCCCTGTGTGAAGGATGGGCGGTGGGCCCTAGCTGGCACTGGGCATGTGGCCCGGCTGGTGCCCGCAGGCTGCAGCCTTTCTGGGTGGCCAGGATCAGTGAAGGCCTGCAGAGTCTGGGCCTGGGATCCCTGCAGCACTGGCTGAGGACAGGCAGGGTTGGGCAGTGAGGGCACTGGGTCACTGTCACCACCCACGGTTTGTTACTTCACTGGGTTCCCTGCAGTGCTGGCTGGGGACAGGCAGGGCTGGGCAGCGAGGGCGCTGGGTCACTGTCACCACCCACGGCTTGTTACTTCACTGGGTGGGACCTTGCACCCCTGCCTTCCTAACACCCTGGAATCCCTGCCTCCTCCTAGAGCCCCCAAGCCCATCTCCCTCAGAGCCTCCAGAGACAGACCTGGGGAGGCATTTCTTCTGTCCCCAGCAGAAGCCCAGGAGGCCCGGAAGGCACAGTGGGTCTAAAGGAGAGGATCCTGCCACTGCCTGAGGGGTGACTCTGACAAGACAAGCATGGAGCCCACTAGAAGTGGGGTGGGAGCCCCACCAGGGATGGGCTAGTTCCTCATGAAGGACCAGGGCCCAGGAAGGACAAGGGGGCCTGCTGGGGCAGGGTCTGCTATGGCGGAGTCCCTGTGAGCCTGGCCCAGACCTGCGTCTCTCTTTCCTCATTGGTCCCCACAGGTCCTTGGCGGTTGCCGTATTGGGAGGCCCCGTGGTGGCAGGGGTGGGACACCCGGTATACATTGCCAGGTGTGTCCGATAGGCTCATGCTCACACCTTCGCCTGGCACCTGGGCAGAGCTGGAGCACCCGGGCACTGAAGTGAGGGCAAGGTCTCGGGGCCCCACAGGGTGGCTGAGGAGACAGCTGCAGGGTACCTGGGACCCCTGGACTCAGGAAGTAGAAGGATACAGCCCAAAAATGCACACCACAGGCTCACCAGCCGGTGCAGGCCCACAGAACTCGAGGAGGCAGCCCTGAGCCTCCCAGGGAGAGATGCTCTGTGCACGCCAGCACAGGCCCTGGGTTACAAACCCTAGGCACAGCCCCGGAGAGGCCCAGGCCCCAGGCCAGCAAGGGGTTGCAGGAAGCAAGAGGCCCCAGCCACAGCATGAGATGAGCCCATCAAGCCAGGGCCAGGTGGGCAATGGGAGGCAGGCAGGGCTTGGGGGTGGGTCCCTGCTGCAGCACCTTCCACTGTCGACCGGAGGAGTTTCTTCACTGTGCGGAGTCCACGAGCCTCCTGTGAGTGTGTGCATGGGCCCAAGTGTGTGTGTGCCTCTGCTGTGTGTCTGTACACAAGTATGTTTTGGGGTTTTTTTGTGTCTCAGACCACAGAGTCTGCCCCTCTCACCAAAGCCCAGGCAGAAGGATGAACTCACGCCCCTGGGGCCCAGGCCTCAGCAGCCTCTGTGGGATCATTGTTCCCGGTTGTCACTTGCCTTTGGCACAGCCCTATTTCTCCACAATTCCTTAAAGTCCTCAACATGCTTTAAGGCACAAAGGTGAAAGTACCCAGAAACATCTGACTCTGCCGTGGAACCCAGGAGTAAGCTGGGTTAGCTAAGGAGCGGGGCCGTTGGCAGAGGCTGGGGTCCAGGCTGAACTTTGGAGGAGGCATGTCCCAGCATGGGCTCCTGACTATGTCCTCCTGGGACAAACCCAAACCCACTCTTTGAATATGGGAGGGACTTTGCTGGCCCTGGCCCTGACCGCAGCACTTGGAAACTAAGGAGTGGTCGCCTCCCCCGTGTCACAGCTGCCCGTTCACCATCATAGAAGCAACTCTGTCACCTCCATGGGCCCCTCTGTGGCTGCTGCCTGGGTCCAAGCTGAGCCCAGCTGCCCAGGCCCAGAAGGAAAGCCCAGGCCAGGCGCCCAGCACAGAGGCAGTCACGTACCCCAGGGAGAGCCACAGCAAGCAGCCAATGTTGCCCAGGAGAGGAGTAGCTGACAAGGCAGAACGTGAGCTGCCATCGGCTTGAGAGGCTTTGCTGGTCCTCCTGGGCTGTGGACATGACCTGGAGGAGCGAGGGAAGAAGTCGTATGGTGGTCCCATCCCAGGGCCTGATGGCAGCTGGCCACCCGTCCCAGAGTGGCAGCCAGATGCCAGCGCCATTCCCACAGTCACATCATTGGTCACAGACTGCAGGACATAGAGCGTCTTCTTTCCATCACAGTGCTGTCCAAACCCATAGCCTAGGGTAGACCTGGAAGATTCAATGTCCACACCCGGGGCTGGAGCACAGCCATGAGCCAGGCCCACTGCCCGTGCATGGAAAGCCAGCCCAAGCCCTGCTCCATCCCTAGCCAATGTCAGTGTCCTTTCCCCTTCTCCCAAGTGAGCTCTAGCCACTTGCCTACCCTGCCATCTGAGGATGACAACCTTCATTCCATTGGAATCTGGCTCTGCCACCAGCAGGCTTGCAGTCTTGGGCAGACTCCGTCACCTCTCTATGCCTCAGCTTTTCCATCTGCACAGGAGGATGATGATGATGGTGGTGATGAAGATGGCAATGGCTTCCTTTTGCATTTGAGGCAAGGACTAATTGAGATGATACACATCAGGCACTGGGTATGATGCTGGTCCTTCCTGAGCACTCAATCTATGTGAGCTGTCCTTGTGAAATGGATGTCACCACATTTCCCCATGCAGAACATCCTTTGTTTGCCATACTTGAAACGTCTGCCCCAATACTAACAGCTCCTCGTGGAAGATGTGCACAAACCCACCCGCCCTCATACTCCCAAAGGTACCCATGCCTTATCAAGCCAAAGTCCAGCCAGGAACTTTATAGCAGCATCCCTTTCCCTCTCCATGCACCAAGGAGCAAGGCAAAGCACTGCATCTTCTATCTGGAGGCAATACCACCCTCTTCTCCCATTTTCACTGCCATTCCTAAGAGGCAGTGCTTCCCCCGCAAGGTTCCATGGTGGCCTGCCTACAGCAACTCTGTTCACATGAGTTTCAGCATCCTTGCAGTGGCTCCCCTGCCATGCTCTGGCTCTTCATTCACCCTCATCTCCTGCTCCCCGTGACAGGCATAGATTCTGAGTGATCTGGATACATTGCTTTGTTTAATAACATTACAGCTTCTGTGCTGGGGAAGACACAGCAGATACAGAAGGCAATTGTTGAACACAAAATAGTGACGGCAGAGATGACGGCAAGTTGGCATTTTTCTTTTCTAGCAATAAAACTTAAAACTGACTCAAGAAGAAATGGAAATCGTAGTTGGAACAATAATCCTCAAGAAAGCATTAAGATTATTAAATAATTGCCCTCACAGATGACTTCAGGCCAAGATGGCTTTATGGGTGAAGTTTAGACTTTCACAAAACTAATCAGTTCCCATAAGAACTGCTCCAGGATTTGGAGAAACATGGAAAAGTCTATGAACGGGATCACACTCCACAGTCCCCAGAGTAAAACATGGGTTACTTGCATTTTGGCAAAGAGCCAAATGTTATAAATGACATCCTAGAAGGCCAAATTCTGTCCATCTCATTGAACAAGGACTTACACCGGGAATTAAGAACTATTTATAGCTCATCCCACCACTCAGGCCAATGATGACCCATGATCATCTCACCAGAAATGGAAAGACTCACTTGATTAATAGAGTCTCAATTCCTCTGAGACATCTAAGAGCCCAGCCCAAGCCCAGACCCAGGAGGGCACCCAGGCCTGGAGAGAGAACACTATCACACCAGCCCTCCAGAGGGAAGCAGAGACTCCTTCAAGCTCTGGAAACACAGGCCCAGACAGCTGCCCAAAGTTGGGCAGGCTTCACCGCATACCCAAATCATGAAGCTAGGTAACACCTTTACAGATTCTTTACATTTAAAAATCATCAAAACTTAACAGTAAATAATAAACTCAAATAATATTAATCTAATATGTAAAGGTCTTGTACCATTATTAGGCAAACAACATACATAAGCTAATAAGAAAAAGAACAAATCCCTTAAGAAATCAGCAAAGGATATAACACAATTTCCAAAAGAAAACAAGTGGCTAGCACACATGAGGAAAACACTTTGTGAACAGACATTCTTCAGACCATTATTTATAATTATAAAATAGTTGAAAGCAAGATAGTGCCTGAAGAAATTATGGTGCATACATTAATGGGACTATTCTGCAAACATTCCCAATTATACTTGTCACATATCTGTGATAACGTGACAGCCAGCATTCATGGGGTGACCTCATTTGATAAAAGGGTGCAAAGCTCAACACACACTGTGAGATGACTGTGGTGTAAATACAAAGACCAAACCGTGAAAAGGAGTCCATCAATTAACTGATGCTTACCTTCAGTTTTGGGCTGATTTTTAAAGTATGCTATAAGCATATGCTCCTGTTATAACAGAATGGAGGGATTATGAGAGATGATGTAGGTGTGTCCTGGGCCTCCCCGGCCCACTGGGCCCTACAGATGCCTTCCCAGGCACTGCTGTCAGGGCTTCCCTCAGAGGGAGTCCTGTATTGACCTCACCACTAAGATCTGGAGCAGGGGATCCTTAGATATGGGTAGGGGTTATCTCACCTTAGGTCTGAATACGGGGTTGTCTTAGACTGTTTTGTGATGTTGTAATAGAACACCCAAGACTGGGAAGTTTATACTGAACGGAAATTTATTTCTCACAGTTCTAGAGGCTGTGAAGTCCAAGAGCAAGGTGCCAGAGCAAGTCCAAGAGCAAGGGAAAGTCCAAAGCAAGTCCAGGAGCATCTGGCAAGGACCTTCTTGCTGTGTCATCATATGGCAGAAGGCAAGAAAGAGAGCAAGAGGGGGCCGAACTCACCCTTTTATAACAGCGCCAATCCCACCCATGAGGTGGGGACCTTATGACCTAATCACTCTTCATACTGTTACAATGGCAATGAAATTTCAACATGAGTTTTGGAGGAGAGAAGCATTCAAACCACAGCAAGCGTGCTCCTACCTCCTCTCTCAGGGCATCTGCAGAAAGAGCTGCAACTGCACGTCCTTCCTCCGTCCATCCTCCGTCCCTTCCCGATGTCTGTGCATTTCCTGTGACCCAGGAGGTCTGGTGTAGGGGGTGCTCCTGCCTTAGGTCTGAGGCCCTGTCTGAAGAGGGGTAGGTGAGGAGGCCACCTGATTGTCTGGGCCAAGACAGTCACAGGATGAATCATTCATCATCAAGGAGGCTGAGGGTTGAGTCTCCAGGTCCAGGGAACTCCCCACAAAGTGCGAACCCTGCCCAGCTCCACACAGCCTCTGCTGGGGGACCCTGCTCTGGCACAGAGCCTGGGAACAGGTCTTGAGCTCAGCCAGAGTCTGCCTCCCTGTCATTTAGGAACTAAACCTAGCGGCAGGATGCTGGAGCCCAGCCCCCATCTGACCTTACAGGGCCAAGCCTGGGGCCCTGGGTTCCCCTCAAGGCGCAGCAGGACTGGAGCCCCAGGCAGTGCAGGAGTGGCCAAAGCTGGGGCTTCCTCCAGAGCCACCAAGCATCACGGCATCAGGAAGGGTAGGACCCTGGCCTCAGAAATTGGCACCAAAGCCCCAGAAGCTACCCTGGACACCATGGAGAGAGGCCTGGAGGGGAAGCACCAGGCACTGCCCCCCCTTCTGATCCCACCTGAGGTGGCTGCCAAGCCCAGAGAGCAGCTCTGATGTCCCCCAGCCCTGCAGCCCAGGGACACCTGTACTGTGCCCCTGTGGGACCCCTGGCCAGTCTGTGCAAAGAAGTCACCACCCTCTACTCAGAGACAGTGGGGGTCCTCTTCCCACATCCTCAGAGCATGGCCCGGCTGCTGCAGGGATGGTCTCCTGGAGGCCCCCCAGTGCTCTATTGTCAGGGCTCCCTCCACCCCCCTGCACCAAGAGAGAGCCAGACCCCAGCAAGGCTTCCAGTGGCTTCAGGTCACACCCCTAGGCTGACCCCAGCCCCATCAACACCTGCCTGAGAAAGCTCAATGCACCAGAACTGACCGTTTGCTCCAACTCTTGACCTCCCATTCTCAGAGCATCTGCTGAAAAGGCTGCAACTGCACATCCTTCCTCTGTCCCTTCCTGATGTCTGTGTGTCTCCTGTGGCCAGGAAGGTCTTTCTCGGGACCTGAGAGCCACTCCCTGAAGTGTCCCCATTGGGAAGGATGGGGCCTGTGTCTCCAGGCTCTGGGAGGACAGAATCCTGACCTCAACAGTGGCCAGCACGGACACAGCGGGCCCCATCCCAGGGACGCTGACCAGCACTGGGCAAATTTTCCCTTCCCCGACGACTGAGCCCCGAGCACCCTCCCTGCTCCCTCTACCCCCTCCCTTTTCAAGGCTGTGGCCTCTGCACAGACGACAATGGAGCTTGGCTCATTCCCCTAGAGTCGGTAGAGAGTTAATGACAAAACTGTTTCCTCCACCTGAACTCAGGTCTGCCTGTGTTTACCTGATCACAGCTGGTGGACAGTTTGGACAAACTTGCACACTCAGAGACACAGACCCTTCTAGAAATCATTATCTCCCCGCCCCTGGGACCCCTCTCCCGTGGAAGTCTGCTAGGCACTGGCCTGGGCCCTCCTGCTGTCCTAGGAGGCTGCTGACCTCCTGCCTGGCTCCTGTCCCCAGGTCCAGAGTCAGAGCAGACTCCAGGGATGCTGAAGGCTAGGAAGCCGCCCCTCCAGGCCAGGGTCTAGTGCAGGTGCCCAGGACAAGAAAGATTGTGAATGCAGGAATGACTGGGCCACACCCCTCCCATGCATGCCCCCTCCTGCCCTGCACCCCACAGCCCAGCCCCCCATGCTAGATGCCCCCCACAGCAGAGGTGCTGTTCTGTGATCCCCTGGGAAAGACGCCCTCAACCTCCACCCTGTCCCATGGCCCAAGGAAGACAAGACACAGGCCCTCTCCTCACAGTCTCCCCACCTGGCTCCTGTTGGGATCTTCAAGGTGTGAACAGGGAGGATGGTTGTCTGCGTGGCCCCTAGGAGCCCAGATCTTTGCTCCACAGACCCCAACCCAAGCACCCCCTTCTGCAGGGCCCAGCTCATCTGCCTCTTCCTCCCTTTGCTCTCCTCTCTTCGCCTCTGTGGGAAATCCGGGACTCAGCAGTAACCCTCAGGAAGCAGGGCCGAGGTGCCATTTAATAGGAGGCTTCGTCACAATGAAACTCTTAGAAAGACTTGACTATGATGATGACCGTGGCGTGGCTGTGAACACTGTCAGCTCCCACAGTTGCCGCAGCAAAAAATGTCCATAGACAGGGTGGGGGCCCGGGGTCATCTGCTGTCCTGCTCAGCCCACAGCATGCATGGAAAATCTGAGGTGCCACACCTGACACCCAGACCAGAACATGCCTCCCTCCAGGGTGACCTGCCATGTCCTGCATTGCTGGAGGGACAGGGGCAGCCTGTGAGGATCTGGGGCCAGGAGATGAATCCCATTAACCCAGAGGAAAACAAGCAGGACCTGAGCACCCTCCCCATTGAAGCTGACCTGCGCAGAGGGGCCTGGGCCCACCCCACACACTGGGGCGGAATGTGTGCAGGCCCCAGTCTCTGTGGGTGTTCTGCTAGCTGGGGCTTCCAGTGCCCACCCCACAACCAAAGTGAGCCACAGCCTCCAGAGCCCCCAAAGGAGATCCTGCCCACAAGCCCAGCCCCCACCCAGGAGGCCCCAGAGCTCAGGGCACCTGGGCAGATTCTGAACAGCCCCGAGTCACAGTGGGTATAACTGGAACAACCACTGTGAGAAAAGCTTTGTCCAAAACCGTCTCCTGGCCACTGCCGGAGGCCATGCCAGAGAGGGGAACAGCCGCCCCGAACCTAGGTCCTGCTCAGCTCACATGACCCCCAGCAGCCAGAGCACAACGGAGTCCCCACTGAATGGTGAGGATGGGGACCAGGGCTCCAGGGGGTCATGGAAGGGGCTGGACCCCATCCTACTGCTATGGCCCCGTGCCCCTGGCCAGAACTGACCCTACCACCGACAAGAGTCCCTCAGGGAAACGGGTCACTGGCACCCCCCAACATCAACCCCAGGCAGCACAGGCATAAACCCCACATCCAGAGCAGACTCCAGGAGCACATTCACCCCAATACCCTGGGGGACACCGACCCTGATGACTCCCCACTGGAGTCCACCCCAGAGTCCACCAGGATCAGAAACCCCTCCCCGTCTCTGTCCCTCACTCAGGACCTGCTGCGGGGCGGGCCCTGAGAGCAGACTGGGGCTTAGGGAACACCACTGTGGCCCCAACCTCGACCAGGACACAGGCCCTTCCTTCCTGCCCTGTGGCGGCACAGACTTTGGGGTCTGCGCAGGGAGGAAGCACAGAAGCCCCAGGCTGAGGTGGTGGGGGTGGAAGACCCCCAGGAGGTGGCCCACTTCCCTTCCTCCCAGCTGGAACACACCATGTCCTTCTTAAAATAGGGGTGTCATCCGAGGCAGGTCCTCCATGGAGCTCCCTTCAGGCTCCTCCTGGTACTCACTAGGCCTCAGTCCCAGATATGGGAATGCAGCCACCACAGGCACACCAGGCAGCCCAGACCCAGCCAGCCTGCAGTCCCCAAGCCCACATTCTGGAGCAGAGCAGGCTGTGTCTGGGAGAGTCTGGGCTCCCCACTCCCCACCTGCACACAGCCACCCACCCCTGTCCAGGCCCTATGCAGGAGGGTCAGAGCCCCCCATAGGGTACGGACTTAGGGTCACACTCACGTGCCTCCCCTCCTGGGTGAAGGGGTCTCATGACCAGATCCCCGCAGCAGCACTGGTCAAAGGTGGAGGCAGTGTCCCCAGGGCTACCCTGACCTGGCCCCTCAGGCTCCTCTAGCCCTGGCTGCCCTGCTATCCCTGGGAGGCCTGGACTCCACCAGACCACAGGTCCAGGGCACCACCCATAGGTGCCGCCCACACTCAGTTCACAGGAAGAAGATAAGCTCCAGACCCCCAAGACCAGGACTTGCCTTCCTGCCACCGCTTGTAGCTCCAGACCTCCATGTCTCCCCTGACCACTTACACATGGGCCAGGGAGCTATTCCACACAGATCAACCCCAAACCGGGACCGCCTGGCATGCGGGTCGCTGCCACTTCCCTCTCCATTTGCTCCCAGCACCTCTGTGCTCCTTCCCTCCTCCCTCCTTCAGGGGGACAGCCTGTGCAGCCCCTCCCTGCACCCCACACCCTGGGGACGCCCAACCCTGCCTCCAGCCCTTTCTACCCCGCTGCTCTTCCTGCCCATCCAGACAACCCTGGGGTCCCATCCCTGCAGCCCACACCCTGAGAAGACTGGACCCTGCCTTGGGCCCTTTCTGCCCTGCTGCTCTTGCCGCCCACCCAGACAATCCTGGGGTCCTGTCCCTGCAGTCACCACCCTGGTCTCCACCCAGACCCCTGTCTCTCCCTCCAGACACCCCTCCCAGGCCAACCCTGCACATGCAGGCCCTCCCCTCTTCTGCTGCCAGAGCCTCAGTTTCTCCCCCCTGTGCCTACCCACTGCCTCCTCCTGCCCACAACTTGAGCTCTTCCTCTCCTGGGGCCTCTGAGCCATGGCACTGACCGTGCACTCCCACCCACACACTGCCTTCACCTTCCTCCTGGACACTTTGGCTCCACTCCCCTCTTGGACATGGCCCTGGTATTTCCAGGACGAAGGCTCACCCAAGTCTTCCCCACACAGACCCTTGCCCTCACTCCCCATTTACAGGGAAATCTCCTGTGCACAGAAGCAGGGAGCTCAGCTCTTCCACAGGCAGAAGGCAATGAAAGAAATCGGCCTCCAGCGCCCTGATGCACATCCGCCTGTGTCTCTCACTGCCCACACCTGCAGGGAGGCTCGGCACTCCCTTTAAAGATGAGGGATCCAGGCAGCAACATCACGGGAGAATGCAGGGCTCCCAGACATCCCAACCCTCTTGCAGGCCTCTCCTGGGAAGAGACCTGCAGCCACCACCAAACAGCCATGGAGCCCGCTGCATAGTAACTGAGTCAGTGACTGACCTGGAGGGCAGGGGAGCAGTGAGCCGGAGCCCAGACCATAGGGACCGAGACCAGCCGCTGACATCCCGAGCCCCTCACTGGTGGCCCCAGAAAACTCATGGAAACAGGACGGACCCACATTCCCAGCTGGACCAGGGCAGAGACTGCTGAGCCCCGAGCACCAGCCCCAAGAAACACCAGGCAAAATCATCAGAGGAGGCTCCTGAGAAAGAGAGGAGGGGAGGTCTACCTCACCAGCAAATGCTTCCCTTAACCAAACACAGGGTCCACGCAACTCCCCCAGGACAAAGGAGGAGCCCCCTGTACAGCACTGGGCTCAGAGTCCTCTCCAAGACACCCTGAGTTTCAGACAAAAACCCCCTGGAAATCACAGTATCAGCAGGAGAACTGGCCAGAGACAGCAAGGGGGGACTCCGTGACACCCATGGGGACAGGAGGATTTTGTGGGGGCTTGTGTCACTGTGAGAATATTGTAATAGTACTACTTTCTATGCCCACAGTGACACAGCCCCAGTCCCAAAGCCCTGCTGTAAATGCTTCCACTTCTGGAGCTGAGGGGGAGCGTCTGGGAAGTAGGGCCTAGGGGTGTCCACCAATGCCAAAACACACCAGACTTCCCCCCAGACATCACCCCCACCAGCCAGCGAGCAGAGTAAACAGAAAATGAGAAGCAAGCTGGGGAAGCTGGCACAGGCCCCAAGGAAAGAGCTTTGGTGGGTGTGCAAGAGAAGATGCAGGCAGAGCCTGAGCAGGGCCTTTTACTGTTTCTGCTTTCCTGGGCAGAGAATTCCATAAACTGGTGTTCGAGATAAATGGCTGGGAGTGAGCCCAGGAGGACAGTGTGGGAAGGGCACAGGGAAGGAGGAGCAGCCTCTATCCCACACTGTCATCTTTCGAAAGTTTGCCCTGTGCCCACACTGCTGCATCATGGGATGCTTAACAGCTGATGTAGACACAGCTAAAGAGAGAATCAGTGAGAAGGATTTGCAGCACAGATCTGAATAAATTCTCCAGAATGTGGAGCCACACAGAAGCAAGCAAACAGAAAGTGCCTGATGCAAGGGCAAAGTACAGTGTGTACCTTCAGGCATTGCTGCTGGGCACAGACACTCTGAAAAGCCCTGGCAGGAACTCCCTGCAACAAAGCAGAGCCCTGCAGGCAATGCCAGCCCCAGAGCCCTCCCTGAGAACCTCATGGGCAAAGATGTGCAGAACATATGTTTGTCATAGCCCTAAACTGAGAATGAAGCAAACATCCATCTGAAGGAAAACAGGCAAATAAACGATGGCAGGTTCATGAAATGCAAACCCAGACAGCCACGAGGACAACAGTACAGGGTTACCAGGGTTACGGGCAACTCTGTGGTTGAGTTCATGACAATGCTGAGTAATTGGAGTAACAAAGGAAACTCCAAAAAATACTTTCAATATGATTTCTTCTAAATAAAATTTACACCTGGCAAAATGAACTATCTTCTTAAGGGATAAACTTTCCACTAGAAAAACTATAAGGAAAATCAAGAAAACGATGATCACATAAACACAGTTGTGGTTACTTCTACTGGGGAAGGAAGAGGGTGTGAACAGAGACACACAGGTTTGGCAAGTCTCCTAACAAGAACAGAACAAATACATTACAGTACCTTGAAAACAGCAGTTAAACTTCTAAATCGCAAGAAGAGGAAAATGTACACAGCTGTGTTTAGAAAATTCTCACTCCGGCACTGTTCATAATAGCAAAGACATTAACCCAGGTTGGATAAATAAACGATGACACAGGCAATTGCACAGTGATACAGACATACATTCAGTATATGAGACATCGATGATGTATCCCCAAAGAAATGACTTTAAAGAGAAAAGGCCTGATGTGTGGTAGCACTCATCTCCCTGGGCATCCCCGGACAGGCTGCAGGCTCACTGTGTGGCAGGGCAGGCCGGTACCTGCTGGCAGCTCCTGGGGCCAGATGTGGAGCAGGCACAGAGCCGTATCCCCCCGAGGACATATACCCCCAAGGATGGCACAGTCGGCACATTCCAGAGAGAAGCAACTGAGCCACACTCCCAGGCCAGAGCCTGAGAGGGACGCCCATGCACAGGGAAGCAGAGCCCAGCTCCTCCACAGCCAGCACCACCTGTGCAGGGGCTGCCATCTGGCAGGCACAGAGCGTGGGCTGGGAGGAGGGGCAGGGACACCAGGCAGGGTTGGCACCGACTGAAAATTACAGAAGTCTCATACATCTACCTCAGCCTTGCCTGACCTGGGCCACACCTGACCTGGACCTCACTTGGCCTGGACCTCACCTGGCCTAAGCCTCACCTGGCCTGGACCTCACCTCTGGGCTTCACCTGACCTCGGCCTCACCTGACTTGGACCTTGCCTGTCCCGAGCTCACATGATCTGGGCCTCACCTGACCTGGGTTTCACCTGACCTGGGCTTCACCTGACCTGGGCCTCATCTGACCTGGGCATCACTGGCCTGGATCTCACCTGGCCTGGGCTTCACCTGGCCTCGGGCCTCACCTGCACCTGCTCCAGGTGTTGCTGGAACCTCAGTAGCACTGAGGCTGCAAGGGCTCATCCAGGGTTGCAGAATGACTCTGGAACTCTCCCACATCTCACCTTTCTGGGTGGAGGCACCTGGTGGCCCAGGGAATATAAAAAGCCTGAGTGATGCCTGCGTGATTTGGGGGCAATTTATAAACCCAAAAGGACATGGCTATGGAATGGGTAGGGACAGTACAGACAGATATCAGCCTGAAATGGAGCCTCAGGACACAGGTGGGCACAGACACTGTCCACCTAAGCGAGGGGCAGACCCGAGTGTCCCCGCAGCAGACCTGAGAGCGCTGGGCCCACAGCCTCCCCTCGGTGCCCTGCTACCTCCTCAGGTCAGCCCTGGACATCCCGAGTTTCCCCGGACCTGGCAGTAGGTTTGGGGTGAGGTCTGTGTCACTGTGGTATTATGATTTTTGGACTGGTTATTATACCCACAGTGTCACAGAGTCCATCAAAAACCCATCCCTGGGAGCCTTCTGCCATAGCCCTCCCCACAGTGGACCACCACATGCCGCGTTAGGATTTTGATCGAGGCCACAGCACCATGGGTGTAGTGGCTACCACAGCAGTGCAACCTGTGTCCCAAACACACAGGGCAGCAGGCACAATGGACAAGCCCAAGAGTGACCACCCTGAGCTCCTGCCCGCCAGCCCCGGAGACCATGAAACAGATGGCCAGGATTATCCCATAGGTCAGCCAGACCTGAGTCCAACAGGTCTGCATCGCTGCTGCCCTCCAGTACCAGTCCAGATGGGGACAGGCACCCAGCAGTCCCGGAAGCCCCTCCCTCAAGGCTGAGCCACATGTGTGGACCCTGAGAACCCCCCAGGTCCGAGTAGGGGCAGGAGGGCGGGGCTGGTCCTGTGCGCTGTCCCTGCCCCTGTGGTCCCTGGCCTGCCTGGCTCTGACACCTGAGCCTCTCCTGGGTCATTTCCAAGACAGAAGGCATTCCCGGGACAGCCGGAGCTGGGAGTCGCTCATCCTGCCTGGCCGTCCTGAGTCCTGCTCCTTTCCAAACCTCACCCGGGAAGCCAACAGAGGACTCACCTCTCACAGTCAGAGACAAAGAACCTTCCAGAAATCCCTGTCTCTCTCCCCAGTGGGCACCCTCTTCCAGGACAGTCCTCAGTGATATCACATCGGGAACCCACATCTGGATCAGGACGGCACCCAGAACACAAGATGGCCCATGGGGACAGCCCCACAGCCCAGCCCTTCCCAGACCCCTAAAAGGTGTCCCACCCCCTGCACCTACCCCAGGACTAAAAATCCAGGAGGCCTGACTCCTGCACATGCTCTGACCGGATGTCACCTCGGCCCCTCCTGGAGGGGACAGGAGCCCTGGAGGGTGAGTCAGACCCTCCTGCCCTCGACGGCAGGCGGGGAAGATTCAGACCGGTCTGAGATCCCCAGGATGCAGCACCACTGTCAATGGGGGCCCCAGACGCCTGGACCAGCACCTGCGTGGGAAATGCCTCTGGGCTCACTGAGGGGCTTTTTGTGAAGGCCCTCCTGCTATGTGACTATGGTGCTAACTACCACAGTGATGAACCCAGCAGCAAAAACTGACCGGACTCCCAGGGTTTATGCACACTTCTCGGCTCAGAGTTCTCCAGGATAAGAAGAGCCAGGCCCAAGGATTTCTGCCCAGACCCTCGGCCTCTAGGGACACCTTGGCCATGAAAGCCCATGGGCTGGTGCCCCACACTTCATCTGCCTTCAAACAAGGGCTTCAGAGGGCTCTGAGGTGACCTCACTCATGACCACAGGTGCCTGCCAGCTGCACCGAACCCTGTCCCAACAGCTGCCACAGTTCCAACAGCCAATTCCTAGGGCCGGGAATTGCTGTAGACACCAGCCTTGTTCCAGCAGCTCCTGCCAATTGCCTGGATTCCCATCCTGGCTGGAATCAAGAGGGCAGCATCCGCCAGGCTCCCAATAGGCAGGACTCCCACACACCCTCCTCTGAGAGGCCACTATGTTTCGTAGGGCCAGGCCCTGGACAGTCTCCCTCACCTGCCACTAGAGAAACACCTGCCTTTGACGTCCCCATATGGCAAAGACCACTCATGGAGCCCCCAGCCCCAGGTACAGCTGTAGAGACAGTCCCCGAGGGATCTAAGAAGGAGCCATGCCCAGTTCTGCCCAGACCCTCGGCCAGGCTGACAGGAGCGGACGCTGGAGCTGGGCCTGCACTGGGCCACATAGGAGCTCACCAGTGAGGGCAGGAGAGCACATGTCAGGAAGCACCCAGCCTCCTGCTGACTGGAGGCCCGTCCCAGAGCCCAGGAGGCTGCAGAGGCCTCTCCAGGGGGACACTGTGCATGTCTGGTCCCTGAGCAGCCCCCCACGTCCCCAGTCCTGGGGGCCCCTGGCACAGCTGTCTGGACCCTCCTTGCTCCCTGGGAAGCTCCTCCTGACAGCCCCGCCTCCAGTTCCAGGTGTGGTTATTGTCAGGGGGTGTCAGACTGTGGTGGATATAGTGTCTACGATTACCACAGTGGGGCCACCCATAGCAGCAACCACGCCAAGTAGATGAGCCACTGCCATGCAGCCCCAGGCCTCCAGCTCACCTGCTTCTCCTGGGGCTCTCAAGGTCACTGTTGTCTGCACTCTGCCCTCTGTGGGGAGGGTTCCCTCAGTGGGAGGTCTGTTCTCAGCTTCCCAGGGCCTCATGACTGCATGGAAGGTCAAGGGCTGGGCCTGCCAGGGGCACGGCACCCTCACATGCCACACCTAAGATAGGGTGGGCAGTCTGGTGGGGACAGGACATACTGCTGGGGTGTCTGTCACTGTGCCTAGTGGGGCACTGGCTCCCAAACAATTCGGTCCTTGCCAAAATCCCCACTGCCTCCCCTGCTAGGGGCTGGCCTGGTCCCCTGCTGTCCTAGGCAGCTGCTGACCTCCAGAATGGCTCCATCCCCAGTTCCAGGGCCAGAGCAGATCCCAGGCAGGCTGCTGTCTGGGAGGCCACCCCCTCCTTGCCAGGGTTCACTGCAGGTGACCAGGGCAGGAAATGGCCTGAACACAGGGATGACTGCACCATCCCCCAACAGAATCTGCCCCCTCCTGCTCTGCACCCCGCACCCCCCAGGCCAGTCCACGAAAACCAGGCCCCACATCAGAGTCACTGCCTGGCCCTGCCCTGGGGTGGACCCCTCAGTCCCCACCCTGTCTAGAGGACTGGGGAGGACAGGACACAAGCCCTCTCCTTATGGTTCCCCACCTGGCTCCGGCTGGGACCCTCGGGGTGTGGACAGAAAAGACGCCTGCCTGATTGGCCCCCAGGAACCCAGAACTTCTCTCCAGGGACCCCAGCCCGAGCACCGCCTTACCCAGGACCCAACCCTGCCCCTCCTCCCCTCTGCTCTCCTCTCATCACCCCATGGGAATCCAGAATCCAGATTCCTCACGAATGGCTTAGTGCCATCCACTTGGTAATGAGTGAGTTCTCACATAGTTAGATCACTCAGGATCTGATTTTTTAAGAGAGACTTGGATCTCCCCCTTTCCTTCTTCCCCCTGCTCACCATGTGACACTCCTTCTTCCCCTGTGCCTTTTACCATAAATATAAGGTTTTTGAAGCCCTCACCAGAAGCAGATAGCAGAACCACACTTCCTGTACAGCCTTCAAAACCGTCAGCCAAATTAGAATTTATTTTTTATAAATTACTCATCCCCAGGAATACTTTTATAGCAATTAAGGAATTTCTTTTTTTTTATTTTATGAATGTTTCATTGCCACTTAAAAAAGAATGAGTTGTTATGTTCAGACATACACACACATATTTCTACCTTATCAATTACGATATTTAGGTATTTTTTAGTCTTGCTTAATTTTGGTCCTCTTGATGTTTAATGAACTAAAACACATGAATTAAATAATTAAGATGCTGTGTTTTCTATATTTTTTCTTGTTTCCCCTATAGCTCTTCTCTGTGAATGCTGATGCTCTGTTACCTGGTGCACAGTTATTCATAACTTTTTTTTTTGAGACAGACTCTTGCTCTGTCACCCTGGCTGGAGTGCAGCGGCACAATTTCGGCTCACCACAGCCTCTGCCTCCCAGGTTCAAGTGATTCTCATACCTCGGCCTCTCTACATATAGGTAGTTATGTATCTATTCTATTATCAAGGTTTACAACTCCAACATTTAATTTTCAAATCAAAATCCCTATATTAGTCTTGGCCTCCTATAGGTAATTAGATTCAATGCTTACTGCCATTTTTGGTTGTTTTTCTCATTAATCTCCTAGTTATCTGAGTTTATCTTCTAACAGTATTCAGAAGTAATCACTATGCTAACTTTTGACACTGGTCTTGATTGCTGTTTTTGAAATTTTGAAATGGAATGTACAACCTCTGCCTTGAG
The DNA here is from genome assembly GCF_000001405.40 of Homo sapiens. Lineage (NCBI taxonomy): Eukaryota > Metazoa > Chordata > Mammalia > Primates > Hominidae > Homo > Homo sapiens. The sequence continues at coordinate 20,001,962 of NC_000015.10, read as the reverse complement.
TCTTTCATTCAACATTGTTTGTGAGATTCATATAGGTAATACATGTCAGTGGTTAATTGATTTTCATTACTGAAAATCAGTAATATGTTTAGATAATTAGTAATATGTTTAGATATTTTTCTAGTCTTTATTCTGTTCAGTTGTTCTGCCTATATCTTTATATTAATATTAAACTACTGTAGCTGTAGAGCAGGGTGTCCAATCTTTTGGCTTCCCTGGGCTACATTGAAAGAACAATTGACTTGGGCCACACATAAAATACACTAACACTGAAAATAGCTGATGAGCTAAAAAATAATAATAATAAAAATCACAAAGGAAGTTTGCAAATTTCTGTCGGGCTGCTTTCTATAAGAAAGAAAGTACTGAATTTTAAAGGAGATGATGAGGGTGAAACATCAGAATGAAATTACTGACCTCATAAGTAAAGACACCAGACAGCCTCTCTCTCTCTCTATTTCTCTCTCTCTCTCTCTCTCACACACACATGCACACACACACACATGCCCTACAATGAAATGATCATATGAAAAAGTAACAATATGATGGCTGCTCTGAGCCAAAAGTGGAAGCCTCAAAATAAAACCTATCTTGTCAGCATCTTGATCTTGGAGTTCACAGCACTGATAAATGAAATAAAATTAATGTTGCATGAGTCACCAAATATGATAGTTTGTAATGGCATCTTAAACTGACAAAAGAAAATTTGGGGTTAGGAAGTGGAAATCTGATGTTACAATTATTTGAAAATTGTGAAAGTAGCTTGGAATTGGGTTATGTGTAAAAGGATGGGTACCTTTGACATATATGAAGAAATTTGTATGTTGAGGGTCATGCTGATAGACAGAAATGAGTAGAGTGGTTTTGGAAAATGGAGCAATAGTCATCCTTATCATAAAGTTTTTAAAAAAATCTTGGCTGGACAGTGATATAATATTTAGTGAAAGAGAAGTTGCGAGTAGTGAGAACTTGTGAGTAGCTGAGAATAGTTCTAAGTAAAGTGTTGAAGATATTTTGCTTGGTTCCTCCTGAGTGCTTATAACAAGTGAGGTAGATAAATTAAAATCAGAAAAAAATATAAACGAAAAAGAATAAAAAACCTGAGCACTTAGAAAATTCTCAACCTATCCATATTGCCAAAATCAGAAACTGTATTCTACAAAGAACACTGAGTATATGACTGAAATATCACTCAGTAAGAAGCCTAAGATACTCTATGAAAAGAAATATTTCAGGTTTTAAAGAATGAGAATTGACCTGAGACAAATCTGATGAAAACTGTTAGATTTTTCAGATTTAATGGCCTGGAATAATAGAGCTACTTGGCAGCAAATGTACATGATTCTTCTGGAAGGGAGAAAAAATAAGCTTTAAATTTATTTAGAAACTATCAGACCACTGCCTTTATTTCAACAGACCAGAAAGCCTGTTTCTAAAATCTTGAGGAAGAAACCACCCAACAGAGGCTTGGGCTTGGGAGCAACCAGCCAGCCCTGTGTGTAGGGCTGCATGAGGCCTTTGACATGGGAGCTGGGCCTAGCAGTGCTTCAGGAGCGGTGCCTCTGCCTGCAGCCTTGGAGCTGACTCTGCCACCCAAATAAGCTGAGAAGGAAAAAGATTGTTTCAGAGATGATTGCAGCGGAGCCTTAAAGCATATGGCAATTTGTTTTCCTATGCATTGTATTTGCTGGAGACATACCACCCATTTTACCCCCTACTTTTTTTCTTTGGCAATGAAGCTGTCTATTCTATGCCTAACTCAACAGGACACAGCCGAGGCTGTATCCAGTTTGACAAGATTCAGCACGAAAGGTTCCTATTACCTGAGCCAGATGCATCACTGATATGCGGCCACCAGTTCCTTAGGTTCATATCACTTTAAGGGACCAAATACAAATGTCAGTAGCGTATGTCATTCTTAAGCTGCAGATATGGTGTCAAAGAAGAATGTGGAGATAAGAGAGCAGGAGGAATTATGAAAATCCAGACAGCATCTTCTCTTCTAGAGTGGAAGGTACACTAGTAATTTTATGAAACAATAACATAAATGAAATGTGTCATCATCATGGAGTGTCTCACAGTGGCAGTGCACAAATAAATTTCTAAAAATTCCATAAGGTAGGTGTGATGGATGCGGCTTATTTCCACCCAGGGAGCCCATAAATACCCAGATAGGTAAAAAATCCAACACCTGGAAAGAAAAACACCTCATCTTGACATCACAAACACATCTCAGTAAGTCCAAGGAGTAATGTGGAAATGAAATGGAAAATTCACAGACACATTTATTGTGAAATTTTTAGCACATGCTTGAACATCAAAACAGAATTGTCCACAATTTTAGGAAAACCACCCCATGACCACGAATCACTACACTCATAGAAACACCACTGAGTCAACAGAGTTCTAACTGTGAGCAGGTCACTACTGAGGCCTCAGGAGAATCAAGGCTCTAGGGTACATTTTACAGAACCCAGAATTGAGCCACACAATCTATAGCCAAATGACCTTTGACAAACTTAACAAAAACATACACCAGAAAAAGGACACCCCATTCAATAAATGGTGCTGGGGAAATTGGAAATGAACATGCAGAAGAACAAAACTAGACCCCTACCCTCAACACATACATACTCAACACAAAATGAATTAAAGACTTAGATATGAGACCTCAAACTATAAATGTACTCAAATAAAATACGAGGACAACTCTTCTGGGCACTGGGCGAGGTGAAGAATTTATGACTAACACCACAAAACACACCCAAGAAAAAAATAGACAAGTGAGAATTAAACTATAGAGGTATTTCACAGCAACAGACTGAACAGGCAAGTTGCAGAATGACAGAAAATTTTCACACACCTTGCCTGTGACAAGGAACTAACATGAAGAATTTACAAGGAATTAGACTATACAACAACAGGAAGAAGAACCAAATAACCCTATTAAAATGAGCAAAGGACGTGAGTAGACATTTCCAAAGAACACATACAAATGGATAATAAATATATAAACAATGCTCAACATCACTAACCATCAGGGAAATGCAAATTAAAACTACAGTAAGGTATTATCTTACAAAAGCCACAGTGACTATTATTAAAAACTCAAAAGTATCAGATGTTGGTGAGGATGGAAAGTAACAGGAACTCATCGACACTGTAGATGAGGATGTGGACGAGGACAACCTCTATGGAAAATGGTATGGAGTCTTCCCAAAACACTGGAAATAGAACTGCCATTTGATCCAGCAATCTGACTACGGGGTAACTACCCAAAGGAAAATAAATCATTACTTCAAAAAGATATCCATGCTTCTATGTTTACCACAAAACTATTCTTAATAACACACATGTCAACCTGAGTGTCCACCAACAGATGATTTTATAAAAGAACACAGCACATATGCACAATTCAATACTAGTCAACCACAATAAGAAATGAAACTGTGTCTTTTGCAGCAAGATGCCTAGAACTGGGGACAATATAATTAGTGAACTAACTCACAAACAGAAAGTCATATGCCACACGTTATTATTTGTAAGTGGGAGGTAACAATGTGTCCACAAGGATATGGAGAGAGAAATGATGGACACCGGAGACTTAGAAGGATGGGAGGTGGAAGGTGGGAGCATGAGGAGACATTACCTAGTGGGTACAATGTACATTATTTGGGTGATATTACACTAAAAGCCAAGACCACTATGGAATATATCCATGTGCAAAAGTTGCACTCATAGCCCTTAAATTTATACAAATAAATGTACACACAAAAAAGTTAAAAATATAAAATAATTAACAGTTGACCAATGATCTTAAAATTAAAATTTAGACCGGGCATAGTGTCTCACGCTTGTAATCCCAGCACTTTGGGAGGTCGAAGCAGGTGGATCATGAGGTCAGGAGTTTGAGACCAGCCTGGCCAACATGGTGAAACCCCATCTACTAAAAATACAAAAATTAACCAGATGTGGTGGCAGGCACCTGTAATCCCAGCTACTCGGGAGGCTGAGGCAGGAGAATTGCTTGAACCCAGGAGGCAGAGTTTGCAATGAGCCAAGATCGTGCCACTGCACTCTAGTCTGGGTGACACAGCAAGACGCCATCTCAAATAAAATAAAATAAAATAAAATAAAATAATATGTAAAAAATGATCAATAAATGAAATTACTATCAGTTGAAACTCATTAAATTTAAAGACGTTTTCTACTCAAGTAACTATAAGAACATGAATGTCAAGTTTCAGATGGGAAACTATTTTCAAATCACATAACCACCAATTTAATTAGAATAAGAACTCTCAGGACTCAACTGTGAAAAAGAAATAAGAAAGAAACAACCCATGGATAAAATAGGCAAAGGTTTGTGCAGACATTTCATCAAATGAGATGTGCAGATGACACATAAGCATATAAACAGGCTGTTAACAGGATTTTCCATTAAAGGAATTCAAATCAAGCCCACAATGAGACACCACTATACACTTTTTAGAATGGCTGAAATTAAGAAGAAATACAGGTAATACCAATGCTGATGAGCATACCAAGTTCCTAGTGTCTACGACATTGTTAATGGGAATGCAAAATGAAACAGCTACTCGGGAAAATAATTTTTAGTTTTTTCTGCAATCAAACATGCCCTTAACACATGACCTAAATATCCCACTCTTGAATTTTGCTTCAGAGAAATACAATCTTATTTTCACACAAAACCTCTGTTCAAATATTCAAGATATTACATGTGTGTGTGTGTTAGAAATGAAAAATAACATAAATGTCTCAAAATTTGAGTAGGTGAAAAAACTAGGAAGCATCTATAAATTGAATCCATCAGCAATAAAAAATATCAAATGATCGATTCACAAACCATTACAGTTGAACTCCAGGCATTATGCTAAGTGAGAGAAACCAGTCTCAAAGATCAAAGGAACACATCTGTAAGCAGCACTGTCAACCCCAGGTGTCAGTGGTTTGGGCTGGGCTCTCTCTGTCTCTCTCCTGACCAGACCCAGATGTTGAGCTCTGCCACTTGCAGATGGAAAATTGTACTATTTTCAATCATGCACTGAGGTTTGAATTACTTCACAGACTGAACCAAACAAACATGGGCTCCATTGAAGAGTGTCTGGCATTTATTTCAACCACAAGAGAACTTTCCCCAGCTCTCCCTCGTCCTCGGTTCTCTCCTGCAAGCCAGCAGCCCTGCAGTGTAGCCTGCATCTCTCATGCATCCACCCGTCTCCTTCCAAGGGCTTTCCACCACACCATCCACTGTTTTTGAGAGCACTGGCAGGCTTTCAATTTGTCCACATTCTGTTGTTACTGAAGTTAGGATTTTTAGGACTAATTAAGGATCATATTTTATGACTGAATTCCATTGCCCCCTCTCTCCTGGGACAGAGCTCCTAAACAAGGTTCTGCAGGTGTAGACAAAGTTGAGCTGTTTTATTCCTCAGCCTAGGAGCTGAGCTCTCAGTGGAGGGTCGGGCAGGAGCTTCCCACCTTCTCAGCACTTCGGTTATTGTGGGATGGAACCTCTGCCATAGGACAGAGCTAGAAACCAGAGACCCAGTGTTCCCAGTGGCACTGGACCCGGGGCAGAGCCTCCATCCATGAGTGGGGCTCCATGGAAGAAGTGAGTCTCTGGCTCTCAGTAGCTCTTGTTCAGCACTGAACCTCAGCATCATGTGCTGTGTGCAGGGTCAGAGGGCCAACGTACTGGGTCCTGGGGAAGAGTTTCCTCTGGTGGGAGTTGGTAGAAGGTGACCTGTCTTCTTGGCTGCATCTGTCCGCAGTGGAGTTTACATCATGCTGAGCTGGGATGTGGAAGGAAGGAAGAGCATCTTAGATCAAGTATGATGACTGGCCTTACTGAGTTTTCTAGATTTTCTTGAATAAATATTTCTTCACTTGCTTTATGTTGTTAGAGCCTTTCCAAACCCTGTAATTTTTCAAAATAATTTTCACTGGTCTCATGAGGGCCTGGATTCACTGAAACCCTCATGCTGTCAAAGAGAAATAGAATTTTTTTTCACTTTTTAGAGAACACCCATGCGTTATAAAATAATGGGTTGACTTTTCATCCAACACTTTACAGATACCATCAACTTTCCTCTTGCTTGTAAGGTTTTAACCAGAAGAATGCTGTCATCATCTTTTCTGTTCTTTTGGAAGGAATGCCCCCTCTGCTCACCTCCACTTGCCTGCGTATATTTCTATTTGTCTTTCCTTTTCAGCAGTTTTAATAAGATTTACCTAAATGTGTGTGGGGGGATCAGTGGGTGTAATTCTGCTGTTCTCTGTTCTCTGAGATGCATGGATTCACGGTTTACTCTGTCTCCATTTTGGGGAACACAATTAGAAAAAATGTCAGTATGAGCCCAGAAACAAGCCTCCCTGAAGAGGGAACAGGACCAGCTGGGGGCACTCAGGACCCACTGAGCACAAAAGCCAGCCTCAGGGCAGGTGCAGAGGGAGGTTAAGGTCTGGTTTCCTGTCAGCCCTGTGGCTTCCTCTCCATGAAACAGTTTCCTCTGGGGCACTTCTCTGGATTCCTTATCCTGTTCTTCCTGAAGAAGAAACATTTGTGGTGACAAGAGAAAAATTTTCTCACATGCACCAAAGGCAGAGTCACCTACAATCACTCCTGTTTCTCAATGTGAATAAATTATCAATGCTTCTGAATTCAATCAGCTAAATCTATAAAAGGTGTGGTGTTTAACTCAACACTGCAGCCCAGCTCAACAGAACTCCAAGGGTCAGTGAGCAGCAGGCAGGATAAAGTGCATGCTGGGCACTGGGGCAGAGGGAGTTAGCATCCAGTGCAAAAGAAGAAAGGCCCTGTGGTGGTCACTGTCAGGACTCCAAACCCATAGTTCCAATTGTAGGTGACCCCATGCAAAAGAAGAGAGAGCCCACCAATTGTTAGTGTGGATGTCAGGTCTGATAGTGCCACACTCACACCTCAGGTGGTTATGAAAAGATTTACCAACTCTATTATTGTCTGCTGAGAGCAGCACAGGCCTCTCAGGAAATTCCAAACTGGAATTTCTTCAATGGAAGAGGAAAGGAGGCTGGCTCAGGGCTTTATAATGATTTGGTGGTGGGGTTGGGGGTAGGGGCACGTTTCTACTCAGGAGAAGGAGCTTGTGTGATTTAAACCTCACACTGGCATCAGATAAGGGAGCTTCTACGATTTCTTACTAGATTTCCCATATGTGGGGGACAAGGACGAAGAAGAATAAACCTTAATTCATCAGCAGTGAGCACCAAAATAGGACCTGACACTTTATTCTCCCTAGCAGTTTAAGAAAATGAGTGAAAAAGAGAGATGAGTCCACTATGTGTGAAAAGCAAACAGATCTAAAGACAATAAAAATTTTTATTATGGTAAGCACATAATAAAAAGAAAGAGAAGAAGGAATGAGACAGGCAGGGGTGCTCAATCAATGTCCTGGGTGGGGCCTTTTCATTATCCACAGTGATCAGTTTATTCTGAAGGTCTCAGGTCAGCTTCCTGCTTCAAAATATCACAGGCCCTTATAGGGTATATAAAAATTATTATAGGATATCCACAGTTTGTCATACTTTACTAAAGTAGTCTAATAATTAGATGAAGTTCTGAATTTAATATTCAGTTGTATTAAATATTTAAAAATACCACAATCTACAAATTAGGAAACTGAGACTATATTTTTATCAAGGGTTACAGCCATCCTATACACTGGAAAGCATGGATTTGGTAAAAATGAGAGACAGGCACTCCCAAGAAGAAGGGGTTGGGCAGAAGCTTTATGCTGAACTGTTTGGCTAAACAGACTTAATCAACAGGTTACAGGAGGGGCTATGGATGTTCATGGAGGTTGTCCTGACACACGCATACTGAACAAACACACATGAAGCTTATGAGCCCTGTTCACTCACCAGTGGTGACTTAGCATTTAAATCCATTACAGTCAGGCCCTATGTGCAAATAGCAGAAGCAGAGACACAAAGGCACTCAGGGTGCACATTCTGTAAACGGCCAGAGCCAGGCCATGGTCAGTGGCCTCTGATCAGGAAAAAGATCCTGATAGCAAATGTTCAATCAAAGCTGGGGTTATGGCTTGTGGAACAGGGGGTCAGTTCATCAGGGGATGGGCTGCAATTGTCTTCATAGTGCTTGTCTCAGTGCCAGTGCTTACTGAGCCACTAGAGAAAAGGAATAACCTATTGGCAGTTAAAACATAGTTTATCTTTTAAGTGTAGAAGTGAGTGGCAAAATCCTTGCCTGGCAAGGCCTTAGGTCTTGTTTATAATTTGACATCTTACTGCCACTCTTCTGTCAGTCTTAAGATCTCTATTTTAACATGAGTGTTGGTCACTGCTGTGACTAAACCACAAAGGGGAGTAGGTATAACGAGGCGTGTCTGATCTCTTGTTTAGTCATGGTTGGAAAAAGTTTTTAGATTTTTAGGGGGTTCCCTAGGCCAAGAGATGGACTATTTAATCAGTGGTGGGTTTTAGGGATTTATTTTTAGGTTACAGTTTATAAATATGAACCCAACTATTGACTTTCTGCAATTTCACTGCTGTGTTGTGGTTAAAAGTACCTGGTAAAATTCCTTCCAAAGTGGTTCAAGAGCAATATTCTACCCTGATGTTTCTTACAATAGATATAATTCCCCTCTTTAATCTTATTAGAGGTTACTGAAAAGATGTAGGGAAATGATGGTTTAATCTGTTGATGAATAGTGTGGGTAAATGTATGGGCCTTCCAGCTACCAAATAATAGGCTAACAACTGATGTCTCCCTGAGGGTGTTAACTATAAGGCTGTCTTGCTAGGGAGAGAACCTTTGGCCAAGGAAGTTCAAGATTTTCTTAAGGTTTGGACAATTTTAGTTTAAGGATGACAATTTTCTTCAACATTTTCAGAAAATTGTGGATGGGACGGATGCTGTGTTGTATACATAATGCTAATGCCTTCCATATTTAGATAATATTATAAACTCCTGACTGATAAGACTGCTTACTTGGTGTGATAACCCACTACAATATGTATACTTTTAGTTGGTATGCTATGTCATTTTCCTTTCAGTTTTTACTTTCCAAGTTATATTAGTCAGGTCTCTAAAATGTAGGAGTGCATCTAAAATGTGTTATTTTGTTGTGCATTTTTACATGTTCCAGAAGATGTGAGAAATTTCTTTGCATGAAGAGCATCACAAAGTCAGGTACTCCTCTAGAACATGTGTTTAATCCTTGTCTTTGGCTTATTGATGAGCTCTGTTGACTGCAATAAATTCTGCCATCCGGGCTGACTTTACATCACGTAGAGGAACAAACGCTGAATGAAAGTTTGCACTACTCAATTGAGTGCATAACCTCATTTCATTACCGATGTATAATGCATCAGAGATGATATTAGATCAAGGATTTCAATGGGAATCTAATCTAACAGATGTAAACAAATTTTCATAATTTAGATAAAATTACTGTGAGCACACTGCTACTATTCAGCCATGTCTCCTGTCTATCACACTGAATCCACAATAACTTTGACCTAAAAGTTAGCATTTGTTCTAATGTTCAGATGTGTTATTTTTATTGTAATGTCTCTCGATGATTATGTGTGGCTATCTTGGCCAAGAGTGAAGGAAAGCAATTTTAACTGAAAAAAAAAATGAGAGAAAGCACAACCTAATGAAATGGAAGTCAGGACATGAGTGTCTCCAGGCTTTTGTATTTCAAGTGTTCATGCACCCGGGGATTTCTTTTCTTAATTGTACACAGAGCAACACCCAAAATGTTCATTTCCTCTCCCATTGACTCTTATCATCTGTTTCTATGTCAGTTAGCTTCGAATTTTTGACCCCAGCTGCATCCAAGTAGCTGCAAATAAGCATGATTTCATTCTTTTTTATAGCTGCATAGTATTCCACTGTGTATAAGAACCATGATTTCTTTATCCAGTCTATAACTGATGGACATTTAGGTTGATTCCATGTCTATGGTACTGTGAATTGCACAGTGATACACACATGAGGGGATGTGTTTTCTTTGTTACAATAATTTGTTTTCTTTGGGGCATATACCCAGGAATTGGATTGCTGAGGGGAATTGTAGGTCTGTTTTAAGTTATTTGAGAAATCTCTAGATTGATTTCCACAGTGCTTTGGCCAAGTTACATTTTCACCAAACATATGTAAGTGGCGCTTTTCTCTATAGCCTTGTCTGCATCTGTTAATTTTTGATCTTTTAGTGATAGCAGTTCTGACATGTGTTAGATAGTATCTCATTTGGTTTTGATTTGCACTTATTTGATTATTGAGGATGCTGAGCATTTTTGTATGTTAGTTGGCCACTTCTGTGTCTGTATTTGAGAAGTTTCTGTGCACGTCCCTTCCGCATTTTTAATGGGGTTATTTGATTTATGCTGCTAATTTAAGTTCCATATAGATTACTGCCTTGCACACACTGAGAAAACAAGTATTCAAAACTAAATAGAAAAAACATAATCACTTGTAGGTAAAAACATACTGAATTTAGAATGGCTGTGGATTGCCAGTTGGTACTGAAATGGGACAGCAACTTTGGAAAATGGTCTTCACTGAAAACCTCATATACAAGTGTACCTAGTGTCACCACTCACAGTAGTCGAATGGAGAATACAACTCAAGTGCCCATCGACTGCCATAAGGATGAAGATGCTGCAGTGCGTCTGTGGGTCTGTAACTCACAGGGTTGAAGACACCGTGGTGTGTCTGTGTGTCTGTAACCCACAGGGATGAAGATGCCGCGGTGTGTCTGTGTGTCTGTAACCCACTGGGATGAAGATGTCATGGTGTGTCTGAGTGTCGGTAACCCACAGGGATGAAGAGGCTGCGGTGTGTCTGTGTGTCTCTAACCCAGCTTTAAAGAGGAGTGAAGCACTGACATAGGCTGCAACTTGGATGAGCCTTGAAAACATTGGGTGAGTGAACTGAGGGAGACACAGAAGTCCACACCCTGAATTGTCCCATTGACGTGAAGTATGCAGAGGAGGAAAATCCCTAGAGACAGATCCCAGGAGGTGAGTGGAGGGGAAATGGAGAGTAATGCTTAATGGAGCTGCAGTTTTCTTTGAGGAGATGAAAATGTTCCCAAACCAAACAGTGGTGATGGTTGCACAGCATTGCGAATGTGTAAAGTATCACTGACCAATACACTTAATGAGGGCTAAAATGGTAAATTTTATGTTTTGTGTATCTCAACTCAATAAAAACGAGTGCCACATTTTGTTTAGTGAATCAACAACAATAACATTTAGGTTTAAATGCTGGATTCCCCAACAGAACCAGTGCTTCCTGCTGGAGCTTCATCCATCAGCCCCAAGGAAGGGAGTGGAGTGGGTCAGGTGCACAGGTCATGAAGGGAGCACAAATTCCAACCCACTCCTCAAGAGTCTGGTCACCACCTCCAGATCTACGTCCAAAAAACAGTTTTTCCTACAGCTGAGCTACAAGTGCACAACCATGTATGTATGTACGTATCTATTTTTGAGAAGGAGTTTCACTTTTGTTGCTCAGGCTGGAGAGCAATGGCACAATCTCTGCTCACTGCAACTCCCGCCTCCTGGGTTCAAGCGATTCTCCTGTCTCAGCCTCTGAGTAGCTGGGATTACAGGTGCCCGCCACTATGCCTGGCTAATTTTTGGTATTTTTAGTAGAGACAGGGTTTCATTATGTTGCGCAGGCTGGTCTCAAACTCCTGACCTCAGATGATCCGCCTGCCTTGGCCTCCCAAATTGCTGGGATTATAGGCGTGAACCACCTCACCTGGCCACAACCATGTATTTTTGTTTGTTTGTTTGTTTGATGTGGAGTCTCGCTCTGTCGCCCAGGCTGGAGTGCAGTGGCGCGATCTCAGCTCACTGCAAGCTCTGCCTCCCGGGTTCACGCCATTCTCCTGCCTCAGCCTCCCGAGTACCTGGGGACTACAGGCACCTGCCACCACACCCGGCTAATTTTTTGTATTTTTAGTAGAGCTGGTGTTTCACCGTGTTAGCCAGGATGGTCTCGATCTCCTGACCTCCTGATCCGCCCGCCTTGGCCTCCCAAAGTGCTGGGATTACAGACGTGAGCCACCGCACATGTATTTTTAAGCAAAAAACAGTGAGGGGACATCAGTGTGAGCCCACACACAAACCTCCCTGTGGGGGTTCACAGGACAGCTGAGGGTGCTGAGGACAGAAGCAAGTACTCAGGAACCAGCAGGGAGAACCAGGGGGCACTTGGCGCCGCATGGGGGCTCAGGAGCATTGTGGGGCTCAGTGGTCAGGCAGGCTCAAGGCTCAGCATCAGGGCAGGTACAGCAGGTGGGGAAAGGCCCTGGAGATGGGGTTTTGTGCCACATTCTCATTGCACCACTAGACACCCTCCACTATATCTAGTCTCATGTGTATGAGTGTTTATATGTTTAGAGAATAATATTTATATTATAAATATATAGCCATATGTTAGACTCTTCAGCTTCAACTTATGTGGACCCCATTCATTAGGAATAAGTCCTTGTATTTGAAGACTTCATAAATTAAAATTTTTGTGGAATCACTTTCTTTTTCAGTCTCCTTTCCTCCCTTTTTCTTTCTTTCTCTCACATACACTGACAAACACACGGGGTGCTATAACTTTAATTACCTGATACATTAAAGCAAATTGATTCATTTGCAACTTGACCAGTTTAGCAGTTGTTCATGTTGTTGTAAGATTAAGAACATGTTTCTCAGCTGTGTACTTCTCTGAGCTGAGCAGCAGCTTTATTTGAAATACACAGAAACTGAAAATTCAAATATTAATCAGCAGCTTTATCAATAAACAAATTGTGGAAAAGTCATTTATTGGAATAGTACCCATTACTACAATCAATTAATGTTGGATATGATCAACAGTGTGGTTCAATTCACAAGTACACATGATAAGTATAATGAGTCAAAGCACATACATATGACTCCAGTTTATAAAATGTACAAAGCGAATACTCATTGCAAGTTACATAATGAAGATACCTAACTGACTTCTACATGGTAAGAGGAGGAAAGGTGTAGAAAGGGAAATTTCAGGAGAAAAAGAGAAAATTGTGAGGCTAATTGATTTGTTTTATCTGTGAGTGGTGATGATTATGTCAATATTTGTCAAACTGAGAAGATATTAGGTGAAGACTACAATTTTTCAGTATTATCTCATAAAAAATAAAAGTGTATAATTTGGTAGAAAAAGATAAAGAGAGAGATAAAAATAGTACAAGAAAAGCCTTAGACTTCTGAATACACATGCGAATGAATCCTCAGTTTTTCTATATTATTTAGAAAAACACTAAGATACAGCCAAATAATATGATATCATTATATTAAGAGGATTTTGTAAACCTCACTCAGAATTTCTTGCTCTGTCCTAGAGTTAATTTAGGAAGCAGTTGGATCCAGTCCTGAGAAACACAGGCCAGACAGTGAGACTGGCTCTTACCAGATGTGAGCTCGTAGACACGTCACATGGCCCCTCCATGCTTGGGAGTTTATGTTCACATTTGTAAATGAAGGAAAACTTGACTCTCACGGAGCATAATTCATGTGCATCTAAAAGTAGACATGCTAATGATAATTAATTATTTATGACATATAATCGCTCATATCCACTCTGGGACACAGCCCACTCTGAGGCATCCCTTCCAGAACTCGCTATATAGTAGGAGACATGCAAATGGGCCCCTTCCATTGCTGATGAAAACCAGCCCAGCCCTGACCCTGCAGCTCTGGGAGAGGAGCCCCAGCCATGAGATTCCCAGGTGTTTCCATTCAGAGATCAGCACTGAACACAGAGGGCTCACCATGGAGTTTGGGCTGAGCTGGGTTTTCCTTGTTGCTATTTTAAAAGGTGATTCATGGAGAAATAGAGAGATTGAGTGTGAGGGGACATGAGTGAGAGAAACAGTGGATTTGTGTGGCAGTTTCTGACCAGGGTGTCTCTGTGTTTGCAGGTGTCCAGTGTGAGGTGCAGCTGGTGGAGTCTGGGGGAGGCTTGGTCCAGCCTGGGGGTTCTCTGAGACTCTCATGTGCAGCCTCTGGATTCACCTTCAGTGACCACTACATGAGCTGGGTCCGCCAGGCTCAAGGGAAAGGGCTAGAGTTGGTAGGTTTAATAAGAAACAAAGCTAACAGTTACACGACAGAATATGCTGCGTCTGTGAAAGGCAGACTTACCATCTCAAGAGAGGATTCAAAGAACACGCTGTATCTGCAAATGAGCAACCTGAAAACCGAGGACTTGGCCGTGTATTACTGTGCTAGAGACACAGTGAGGGGAGGTCAGCGTGAGCCCAGACACAAACCTCCCTGCAGGGGCGTGCGGGGCCACCAGGGAGCGCTCGGGACCACTGAGATAGGGACAGGTCCCAGGAGCAGGGGCAGGGGGCGGTTTCCTTTCTCAGATGCAGGAGGCAGGTTTGTTTTTGCAGGACTCTGGAGTTTTATGAGTTAGCGATATGTTATTATTTTTATTTATGATGTATTTTTATTGATATTTGTGTTATTGTAATTTTAAAATTTATATGTAGGGATATTTTTTAAAGATACATAACTTCAAGAAATAATTCTTCCTAATTATTTACTCTTATTCTTCTAGAGTTTTATTAACGTCTGTTGATATCAGCTACTCCACAGCTATAGAGACATTAATTTACATCCTAGACATACGATTAAATACACAAACCTATGCATACATGTATAGTCTTTTATATTTAACATTATAACAGAACAATTCTAAAATATGTCCTAAAGAATCAAACTTAATGAAAAACAAATATAAATTATTAAAGTAATCTATAATTGATTTCAATGATTCTCTATGATTCACATAAATCGATGTCTATTTGTAAGCTTAAACATAGTGTATTGGTCATTTTAAAATAGCCAAGAAATAATTTCAAATATTCTTGTCACAAAAAGTGATAGGGATTTGTGGATTTGAGGTAATATATATGTCGATTAGCTTGATTCAATTATTCCATATTGTATTCACAAATCATAACATAGCTTTGCAGGCCATAAATATATACAACAAAAATTTCTCAATTTTCAATGAAAATTTAATTATATTTGTTAATCTACCCTAGGTCATGAATTTTTCCCCCCTGTCCAGATCTGATTGAATCGTCCTGAGGAACTCATCCATTCTCATGTCTCCCGAAGGCTTCAGTAGCTCTTAGATGGGTAGAATCAGGCAAACCATGTGTGTCCACAGGTCCAGGAGCATCTCTCTCCTTGGATTAGGCCTCCTCCTCAGGATTACAGGTCTCTTCAGTTTTCTCAACATGCTGTTGTTGTACCAAATAAACACAAAAACACTTCCTTTTATTATGCTTTGGTTTAATTTTTCAAAACAACATAAAGATGATAATTTTAACAATAAACATATTACAACCTACCATACACGAGACTCTTCCTATGATTCAAGGTTTCTTATCAGGACTTTATATGTATTACATATTTTCAATTTCTTTCTGATACGGAATGCTGATGTCTCTTTATTAAAGATTATTCTTTTATGTATTTTTTTATTGTTATACTTTAAGTTCTGGGATACATGTGCAGAACGTGCAGGTTTGTTACATAGGTATACATGTGCCATGGCAGTTTGCTGCACCCATCATCCCATCAACTACATGAGGTATTTCTCCTAATGCCATCCCTCCTCTTGCCCCCCACCCCCAACAGGCTCTGGTGTCTGATGTTCCCCTCCCTGTGCCCATATGTTCTCAGTGTTCAACTCCCACTTATGAGTGAGAACATGTGGTGTTTAGTTTTCTGTTTCTATGATAGTTTGCTGAGGATGATGGTTTCCAGCTTCATCTGTGTCCCTGCAAAGGACATTAACTCATTGTTTTTTTATGGCTGTATAGGATTCCATGGCGTATATGTGCCACATTTTCTTACCCAGTCTAACATTGATGGGCATTTGTGTTGGTTCCAAGTCTTTGCTAATGTGTATAGTGCTGGAATAAATATACGTGTGCATGTGTCTTTACAGTAGAGTGATTTATAATCATTTGAGTATATACCCAGTAATGGGATGGCTGGATCAAATGGTATTTCTGGTTCCAGATCCTTGAGGAATTGTCACACTGTCTCCCACAATGGTTGAACTAATTTACACTCCCACAAACAGTGTAAAAGTGTTCCTATTTCTCCACATCCTCTCCAGCATCTGTTGTTTCCTGACTTTTTAATGTTCGCCATTCTAACTGGTGTGAGATGATATCTGATTGTGGTTTTGATTTGCATTAGTTTATCTCTTAAAATTAATTTTCAAAAGACCCACTGAAAACCCGGGTATTATTAGAACTTTTAGGTGTAATCATTGTACCAACATTGAGAATAAATTCAATTTATTTCACATGTTCTAAAATATCCTTTTCTCTTTAAAAGTTGTTCATAGTTGTAATATCAAACAGAATATTAGTAATTTATACTTATGACAGATTAAAATATTGTGTAAATAATTTAAAGACATTTGATTAGAAAAAAGAATACATGTTCCACATATGTCCTATTTTTGTCTTCTCTATGAAATGTGTGCTTTTTATTTTTTATGTTACAGATGTTACCCTTATCTTTTTGGATTCAGGAATTTAATTTGCTAGGTATACTTGAGTGTACTTTATTAATTCATTTAATAATGTTCATATTTTATATAAGGGTTTTATATTATTTTTATTATTTGCTGAATTTTAAAGTATTTTATACATTTTTATTTCTTGTTTTATGAGATAAAATTTACATATAAGAAGAAATGCATAGATCTAAAATGTATCACTAGAGAGTTTCTGGCAAAGGTGAATACCCTTGTCCCCAACACCTAAGGTAGCTGAAGAGCAAGTCCACCCCCAACATAGGTCTTCCTCTGTGCCTGCAGTCAACTCCTGCATGGGGAAATGTTTTGATTTCTGACACCATAGATCCATGTTTTTCTGCTTTGAACTTCACATAAATGAAATCTAACATTATAGACTTTTTTTGGTAATGGCTACTTTTGCTATATTTGAGGTGTATTCATGCTATTTAATGTATAAAATTAGATCAACATATTGTCATTTATTCAATTAATGAACTGACTCTGACATGAAACCTCAAAGTTTTCATGTATATATGGAGACAGAGAGAGAGAAAGGACAGAGATTTTATGTCTGAGTCAGCCCATTAAGTAAATAAATGACAATATATTGATCTATTTTTCTGTTGATGGACTTTAAATTTGTTTCCAGTTTATAAATATTGTAAGCAAAGCTGTTGCAAATATCTTAACATAAGTTTTTCTATGTTCTCTCATTTTTATTGAGAAAATATGAAGTATGCATTTCTTTATTATAAGAGTAAGTTTAATTTTTTTCATTTTTATTGAGGTATAATAGAAAATTTTTAAAAAGTATATATTTAAAGTGCTCCACTTGATGTTTTTATGTTTTATTGGTCTGTTCTCACAGTGCTAAAAAGAAATGCCTGAGACTCAGAAATTTTAAGAAAAGGATATTTAATTGGCTCACAGTTCTGCAGGCTGTACAGGAAATGCAGTGGCTTCTCCTTGTGGGGAGACTCAGCAAAGTTAGAATCATGGCAGAAGACAAAGGGGAGCAGGCACATCACATGGCCAGAGCAGGAGCCACAGGAAGTGGCGGGGGAGGTCTACACACTGTTAGACAACCAGATCTTGTAAGAACCCATGCACTGTAGTGAGAACAGCACCAGGAGTTGTTGCTGAACCATTCATGAAAGACCCACCCCATGACCCAGTTGTCTCCCACCAAATCCCACATTCAGGATTGAGGATTATAATACATGAGATTTGGTCCAGGACACAGATCCAAACCAAATCAGATATACATTGTAAAATGCTCATCATGGTAGGGTAATTTGTAGATCTATCATCTCACAGAGCTACCATTTTTATTTTTACTGCGTGTGTGTCTGTGTGTGCGTGTGTGTGTGTGTCCCATGAGAACACCTAAGATCTACCTTTTTAGCAAATATCATTTTTACAATACAGTATTAACTATAGGAACATTGCCATATATTAGACCTCCAGGACTCAATCACCCTGCACAACTGAAACTCTGTACCCTTTGGCCAACGTCACCCAATTTCCCTCTCCTCTCAGGTCCTGAGACCCACTATCCTACTCTCTGCTTTCAAGAGCTGGGATAGTTTAGATCCTACACGTAAATGAGATCATGCAGCATTTGTCTTTCTGCATCTGGCTTATTCCACTTAGCATCACGTCCTCCAGGCCCATCCGTGTTGTTGCAAATGTCAGAATTTCCTTCTTTTCAAAGCCAAATAAAATTCAGTTTTGTGTATACACATTTTCTTTATACATTCATCCACTTACAGTCATTAAGTTATTTTACAAATCTATACAATTATTTATAATCTGGCAATGAACATGTCTTTGGCAAAATAATTTTATTTCCATTAGATGTATAACAAGAAGTGGGATCACCAGATTATATGATAGCTTTATTTTCAACTTATGGAGTAACCAATCCCACCACAAAATATTCCCTTTTCCACACATTCTTGCCAACATTTGTCATCTTTTACCTTTCTGATGATAGCCATATTAACTTGTGTGAGGTGATATCGCATTGTGCTTTTGATTTGAATTCCCCTGATAATGAGGAATGTTGAGAACATTTGCATTTTCTGTTAGCCATGTGTTGGTCTTCTGAAAAAAAAATCTATCCAGGATTTTGCCCTTTTTTTAATCAGTTCATTTGTTATTTGCTATTGAGGTATATGGGTTATTTATACATTTGGATAGAACTTCTTGTCAGATACATAATTGCGCATAGTTTTTCCTGTGCTTTGGTATTAAATTCAAAGAAATCAGTTCTGAATCAATGGTAGGAAGATTTTTTTCCTCCATGTCATTTATGAGTTTATGGTTTCAGGTATTATACCCATTATTAGTTGATTTTTATATGGAGTTAGAGAAGGCCTAATTTTATTTCTTTTGCATATGGATGCCTGGTTGTTACACCATTATTGAAAAGACTGTACTTTCTCTACTGTGTGTTCTTGGCACACACAATCAGGAAGAGACATAATGACAAAAGAAAATATCAGATGAATATTCCTGATGAACATAGACCTGAAAGTCCTCAACAAAATACTAGCAAATAGAATCCAGAAGCACTTCAAAATGTGATACATCATGGTTAAGTGGGCATTGCCCCTGGGACGCAAGGCTCATTCAATATCCACAGTAACTGTGATTCACAATGTAAACAGAATAAATGCAAAAACCATATGATTATGTCAATAGATGCTGAGAAAGCTTCTGATAGGATCCAACATCCACTCATGACAAAAACCCTAAACAGACTAGACATCAAAGAATCATACCTCAGAATAATAAGAGCTATCTATGACAAACCCCCAGTCAACATCATATTAAATGAGCCAATTAAAACACTTGTCTTTATAAATTACCCAGTCTCAGTTGTTTCTTTACAGTGTGAGAATGGACTAAGACAGCATCTAAATAGGAAAGGAAGTCCATCCATCCGTCTTCACTGATGATACAATTTTATAGCTAGAAAATCCTAAAAACTCTGCCAAAATAATTGTAGAATAAACAACGTTAGTAAAGTGTTAGGATACAAAATCGATAGACAAAAATTACCAGCATTTCTATACCCCAACCACATCCAAGCTGAGAGTATAATCAAGAACACAATCCTTTCCAACTTACAATATCCACAAAGAAAATGAAATGCCTGGGAACACAGATAACAAACAAGGTGAAAAATCCCTACAAAGAGAACTACAAAACACAGCAGAAATAAATCATAAATGACAAAAATAAATGGGAAAACATTTCATGCTCATGGATTGGAAGAACCAATATTGTAAAAATTGTCATACTGCCCAAAGGAATTCACAGATTCAATGCTATTTACATAAAACTATCATCATCATTATTCACAGAATTAGAAAAAAAAACATTCTAAAATTTATATGGAACCAAAAAAGACCCTGAATAGTCAAAGCAATCCTAAGCATAAAGAACAATGCTAGAGGCATCATGATACTGACCTTAAACTACACCATAAAGTCTTGCTAACAAACACATCTTGGCACTGGTATGAGAGCAGACACGCAAAAAAAATAGATCAAAATAGAAAACAGAAATAAAGTTGCACACCTGCAACCAGTTGATCTTTGACAAGGCTGACAAAAACAAGCAATGGGGAAAAAACTCTGTATTCAGTAAATGGTGCTGGGATAACTGGATTCTGGCAGATATGCAGAATGCAAGAGTGAAGGAGCCTGTGCAACTTCTACCTAGATTTCAGATGTGTAGAGAGCCCTGCATGCCCAGGAAGAAGCCTGGTGCAGGAGTGGAGCCACCACTGACAGCCTCTACTAGGGCAGCACCAAAGATGGGGAGAGATGGAGTTGGAGCCCCCATTCAGAGTCCCCACTAGGGTGCTTCATAGTAAAGTTGTGGGAATGTGACCACAACCCTCAAGACCCCAGAATGGTAGGGCCATGGGCAACTTGCACCCTCAGCCTAGAAAAGCTTCCAGCACTTGACTCTCACTTGTGAAGGCAGCCCCATGGTCTGTGCCTAGCAAACTATAGGGATTGTCTGCCTGCGGTTTTGGGGACCCAATCCTTGTTCCAGTGTGCCCTGGTTGAAGTACATAAAGTCAAGAGAGATTATTTTGTAGCATTAGGATTTAATATCTGCAGTGCTGGGTTTTATATGCATGTGGGGCCTGTTGGTTGTTCCTCTGGCCAATTTATCCCTTTGGGGTTGGAATTATTTACCCAATGCCTGCACCATCATTGCACCTTGGAAGTAAACAACTTTCATTTTTTAAACTTGCAAGCTCACAGCTGGAGGGAAATTGCCTTAAGACTCAGATGAGACTTTGGACATTTGAGTTGGAGGTTGATCAAGTTAACATTTTGGGAACTATTGAAAAAAAGGTGATTATATTTTGCAATGTAAGAAGAATATGAGAACTTTGGGTCCGAGAGTGCAATGATATCATTTAAGGGTTTTACCCTCCAAATGTCATGGTGAAATGTGACCCACAATGTTGGAGGTGGGGCCAACTGGATGGTTTTGGGTCATGAGGAGATTTTTCAGGACTGGGTTGGCATCCACCCCATGGTAATTAGTGAATTCTTGCTGTATTAGCTACTGTGAGATTTGATTGTTCAAAAGAGTCTGGCAACCCTCCTACCCTCTCATGTCCCCCCTCCTCACCATATGACACAGCCTCCTCCCCCTTTGCATTCCACCATGACTGTAAGCTTCCTGAGGCCCTCACAAGAAGCGGATGCTGGTGCCATGCTTCTCACACAACCTGCAGATCTGTAAGCCAAATAATCCTCTTGTCTTTGTAAATCACTTGGCCTCAGGTATTAATCTATACCAATGTAAAATAGACTAATACACTGCTCAAAGCAATATACAGAGTCCATGCAATTTATATCAAGTAACTAATATAATTGATTACATATTTTTAAAAATCCTAAAATTCATATAGAACCAAAAAAGAGTCTGAATAGCAAAAGCAATCTTAAGCAAAAAGAACAAAGCTGGAAGTACCACATTCCCTGACTTCAAACTACACAACACAAATATAATAAGAAAGGCAGCATGGTAGTGGTAGAAAAAAATCAAGAGCCCAGACATATAGCCAAATATCTACAACCAACAGTTCTTTGACAAAACTGACAAAAATATACACTGGAGAAACAACTCTCTGTTCAATAAGTAGTGCTGGGAGAATTGGATAGCCTTATGTAGACGAATAAAATGAGACTTCTATATCATCACAGACACAAATTAACTGAATTGGATTCAATGTTTAAATTTATAAACTCATAAAAATGCTTGAAGAAAATCTAAAAAAATCCTCTAGACATTCGCCTAAGCAAATAAAATATGACTAAGACTGACTTCAAAAGCAAATGCAATGAAAACAAAATTAGACAAACAGGATTAATTGAAACAAAGATTGTCTGCACAGCAAAAGAAATAACCAACATAGTGAAAAGACAACCTGTGAACAGTAAAAAAAAAAATTTGCAATCTATTCATCAAAGGGCTAATACATAGAATCTACAAGGAACTCAAATCAGTCAACAAGAAATAACAATTTCATTAAAGAGTGAGCAAAAACCAGACATTTCTCAAAAGAAGACACAGACATGGCCAAAACAAATAAGAAAACATACTCAGCATCACCAATCATCTGATAAATGTAAATTACAAACAACATGATATAGCATCTTCCACCAGTCACAATGGCTGTTATTACAAATAAAAAACAGCAGGTGTTTGCAGAGAAGCATAGGAAAAATAATGCTTTTTATATGCTTGGTGAAAATATAAATTAGTACAACCTCTATGAAAAACAATACAGAAGTTTCTCAAAGAACTAATATTAGAATTACCATTTGACCCAGTAATCCCTCCCAGTGGGTATATTCCTCCCAAAAGGAAATTTTACATCAGAAAAAGTCACCTGCATTCCTATATTTACTGCAACACTATTTTCAATAGAAAAGTCAAGTAATCTAAGTGCCAATCAGTGGATGATTAGATAGATAAAATATGATAGATGTAAATTGTGGAATACTATGCAGCCATAAAAATTGAAATTGTGTCTTTCACAGCAACATGAAGAGTTGTAGGACATTAGCCTAAATAAAATAACTCAAAAAGATCTTCTCTTTTATAATCGGAAAGTAAATAATGGGTACACATATACATAGATAAAAAACAATAGGCACTGGGAACTGCAAAAGAGGGCAAGGTGAGAGGAATGTGAGGGTTAAAAAATCACCTACTGGCTCCAATGTTCACTAGTGGGCGATAGTTACACCAGAAGCCCAAACCTCACCTTTATGAAATATATTCATGTTACAAAATTGCACATGTACACCCTGATTCTACGGAAAAAAAACAGAAATAAAACATGAACAGAACTGTTACACTGTTAGCTAGATTTATCAACAAACAAGAAAAATGCAAAAGGAGCAATTATCTGTTTTGAGACCCTTTCTCATTTTCTGGTACGATTAGAAATTGTAGACTAATCCCTATATTCTCTTCCAAAGCCCTAGCATTAGCCATTTCTCAAAGACATGCTGGTTCCTTTTTTTTTTTTTTTTTTTTTGAGACAGGGTCCAGGCTCACTGCAACCTCCACCTCCTGGGTTCAAGCGATTCTCCTGTCTCAGCCTCCCAAGTAGCTGGGATTACAGGCATGCGCCACTATGCCTGGCTACTTTTTGTATTTTTAGTAGAGACGGGGTTTCGCTATGTGGGCCAGGCTGGTCTCAAACTCCTGACCTCAAATGATCTGCCCACCTCAGCCTCCTAAATTGCTGGAATTACAGGTGTTAGCCACTGCCCCCTGTCACTGGTTTCTTTTATAGAAGAATAGTATTAAAAACTCAAATCTTGATTCTGGGTGTATTTTTTGTTAATGTGCACTCATTTCTTGTAGAAATTCTCAGGTAAAAAAATCTAGGAAGTGTGTGTTGTGTATTAACCCATATATGCACACACATCTAAACTATTTTTATCTAATATATGTACCTATATTATGCTAAACTTGCAAATAAAATGACATGTCCACTCTAAGTTAATACCACATGAATGTTTATCACATTCCTTCTATGCCTGTCACTAACCTTGCACTCCAACCATGAGGAACCCCATTTCCCCACACACCGTCCATTCTCTTTGTAGTCCAATTCCAAGATTCCTGTGGAGTGTAACCAGATGTGTAAGTTGTGCTCTTTTGTGGAACATCATCAATTGGGGTACAATGCTGATGTGCAGTTTCTTTTTTCTTTAATCTTATTGCCTACACCATTTCTGAATCTACTTAGTACCTCTTTTGAATTCATACATTTGTAATGGAATTAGACATTTTCTATATTATCTGCATTCCATCCTGGAATTCCTAATCACCTATTTTTAAAAAAATTTCTTTTCAAGTAAGATTGTATTAGTCAGGGTTCCCTAGAGGGGCAGAACAAACAGGATATATATACACACACGACACACACACACACACACACACACACACACACACACACGGAGTTTATTAAGGAGTATTAACTCATATGATCACAAGGTCCCACAATAGGCCATCTGCAAGCTGAGGAGCATGGAAGGCAGTCCGAGTCCCAAAGCTGAAGAACTTAGCCAGTCTAATCTTTTCATGTTCTTCTGTTTTTCTTTTTTTTTTTTTCCTCTGGCCACACTGGCAGCTAATTAGATTGCACCACCCAGATTAAGAGTGTGTCTCCCTTTTTCAGCCCACTGGCTCAAAGGTTAATCTCCTTTGGCAACACCCTCACAGACCCACCCGGGATCAATACTTTGCACCCTGCAATCTAATCAATGCTAATCAGTATTTAGCATTACGAGTCCACCCTGTCAACTTGAAACCATACACATCTCCTGAGATTATATATAATCTTCAAATAAAGACAATAATAAAGTCATAATTACACCTAATATAATACAACTTTATTCGTACAACTGGAAATGCACCAATCCCCAATCCAAATGCTATTACATATGGTCCACTCCCTCAAGGACACAGCCAGGATCATTCTATGACTTGGTGTCTAGAAGACTCATGCACTTTTAATTTTGCCTCCAATATTAGACTCCACTTTATCACATGCAGACACCGCAGAATATTTTAAGACATCGATGTCTTATGCTGAAAAATTCAACAGTACGTAAAATTGCCTTCCCACCACAGCCAGTGGTTACTACTGAATAAGGATCTGCCATCCCCTAGGGAGTGCTATAGTGGATGGTGTGCACTGTTAGTAGCTATGGAAATTGATCCGTTGTGGCAAATGGCAGCATCTTTCTTTTATAACATTAAACCGTATTATATTGTATACACATACCACATTGTCTTTATTCATTTGTCTATGTGCTGACCATCAGATAGTTTCCATATCTTGGCTGTTATTAATAGTGTTTCAATAAACATAGGATGCAGATATCTTTACAAGGTGGTAATTTCATCTACTTGGGTATGCTCCCAGAAACAGGATTTCTGGTCATATAAAATCTCCAGTTTTAATTCATTTAGGAGGCTTTATGTTGCTTTCCATAATTGTGGAAATGTAGAATGGTATAGCCATTATGAAAAACAGTTTTGGTTTTGAGTTATGATCCATAAACAGCATTTGCTTATGGCTCTCAATGAGAGTTTCTACTAAATATGATGGAAGGCCAGGAAGGATTCTCACCTTAAAGCTTGGATGGATTATGAATTTACCTCTTATTTCCTAAAAGCAAAACATTGGAAGCATACATGATGGAGGCTGTTGGCAGGTTTCAGGATGATCTCATAAGAGGAGAATCTGTTGCATAAAAATGTTGGGTTTTCAGTCATAGACCCACCTACACTCAATATGAAATGATGAAGTCAAGTGAGGATCTAGAACATGTTCACTTGAAGCAACAGCATATTCTCAAAGGAACTTATTGCTGCCTCACAAGGGTGATGAACTTCTGAAACCAGTAAAGTGTGAGTGCACAGTAAGTGATAAAGTTATCATGTCTACATGAAGTTTGTTTAATGTGCCAAGGGCTGGTACAGATTAATCTTATACAAATATATGCAATATATTTTTGCATACATAGATATCTAGAGGATAATCCTTTTAGCAAAACTTCTTCAGGTTACAGAAATCTGTGTAAGTTGTAGATCTCATGGGGAACTCTTTCTTTATAAATACTGGTCTGTTTTTCACATCAGGAAAAATTATCTCTGTTGGAGTAGGCTTCCAATTGTGTAGACTTCTGAATTGCTTCTTGAGTTGTAACAAATGAACCAAAAAATTTGACTAACTGGAGTTTCATGGCTGTGTTAATAAAAATTTCTTATAAGCTTTCTTTCAATTATTTGAGACCAGTTTTCCTGATTTTATTTTTCTCCAATAGATAAATTTTCACAATTTATCTATTGTGAAACTAAACTCTCTGGCACTTTAGTTTAAAAGACTGGCTTCCTAGGAAAAGGCTTCTTTCTAACAATGATGAGCTCATTTCTTCTGCAAACCATCAAGTTTGAGCCTCATTGTCAAGAATCATGAAAATTTTAACTCTGATATACTGAAAGTCATGACTCTTGAATTTATTATTTATTGGCATTGACAAAAGTGATTCATTCTTGGATGTATCCTATGTTGCTGGCCAAACATATCAGTGAACTGAGTATCCTCCCTTAGCTCTCTCTGTCTGTAGCACTGAGTCTACAATCTTCAGAGTCATCCATGAAGGGGAGTCCTGAGGTTCATGGGATTCTTGTAAACATTCAGGTGAACAGAAGAAAGAAACAGGATTGAGGGCTGCCAGCTATTTCCATGCCATTAGGAATAATTACCATCTAAGTATAAAGGTCTACATTGTACAGAATACCCTACAGGATAGGCTGATGCAAAAAATTCCAAACCCACAGAGGCTCCACAGCAACCCTTACAGTTCTTTCAGGGAAGAAATAATCTCCAAATTAAGTGAGTCAGGAAAGCTGCTCTGAGCTATAGGAAAAATTGGATTTGGCCCAGGTTTGTCTGAGTTCAACGTAATTATTATACTCAGCTCCTGCTCCAATATGGACTGAGTATGGGGAATTTAAATGAGCCTGGCTGTGTGGTTTGTTATATGAAAATCTGAACTAAATAAACATAAAAGGCATGTCTGGACTAGCATGAGGGTGAGAGATCTTGGGAACCCCACCCCCATACTCTTATCGCCCTTTCCTCCAGGAACCTCCAAGTTCTCAGGGTGAGAATCCACATAGATCCCTTCATGGCTCTATTTCCAGGAAACCAAATCTCTAATAAATACACCCAGACTTTCTTCAGACCCACAAACCATGGGAAAGGCATTTTTAGATCCTCATCTATGTGGGGAAAGGTAATCCATCCCCATTACAAGCCCATACTAGCAGCCTTCCTTTATCATGAAAATGGGTAAAATTAGCCAATAGATGTAAATTTAAGGAAAATTTCCTGTGATGTTCCAGCCAGAAAAGAGCAAAAATCAGCTTCACCTCTGGAGACTTCCTGTATAGGGCACAGCCCAGAGGAAGAAGACCACCACAGCATTAAGATTCAACTGTAAGAACATGTAATGCTTCCGTGTTCCACACATTACGTCTCACCAGTTTAGTCAACATGGATTAAATACGAGAGTGTGGCAATGCACAAACTCTGAGGAGGAAATAGGAGAAATATGTTAAGGAAAATAGAAGAATTCGAAGCCTCTGATACCAGGAACTTCAGCACAAAGGAAATGATTTCACCCTCATTGGCCTCAAATTTACTTTTCCTGTGGCATCTGCATGGTTCCAAAGTGAAAAAAATTAATTCAATGCGCATGTACTTCCGAAGTGTCCACTTGCATTCTGATATCTTTACTTCTATTTGCAGAAAGTAGACACATATGCAGCCTTAGTGCCAGTGTAGGGAGTGCTTTCCTTAACACGGATACCAGAAAAATAGGGTAAACATAGGGCCCATTAATGTGAAAATTAGCCATTGTGTGTGTGTGTGTGTGTGTGCGCGCGTGTGAGTTGAATAGTAGAGTTGGAGTGGGCTTCTATCAACCTGCACCTGCCAGTGTTCTCAGGTGCAATAATCAACTTCAGGACCCTAAAGGAAATAAGAGCCCCCCCAAACCCCTGAAGACTTTTTGGATTCACCGTGTGTCCAATGATTCAGTGCCTCTTGAGCTCCAGGAAAGGTCTCCCTGGTGATGCATGAGATCTTACTTGGGGTCTCTCTGCAAAGTTCTCTGGGTTTCCTAAGGCCAATTCACTATTTCAAAAAATGGTGTGAGAAGCACAGGCTGTCACTAAAGGAGAATTCTGAGCCAGGGCACAGCCACTTTATACTTGGCTGGAGACACTGGTAGGAATATACTCTGTGAGCTCAGACAGGAACCTCCCTGCAGGGGCGGGGCGGGGCTGCAGGGGGCGCTCAGGACACACCGAGCACAGGCTTCCGCCCCAGAGCAGGAGCGCAGGAGGCTGGGGAGAGGTTCCTCTTAGGGCCTGGGACTTCCTTTAAAAAATCTAAAATAAGTATTTCAGAAAGACTGCTGATGTTCACATAAATACCCTATTTAATTGTCAGCATTTATGAAACTCGATGTTGTAATGAGAACCACTTTTACAATGAGGATTTCAAACTCCCCTAGACATCTTAATAGTAAGCAGCTGGAGGTCTGGAGGAGATCCTTTCTTATAAATAAGTGCAATTTTTGGAGAAACACACTCATTCCCAAAATAGCACATTCACATATTAAGGTCTAGAAATGATTCAAGTTGCCCATGAGACAGTCAAATGTGGGTTCAAAGTGAGGTGCGTGTCCTGGGGGAGCTTGTTCTCCAGTGGGGGAATCTCTGTCAACACAGAGTTCAGGGATGTGTAGGGGTCGCATCGCCTCTAACAGGATTACGGCTTGAACCCTCAGCTTCTACAATTGTGTCGTCCATGTGTCATGTATTTGCTCTTTCTCATCCTGGGGCAGGAATTGGGCTATTAAATAGCATCCTTCATGAATATGCAAATAACTGAGGTGAATATAGATATCTCTGTGCCCTGAGAGCATCACACAACAACCACACCCCTCCTTGGGAGAATCCCCTAGATCACAGCTCCTCACCATGGACTGGACCTGGAGCATCCTTTTCTTGGTGGCAGCAGCAACAGGTAAGGGACTCCCCAGTCCCAGGGCTGAGGGAGAAACCAGGCCAGTCATGTGAGACTTCACCCACTCCTGTGTCTTCTCCACAGGTGCCCACTCCCAGGTGCAGCTGGTGCAGTCTGGAGCTGAGGTGAAGAAGCCTAGAGCCTCAGTGAAGGTCTCCTGCAAGGCTTCTGGTTACACCTTTACCAGCTACTATATGCACTGGGTGTGACAGGCCCCTGAACAAGGGCTTGAGTGGATGGGATGGATCAACACTTACAATGGTAACACAAACTACCCACAGAAGCTCCAGGGCAGAGTCACCATGACCAGAGACACATCCACGAGCACAGCCTACATGGAGCTGAGCAGCCTGAGATCTGACGACATGGCCGTGTATTACTGTGCGAGAGACA
The DNA here is from genome assembly GCF_000001405.40 of Homo sapiens. Classification (NCBI taxonomy): domain Eukaryota; kingdom Metazoa; phylum Chordata; class Mammalia; order Primates; family Hominidae; genus Homo; species Homo sapiens. The sequence goes on along the minus strand of NC_000015.10, from coordinate 19,972,779 downwards.
CAGTGTGAAAACCCACATCCTGAGGGTGTCAGAAACCCCAGGGAGGAGGCAGCTGCAGTGAATTTGAGGAGATTACAGGGCTTACAATGTTTAAAGTTGTTTAGAAAATGAGCTGAGCAACTGAGGAATGTAATAGAAACATGGATGCACTCTATATAGGAAATGTTTCTTTCAGCTGTCACCCTATATGCAAAATTCAGAGTGGTAAAGACAGCAATCAGTGAGGCTGATGCAAAGAATCCCATGGAGGCCTTGTGCAGACATAGGTTTTAAAATCAGATAGATAAATAATTTGGAACAAGATTGCTGGTAACATGGCTAAGACTAAATATGATTCCTAAAAACTGGCCAAAATGCACTCCAAATTGTCTCTGCCACTCCTTTTACATAAAATGTATTAAAAAGTAGTTTTAAGACCACAGCAAAATTGAACAGAAGGTGCAGAGAGTTCTCATGTGCCCCTGCTTCACCATGCACAGCCTTCCCCACTGTCACCATCCTGCCCCAGAGTCATCAATAAGTTACAATGGATGAACTTACATGGGCAGATTTGTTCTTTCCTCTTCTGGTGGTCTCTTGGCATACCAAGCCCAAATTATCTTGAAGCACCATAGGTTCTGCTGTAATGCCTAACCTTGTTTTTTACTCTAGCTTGCTACTTTAAGTTTTCCCTTCTTTTGTCTCCTTAATTGCCAGCCACGTTTCCCATATGAATAGACTCTCCCTGGCTGGGAAAGCCGGACAAACTCCATTTGATCTTTTGATTTACAAGACATTAAGGCTCCTTATCCAACCCCCTTCTTCAAGGAGTTAACCTATGTAAACAGATCCTCAGCATTTCAAAGGAGCCCAATTAACTGATAAGGTACTGGAACAAACAATGTATGAAGTTACCAGGATTTTTCTCAAAGAGATAACAACATAAAGCCTTGAGTTCGTGCCCAGCATAGCATCTATATATAACTCAAATCAAGGATTTAGAGCCCTGCACCTGGTACTGTTGCTTTTTGTAACCATTTGTCTTTTAAATTGTTTATCACTCTGTAACCATTTGCTTCTTTTGATTCTTGCATGTTTTTACTTCTATAGAATTATTGTATTTGAGTTCCCCTCCCCTTCCTAAACCAAGATATAAAAGTTAATCAAGCCCCTTCCTCAGGGCCGAGAGAATTCTGAGCGTTAGCTGTCTCTTTGGCCGCCAGCTTAAATAAAGGACTCTTAATTCGTCTCAAAGTGTTGCATTTTCTCTAACTCGTTTGGGTATAACACTACAAGTGGGTTCCTGGGAATGATGCCAGTTCAGAGGAAAAGTGGGTGGGGCTATTCATATTTGGGCTGTTTTTTAGAGGATTCATAAAACGGATATTTTCCTATACATTCTGTGACTCCTGATTTACTATGTCCCTTCCCAGAGGGTAAGGTCCCTAAGTGTTTAGCAGTATATCCATGTCTATGGAAAGAAAGCAAGTTCTGGTGAATCCCATAAGGAATGTCCTTTGATGAGAAGTGGAGACCTTGGTCATGATGCACATCATGTATGTTTTTCTATAATTCCATTAGATTCACTGTAATTTTGGGGGGTGTCCTGTGGAATGGGTCTTCTGTGTCCCTGCATGTTCAGCTATATCTGTGTGGTGCCACTTACACTTAATGAGATGAGATTCCTGCTGCTTGTGTCAGGTCACTGGTGATCTCTGAAGCTGCTTCTGGTTTCTGCTTCAATATGTAAAAAGCATGTCAAACATCACCCACTTTCTTACAATAATAAAAGCCTGGAAAATTGATTATCAATAATTTCTTGAATCTGTTGAAGAAATGAAATTGCAGGGAAAACCAGGACCCCCAAAACTAGAAAGACATTAAAATAGAGATAATCAGACTGATGGATCAAAGTTCTGTGGCAATAAGATACCAAATTATAAACAAGGCCTAAAGTCATGGATTAAGTCACTCACCCCTACACTTAAAAAAATGACTATATTGTAACTTCCACAGGGCTTTTTTGTTTTCTGTAGCACCTAAACAAGCACTGGTTCTGAGGTAAGCATATTAAAACATTTGCAGCTCATGGAACTCCAAACATGTGGTAACTGTGACCCTGTTCCACAAGCCATAAATAGAGCTTTGATTGGACAAGAGACAGATTTCAGTAACTGTCTTCTGAGAAGAGACCACTGACCATGAACTTGTCTTGGCAATTTACAGAGACTGTGCAGTGTGTATCTTTCAGCCCCTGCACAAAGCCCTTTTGATGAACAGGGCCCAATTTTCATTCATTTAGTTCTTAAGTCCTCACCCCCAAAGCAAACACTAAGTGCATGTAACGTGTGTTTGCTTATTAGACATGAGAGCCTGCCCACTATGTGAATATCAATAGATCCTCCTATAGTCTGCTGAATGTGTACACTTGGCTTATCCATTTGCATGAATTCATTTATCCTCTTTCCCTCTCTTGAAGTGCCTGCTCACTGTCTCTGTGGGAAGCTTTGCTTCCCAGCCTGTTAAGATGGCTGTCCTGCAGCTTCAATCATTTATCGGAAGTAAAATCTCCTTTCTAAATTTATAAATTGTGTGACTCTTCCGTTGAAAGTGCAAGCTGGTGGGAACAGTTACATGGTAATTCAGTAAATTTCTGGTGGACAGGTGTGGACAGGGATAGGGTAAGAACTCCTGGGGGCTGCACACCCCACACTTTGATGGAATTTCCCTCCAGAAACTTCTGGGTTCTCAGGATGATAATCCAAACATTCCCTCATGGCTCTGTCATCAGGAGAGCTATTCTCTGATAAATATGCTCAGAACTTCCTCCAGACAGATCCTATAAAGAAAAAATGCTTTTCAAGATCTCTATTCTATGTGAGGGGAAGGTATTCTTTTCCATCCCAGGCAGTTTCATCTTAGTCTTCCTGTGTCATAAAAAGGGGCAAAATTAATAAAACAACTGGGGGTCAAGTTCAAGACAATAATATGTGGATGCTGCAGCCAGGAGGGGGGAGTAGAATGATGGAGGAAAATCAGCTGTACCACTAGAGACTCCTTGTAAAGGGCACAGTCTAGAGAAAAAACATCAAGAAAACATTGAAATTCAATTTCCAGTACATATACTGCTCCCCTGCCCATGACATTACCTCTTCACCAGTATGATCAATCTGGATTAAAGAGAAAAGTGTGGCAATGCACAGACTCTGTCCAAGGACTAGAACTTAGGAAAACCAAAGGCAGAGGGAGAGGATAAGTTAAGGACAGTGAAGCGGTTTAAAGCTTCTGAGACCAACAGCTTCAGGACCAAGGCCATGGCCCCTCTGTCAATGGCCTTAGATTTACCTCTCATGGGGCATCCACAGGGTTCCCAGGTGAGAACGGGCAAAAACAAGGCGAAGACACTTTCCAAATCTCCAGGAGTACTGAGCTTGCTTTAGCTCTGTTTGAAAAAACAAAACAACAACAACAAACAACAACAACCGTAAATATAACCAGGATTAAGGTCAGTGTTGGAAGCATTTTTATTAATTTTTTTAAATTTTTTATTTCTTAGATGGAGTCTCGCTCTGTCTCCCAGGCTGGAGTGCAGTGGTGCGGTCTTGGCTCTGCAATATCCACCTCCTGTGTTCAAGCAATTCTCCACCCTAGCCTCCCAAGTAGCTGGGATTACAGGTGCATGCCACGGCACCCAGTTAATTTTTGTATTTTTTAGTAGAGACGGTGTTTTGCCATGTTGGTCAGGCTGGTGTCAAACTCCTGACCTCAGGTGATCTGCCCAAGTTGGCCTCCCAGACTCCTGGGATTACAAGTTAATTGAGTTAATAAAGCTGTTCTGAACTATGAAAAACATTAGTTTGCTCCCAGATTTGCTTGATTTCAATTTGATTATTATATTCAGCTGTTGCCCTAATATGTTTGAGCATGTTACTATTTAAATGACCCTGGCTGTTTGATTTGTTATATATAAATCTAAACTAAAATAACTTAAAGGACAGGTTTGTACTATTATTAGGATGAGATATTCTGGGTGCCCCTCATTTGCTCCATGAACCTCCACATTTTTAATTTAGAATTCACATAAATTCCTTGTGAGTTGGGTCAGTCATTGAGAGACCTAATCTCTAACACCTTTACCCAGAACCTTCTCCAGATAGACCACCCACGGGAAGAACATTTATAATAATTTATCTACATGGTGAAAGGTACTTCACTGCCATTGTAGAACCCTCTTCCCAGCCTTCCTTTATTAGGCAAGTGATTGCCAGTATGGTAAGATTGAACAAAAGGATGTGCCAGTAGGGTAAGATTGAGCAAAAATAGTCCTGAGATGCTGCAGACAGGGAAGGACATAATAGACAAATATCAGCTTTATTAGAGGAAACTCCTTGTAAAGGTCACAGCCAAGAAACAGAAGATAACAAAATCACTGAGATGAAATTCTAAGAAACTTGGTCCAGTTCAATCAAGCCATCAACAGCCAGGTGGCTTTAGTGGCCACTATGCATATTACCCCATGCCTAAAGGTTCTGGTACAAGAGCTTCTCTATAAGTTGCACATTGCCATAGTGGAAGACGGCATGGGAGATTTGGTGGCAAACACTTACGGTGCAATAATAGCTGTTTTTCCTATATCATGACAATATGTGGCACACTTCTAGACTCATTTCATGCCAAAGAAGTTCCTCAGAAGGGTAAGGAAATGGAGAATCTTACATGGTCCAATGCAGTCCCCAAGAAGTAATTTTGAATGGACAGTTACACTGGTTACTACAATGCTGTCTCTGACCTTCTCAGGATCGAAGATAATCATGAGTATCAAGGTGGAGATGGGTCTAGGCGAGAGAAAAGGAAGTAGTGGTTCTTGAGAAGAATTGTATGGCCAAGATAAGCTTGAACTATCTCTCCTCTTCCAGTTCCTGCAACTTCTTATTGCCTGATTGAGGTCATTACCCTATGGTGGTAATGACATCAGCAATGTAATAAATTCTCTCGTGGCTTTGTATCTGGTTTATAACATGGGAAATGTTTCCTCAAGAGTGGTGATGCCAGTATGGCTTCTGCTCTCTGGTGGTGTTGGAATCTGCATTAGTCTGTGGGTTTGGAGGAGAGTGATTCAGGCCATGGGGAAGAATCTGACACTGTAACACCCTCTCGTGCCTTCGGTACTGGACTGGCTCCTGCCCCCTCACTATGGTGATTGCATCAAATATCGGCCTCCCCATCAGTACAACACGTTGTAACATGGGCTCCTTTGTACCTGGCTTTAATCCAAGAAAGTTGTTGACTTGACTCTTTCGTGATATTGTATAGCCTGGTTTGTCACAGTCTTTATTTCTGGAATTGTCAGTGCTGCCATCTTGGCTGTCTTCAAGTATGTCATCCTCACAGTGTGAAGCTGTTTGACATTAACATTTTTGTCAATGTTTGGGACTACCTTACATATTCCGGCCCTCTCAAAGAATGATTACAGTGTTAGGGAAGGCTGACACGAGTCTACTTAAATTTGGGAGCCAGAGAAGGAAAGTGTTATTGTGCTACAGTTGTTTGGTGATAAATATGGTTAGGTTCAAAACGAGCTATGTAATGTAGCCAGGTTTCCACTGAGTTCCACTTTGCTTCTTGGCTGTCTATTCCTGTGCATGTTTCTATACATTTTGTATCAGGCTTCAATTCCATTATGTTTAAAATGTTGTCTCTAAAGATAACCAAAGATTTTTTTAAAACAGCCAAACATGCAGTCATTTGACAGAGTGTGCTCTGCATTGTTAGTCTCACCATCTTCTGCCCTAACAAGCACTGAATCTGACAACGCAAATATCACTGAAGCTTTCCTTGGAGTAGCTCCTGTAATTAGAATAATTGGTACTCTGCCCTCCTGTCAGTGGTGGAACGTTCTATTGGCATATGTGGAAGCCTCTTAGAGGGACGAGTTTCTTTGAACACAATAAAATTTTAAGTTAGGAATAACTTATTTGAAAGCAATTCATTGAAGGTTATTGCTAAGAAGTTAGAAGCAAAGTCTTTTGGCAGTCATTTCTTCAAGATGTATGGCAGTGTGGGAGGGATATATAAAGTGGAATAGGAACTTGGGCTAGTTAAATGGAATAGTCTCCAATGTTAATCTGTTTACCTCTTAACTGAATGAAAAAGCCTATAGTTGTAAGAAAAGAAAAAAAATACAATCCTCACACATTACCTTCTCATCAGCATAATTAATCTATATTGAAGATGAGTGTGGCAATGCAGAGACTCTATATAGGGAAATGTAAAGACAATGGGAGAAAAAATTCAAGGACAGTAGAGCAACTGGAAGCTTCTGACACCAACAGCTTGATGAACGGGGTCACTCAACCCTTGGTGGACACAGAGTCACTTCTCTTAGGGAAATTGCAGTATTCTCAGGTGACAATATGCAAACATGATGAATGTACACTTGCTACGTCTCCAATTCTGTACTGTTTTCCTTACTTCTGTTTGGAGAAGGAAGTCATATACTCAGGTCTAGTATCCATGTAGGGGGTGCTCCCCATTTGCAAGATACTAGAAAAAATGGCAAGTTAGAGGCCCACTGTTGTAAAAATCAACTAGTTCTGTGTGTGTTTGTATGTGTGTGTGTGTGTGTGTGTGTGTGTGTGTGTTATTGAAAAAGAAGACATGGAGTGGGCATTCATCCACAAGTATATATACCTACAGGTATTCTTAGATGTAATATTCAATTGCAGGAGACCAAACAAGATAAAGCATCCCCGAAAACCCTTCAAAATTTTTGTGCTTACAATGTGTCCACTGATTAAATGCATCCTGAGCTCCAGGGAGGGGCTCCCTGATGGTTTCTTAGAGTTCACTGGGTCTCCTAAGGTCAATGTTTTCAAAAGATGGTGTCAGTAACATATGGTGTCACTGAAGGAGCATTTTAAACTAGGGCATGACCTCTTCCTATAGCCCTAGAAACACTGAGAGATAAATCCTCTGTGAGCCCAGATGGAAACCTCCATGCAGGGCAGAGGCAGTGCTGCAGGGGGCACCCAGGACCCACCCAGAGCAGGCTCCAGCCCCAGAGCTGGTGCACATGAGGCTGCAGAGGGGATTTCTCTGAGAACTGAGTGTTGTTTTATTGAAAATCAAAAAATTATAACATGTTAAAATTAGAATTTTGCAAAGACTATTTCTATTATCTCTATACATTTAGAAATAAATAAATCAACAATTCAGTGAGAACCACATTTAAAAGGCAAAATTATTACAGGTTTGAGATATTTTCCTAGTAAAAAGATGAAGAACAGGGATGATTTTATTAAATCAAAATGTACACATTTCAGAAGACACATAGATCCCAAGAGTAAGACTGCAGACAGCAAAACCTAGAAAGAGTGGAGGCTGTCCATGTGCTATGTCCTGTGTGAGTCACCTTCTTAGTGGAGAAGTTCTCCCTTCACAAAGTTCTGGGCATATAAAGGGAAACACGACATTAAATAAGAATGAGGACTTGCACCTCAGCATCCCACAGTTGTGTGGCTCATGTGAGATCTATTTTCTCTTTCTCATGCTGGATCAAGTGTAAGGCTATGAAGTAGTAGTTCTTGTGAATATGCAAATCACCTGAGGTGAACACTACAGATATGTCTGCGCCCTGAGAGCATCACCCAATAACCACACACGTCCTCTAGAGAAGCCCCTGAGAGCACAGCTCCTCACCATGGGCTGGACTTGGAGGATCCTGTTTTTGGTGGTCATAGCTGCAGGTAGGATAATTCTCAGTCCCCAGGACTAAGGTGACTGGGTCCAGTCAAAGGGGGTTTTATCCACTCCTGTGTCCTCTCCACAGGTGCCCAGTCCCAGGTACAGCTGATGCAGTCTGGGGCTGAGGTGAAGAAGCCTGGGGCCTCAGTGAGGATCTCCTGCAAGGCTTCTGGATACACCTTCACCAGCTACTGTATGCACTGGGTGTGCCAGGCCCATGCACAAGGGCTTGAGTGGATGGGATTGGTGTGCCCTAGTGATGGCAGCACAAGCTATGCACAGAAGTTCCAGGGCAGAGTCACCATAACCAGGGACACATCCATGGGCACAGCCTACATGGAGCTAAGCAGCCTGAGATCTGAGGACACGGCCATGTATTACTGTGTGAGAGACACAATGTGAAAACCCACATCCTGAGAGTGTCAGAAATTGCAGGGAGGAGGCAGCTGTGTTCCTGCAGAGGAGATGACAGGGAAGATGAGGTTTAAAGTTGTTTAGAAAATGGGTCAAGTAACTGAGGACAAGGATCAATAGAAACAAGGACACACTCTAATTTTATAATAAATATTTTATTCAAGAGTCACCGTATACAGAAAATTCAAAGATTAGGAAAGGCCCTGTATTAGTCCATTATCATGCTGCTAATAAAGACATACCTGAGACCAAATAATTTATAAAGAAAAGTGGTTTAATGGAATCATAGTTCCACATGGCTGAGGTGGTCTCATAATCATGGAAGAAGATGAAGGAAGAGTAAACTGATGTCTTACACGGCAGCAGGCAAGAGACACCTTGTGCCAGGGGAACTCCTGTTTATAAAACTGTCAGATCTCATGAGACATATTCACTACCACGAGAACAGTATGGGGGAAACCGCCCCCATGATTCAATTACGTCCACCTGACCCCACCCTTGACACATGGGAATTATTAAAACTCAAGATGAGATTTGGGTGGGGATACAGTCAAACCATATCAATAAAGCTGATACAAACATTCCCATGAATATATTATTGTGAACAAGTTTTCAAATTAGATGGATGAATAATTTGAGCAAGATTATTTGATCACATGGTAAGACTAAGTATGATTCTGAAAAATGTCCAAAATGTCTTCCAAGAATGTCTCTGCTACTGTTGTTGCATAAAATTTATTTTAGAGTGGTTTTAGGATAACAGTGAACTTGAACAGAAAGTACCAGAGCTCCCAGGAATCCCCATCCAACACAGGCACAGCCTTCTCCACTATCTGCATCCTGCACCAGAGTCATATCAGCAAGTTACAAATGATGAACCTACATGGACACTTTGGTTCTTTCTTTTCCTGGTGATCCCGTGGTGTAACAAACATAAATTATCTTGGAGCACCAGAGGTATTTTCAGAGGGTTTCTAGGAATGATATTAGAGGGAAAGTGGGTAAGGGTATTCCTATCCATGCCTCTAAAAGTCCAGCAAGTTCTAGTGAATTCTACAATGAATGTTCTTTAATAAGAAGTGGAGACCTTGACCATGAGAGATGTCATGTATGAGGCCCTGTAGATGGATTACCTACACTGTAGGCTCATGGGGCATGTTTATGGATGAATCCCTTTTTGCAGCAAATGCAAGCACATGCATGGGATCCAGGCAGGGACAAAAGCTCCCCCTTAGGAAGGAGGTGGGCACCTGGAAGGCCCCTCACTGAGGTGGACACTGGTGTCCTGTGCTGGCTGCACGTTGTCAAGAGGCATGAGCCTGATTGGGCTTGTAGAGGGAGAGCCTCATTGGGGTCACAGGTTATAATAATGTCTGCCATTCTCCAGCTGAGCAAGCCCATCTGCTTGCTTGCCAGTGTCAATGCCATGTTGGGGTGCACTCTGGAAGATGACAAGATGCACACAAACCTCCTCCCACTAATTATCCACTACTAATCATTCAAAAACAACCTGAGCTCCAAAAATGGATATGCGCCTGCAGGGATAAACAGAACTTAAGTATTTTCTTATCTGGGAAAGACACTGCCAAATACTACACATTTCAGGAAAATTAGTTTGGAATGTTTAAAAAGTGACTGAAGGGCAATGGTGGGTGAGGTGATGGGACAGCCTCAGGGCTGCACATGAGGAGGGCTCCCTCCCCGATGCAGGCTTTTCCTCCAGGAACTGCACCAGGAACTGAGGAAGGATTAGGGAGAATCATGGAAACATCCTTCTGCGGTGCTTGCTAAGGAGAGGAAATAAATTATGAGTAAAAAATTCCCTCCGAATAAAGTATGGGCATTTGTTCATACAAATCTGTATTTCTCAAAGCTTGTGGAGGTCCTGACATAGCCACCATTAGCTGAGAACAAACATTTCACCCCTCCGTGCATGGGGAGGTCAAGCAGGCTGGAGGGTGTCCCTTTGCGGATGATATTTCCCAGCCCCTTCGTCTTCCCTGCTCATCCCTGGGCCTCTGTGTGACGAGTGCTCATCAGTGGAATGTAGTTGATGTAGTGTGGTCTTCAGTTTTCTCATCTTCTTTGTTCTCATGTTCCTCTCATGGTGTGAGGTTAAGAAACTCATCTGCAACATAGCACATGACAGTGTAATCTCTCTTGTGGACAAAAAATTGGCAAAGGAGACCGCCAAGTTGACCATCCCGTATAGCTGACAGTGACCACCACAGGTCAACGTCCCCTCCACAATCCTGTGTCGGAACATCATCTGAGTCACTTTATTAGCAATTTTTCTCGAGAATTATCTTAAAAACTACTTGTCTCATTTTCCATGCAGTTATAACCTATTTTTCCTAGAGGACAGAGAGAGCTGAATACTGAATATATTGCATGTCTCCTGGTGTTGCAAGTTTGTGACTTTATCACTTTCTAATTTCTTATCTGCGCAGACCACTCTACAGATTTTTTCACTGTTGTGACCAGCATTCTGAATATCAAGTATATTTGACGTTCTTCATATATCATTCAGCACCAGCTTCTCATCATTTCAGTCCTCACTGACCACTCTAACTTACACAATGTGTTTCTTTATTTGTTTAATTCTGGCATCTCTCCTTAAATTTCACCATGCCCATTTTATGTTATTTCTACAGGTGATTGATTGTTAATTTTAAATTTTACTTGTGCTTACTTTAATCAGGCAATAACCTAAGATAAAAAAACATTGTAAATAAAAGTAAATGCAGTAATATTTAAGGTAAGTAAGCCAACAGCTGAAGAAAAGGGAAATCCATTATCCTGGGTAAGTGAGTATGGGGAACTCATAGTATGATTATCTTCTTCAGTTTAATTAATACTGCTACGCAAGTTATAGTCTCCTCTCTCTTTATATCAAAACTTTCCCTAACATGTACAATGAAGACTCAGCACAGATACCTTCCACCAGACTAACCTAGCACCTCTCAGCGAGTGCCTGAGCTGATAGTGATAGATATCACATTTGTCTAACAAAAAATGACACCCTTTAAGGATATCCACCAGCCATATGGGGACAATTTGAATAATTTAGATAAAGCCCAAACTTGATAGGTAGTAATTTATAATGAGAAACTGACTCCTATCTTCACATGGGATGTTTTTAGGTTTTGTGGTTTCTTTTTTTTCCATAGAGAACCTGCTAACGCCACTGTCCAAGTTCTGGATATCTTATTTCCCAGTATGAGAGACTGCATATTATGATCTGACACAAAGGAATGTAGCTGTTGTTAGGGATAGGAGACGTGATCGTAAGAACATGAGCAGGGATCCAGCAGTGCTTTGTCTTTTCACAGTTGCCCAGACAGAGACCCAGGAGAACAATGGGAGAATTGACTTCAGTCTCTCCAGTCCCATATGAGTATTATACCAGATGTTTTATGCCACTGTTTCATAGTAGAAAAATTAGTCTCTAAAGAAAGTCAGTTTTGAGGACAATACTATTTTCCAGTATCCTTCAAATGCCCCAAATCAGAGAGCACCACAGTGCCCCATGGCCAGGAGCTACAAGACCTGGGCCTAGAAAACAAATGACAGAAATATCAGTTTATCTTACCGCATCTGTCATAAAAATTTGAAGACTGTTTCCTTCCATCTGGATAATCATAGGTTGTGATAGACTGGAGCTGCTGGTCTATAAAAATAAACTGGTCTGCAGTGGGTACAGAATTAGACCCATAATATAATTGTTCTCCTGAGGTCCTTATGCTGTTAGACCAGCTGACCAAGAAAGTGTTTTAAGAGCTGCAGTGTTTATTGGATCCTGTCATATTTGGGGCTACATTTGCAGCTACCAAGAGAAACAGAAAGAAGTCCATTTGGCCCAGGTAGAGTCAATTAATTTCTTTTATTTTATTCAAATGAGGTAAAAAAATGCATCAACCAAAATGCAGATGATGATCAAGTGATCAAGGACAACAGCCACTCAGTGTTTCAGGTGTGTTTTAGCCCAAAAGCCACACAACATGTGAGAACCTGAACTCTGGAGTCCTGGCCATCTCTGAGGAGAATCTAGATGGTGGAAGGGAAGACACAATCATTAACATCTAGGGAAATTTCAGGGCTACCTGCTGTAGTAGAAAGCAAACCTTGAGCCTCTGAGACAGTGTGATGTCCATGGAGACTGAGACAGCTACTGTCTCAAGCCCCTGGTCATGGAATAGTCTCAATGTTTGTCTGTGTGTCACTGTAGAACATTGTGTGTAAGTGGGATGATGCATACAACTGTGTCTGTGTGTTTGTGAATGTGTGTGTGTGAGGGTGTGAGCTTGTGTGTGCCTGTGTTTTATATTAAAATGAGTTACTTAGTTTGTGATTGTTACACTATATCTTCGACCAAGTGTGTGGGAGAACTTGTTTGTGTGTTTCTGTTAGTTTGTAAAAGCGTATGCTATTTTGAGTGTGTGTGAGTGCGTTCTTCAATATTTGAGCCTATCAATTTGCATGAATGTTAATTTTCCTGAGTATGTGTGAGTTGCATACTTGACTGGGTGAATACAAAGTATCTGAGATAGGTGTCAGGCAATTTAGGAAGTTTGTTTTGCCAAAGTTAAGGACACACACCTGTGACACAGCCTCGGGAGGTTCTGATGACATGAGCCCAAGGTGGTCAGGACACAGCTTGGTTTTATACATTTTAGGAAGACATGAGACATCAAACAATATGTGTAAGATGTACATTGGTTGGCCTGGTGCAGTGGCTCATGCCTGTAATCCCAGCACTTTGGGAGGCCGAGGTGGGCAGATCATTTGATGTCAGGAATTCCACACCAGCCTGGTCAACATGGTGAAACCCCATCTCTACTGAAAATACAGAAATTAGCTGGGTGTGGTGATGCACGCCTGCAGTCCCAGCTACTTGGGAGGCTGAGGCAGGAGAATTGCTTGAACCTGGGAGGTGGAGATTGCAGTGAGCCGAGATCGTGCCACTGCACTCCAGACTGGGTGACAGAGCAAGACTCTGTCTTAAGAAAAAAAATACATTGATTCATTCCAGAAAGGTGTGAAAACTTGAAGGGGGTTTCCATATGTAGGTGAGAGACAAAGGGTTGCATTCTTTTGAGTTTCTGATTAGCTTTTCCAAAAGACTCAATCAGATATGCTTTTATCTCTGTGAGCAGATGGATGACTTTGAATAGAGTAGTAGACAAGTTTGCCCTAGTAGTTTCTAACTTGACTTTTCTCTTCAGCTGTGTGATCTTAGGGTCCCAAGATTTACTTACCTTTCAGAAGTGAATATAGTTGATTTGATGCTAGTGTGACCAGGAATATTTGAGTGTGTGTGTGCTCTTTGCATTACTTGGTGAGTGTGTGCCCCGTGTGTGTGTGTGTGGGTCATTACCTGTGACTCTACATATGAGGGTGTTGACAGTGTGTGTGAGTCTGTGAGCATGTTTATATGCATGTGGATTGTTAGTATGCATGCTTTTAGAGACTTTTTTTTTTTGAGGCGGAGTTTCACTCTTGTTACCCAGGCTGGAGTGCAGTGTCATGATCTCAGCTCACTGCAACCTCTGCCTCTCTGGTTCAAGTTATTCTCCCACCTCAGGCTCCTGAGTAGCTGGGATTACAGGCATGTTCCACCATGCCTAGCTAATTTTTGTACTTTTATTAGAGATGGGGTTTCACCATGCTGGCCAGGATGGTCTCTCTTGACCTCAGGTGATCCTCCCGCCTTGGCCTACCAAAGTACTGGGATTACAGGCATGAACCACTGTGCCCAGGCTCTTTTGTTTATTTATTTATTTTTAAATGGAGTCTTGCTCTGTCGCCAGGCTGGAGTGCAGTGGCGTGATCTCAGCTCACTGCAACCTCTGCCTCCGGGGTTCAAGCGATTCTCCTGCCTCAGCCTCCTGAGTAGCTGGGACTACAGGTGTGTGCCACCATGCCCAGCTAATTTTTGTATTTTTAGTAGAGATGGGATTTCACCATGTTGGCCAGGATGGTCTTGATCTCTTGACCTTGTAATCTGCCCGCCTTGGCCTCCCAGAGTGCTGGGATTACAGGCATGAGCCACCGCACCTAGCCAGAGATTCATCTCTTGACCTCAGTGTCACATGTCTGAAAATACCAAGTATGTTTGAGTGTCAGAACCTGAGAAAGAAGCGTTGCCTATAATAAAACCTTCATAAAATAAACAACTGATTTCTCACCAAATTCATGAAGACAAAAACTCATTGAGGTGGCATATCAAAAGGCTGAAATACACTGTCAATCAAGAATTATACACTTTCTAAGAAACCTTCAAAAGTGAAGGAGAAATTAAGGTGAATATAAATAAACAAACGCTGATGGAGTTCATGAAACCTAGACAGTCCTTATGAGAAATGCTAAATGGAGTCCCACAGACAGAACTGAAAGGAGAGTGGAGAGGAGCAGAAAATCTTACACCTAAAAAGAACAACAGCAACAAGGAAGGTGTCCCAGAAATGTCATTACATTTGTGTATGTGAGCGCCAATAGCGTTTTATTCTGCCCTGAGTCTCATGTTTCATTCCTCCATTATTTTGAAAATCAAGTACTATAATATTAATTATACATGTGAATAATATACATATAATTTGTAAAATACTAATATATAGTAATAACACAGTAAGGGAAAATGGATAGAGCTGTAGAGACACAGATTTGTATGCACTATTGATGCTAAGGTAATCATAATTCAATCTATTTTGTTATAAATTTGAATTACCAATTTTAGTGTCCATGTTAGCTATAAATATGTAAGTAAAAGTTAAAAAAAAAATCAGCATGACAGCTGAATAGATGTGCCTGACATTTGTCAATCCCATATGACAGAATGACAGAATTGAATAAACAGCTAAGACTAGACTGGGCTGATGAAAGGGAGATGTAGAGGATAGCAGGGGAGAGGAGAGGTCCCTGTGGTTATTAGAAGCCCAGTAGTGCTGTGTGAAAGCACCCTGTGTCTGCAGCTTCATACTCGAGATTCACATGGAATTATCCCTGGTGAGGAAAGTTAAGTAGAAGAAGCACATCAGGCCCTACTGCAATCACACATATCAACAATCCTTACTACAAAATAAATTCACAGGGCTTGCAAACCCTGAGCTCAACTTGGAGAGCTGGAAGGAATTCATGCATCTGTACTGCACAAGATTCGGAGCAAAATCTGTACTCCTTGCCCACCACCCATCCCATTAGCCAAAATGCTATAGCCTGTCACAACTTTGAGACCAGAGACACTTCTGGAGGGTGCCCTTCTTTGGGGCAGTAGTCATTGCATGTCTCCACACTGGGCCTCTGTTTCCATTCCATCAAACACACAAGTGGGTAAAGGCCACAATACTGGCTGCACAAAGCCTAGACCCAAGATCCCCTTTGGCTCTGGTGTTGCCCAGCAGGAAACTAACCCCTGAACAGGGCAATAACAAGTCACAAAATTGAAGCATTAATAAAAGGTCTTCCAGGAAAGAAAAAAAACCCAGGACTCAATGGCTTCATTGCACAATTGTGACAAACATTTAAAGAAGAAACAATATCTATCCTCCTCAAAATATTAAAAAGTAGGTAGAGAAGGAGGGAGTACTTTCAAACCTGCTCTATGAGACCAGTATTACCCTGAAATGAAAACCAAATAAAAACATAAAAAACACTACAGGCCAATATCTCTGATGAATACAGATGCAAAAATCCTCAAGGAAAACTTAGCAAACACAATTCAACAACACATTAAAAAAATCATGCATCATGACCAAGTTCAGTTTATCCCAGTGATTCAAGGATGGTCCAACATATGGAAATCAATCAATGTGACACATCACATCAACAGAAAGGACAAAGGCCATAAGATCAGGCTGCACCTTGTCCTTCTCATTCAAAGTCTACCATCAGAGCTTTGGTCCTCTTGCCCAGTCCTGCTGTACTTGGTCTCCTGTGATTCCTCTCCCAGATCCTGAAACCTTCGGCTTCTGTGCACCTGCAGTCTCTCACCTCCCTGGACATGGAGATTCTGTATTCTCAGAGACAGATGATGCCTCATTGTGGCTCCTATGGCCCATGCAAATGATTTCCCCAACACAGCCATGAGTTTTCCTGTATGAAATTGAAAGGGGATGTGGGAAACTGGTGTGCGTGTGTGTGTGTGTGTGTGTGTGTGTGTGTTCACAGTGGTACAAAAGGAGTCCTCAGGCCTGCTAAGGTGTTGTGAACTAGGGTGATGTTGTCACTCAAGACTACAATGGGGGCTCCATGAAGAGAAATCTAGAAAAGGATGAGCATATGAGCAAAGAAGCAAAACCTGGGGAGTAGCAGGGAGGGGACCAGGAGCGGTGACTCAACCGGGCAGGGAAAACACCATGTACAACAGAGGGTGAGAATTCTGTGCTCAGCAAAGAGGAGAACTCACTCAGCATTTCTCTCAATTTTCCCTCAAGAACTTTCCTGTGCCAGGAAAGTTCACAATGGAGAATCTCCAGCTCCAGGTGGGACCCCAAAAGAAGCAGGGGGACTTTAGGCCATAGGTCTTTGGCACAAGGTTTTTCCCCAGTTCCTACCCCTTTCCTTTCCTCTCTGTCCAGCAAACCTGCTTGTTTCTGTCACCTGCCTTCCTGCCCTTGGGGTAAGAATGGATGCCTTGACACTCAGCAGAGGGCTGCTCTTTCAGAGGAGGAATGAGTTTGTGTCATCTGACCCCTGAGCAGGAAAATCATCCCTGGGAAGAGGTTCCAAGACAGAGGTCGGCCGTGTGCGGGGCTCCTGGCACATGCACAGTTCTCCTCAAACTCTGTTTATACCCCAGCAACAATGCTGGGTGTTGTCAGCCTCTCTCCTCCCCAGATATCGCTCTGTCATCAGCCAAGGAACAAATTCCCCATGAAAGGCATTATTCTTTCTCTCAAGAAGATCAACTACTTATATTTCTTCCTTTGCTGACAGCTTTGCAGGGTGAACATCTAGAATTTAAAAAAGGGTTGATGGGGACAAGTGAGCTCTCTGTGTGACTCACCAGGATGTTCCCTCTTATTGCAGGTGTCCTGTCCCATGTGCAGGTGCAGGAGTCAGGTCCAGGACCCATGAGGCCCTCAGACACTGCCCTCCACCTGTGCTGTGTCTGGATTCTTTTTTACCATGGATACTATTTGAGCTGAATCCACCATCCCCTGGGCAACAGGCTGGAATGGCTGGGGCACAGTTACTAGAGTCGATCACCAAGGAATACACATCATGCTCCCTCCACCCAGGTCCATGTCCCCATCAACAATGACTCAACCAAGAGCCAGTTCTCTGTGAAGCTCAGCTCCACGGCTGCCCAGGACACAGCTGAGTATTACTGTGAAAGACTCAATGAGGAGGTGTCCTTGTGAGCCCTGACACAAACCTTGCTGGCAGGGCACTCAGGACCGCCAGGAAGACTCAGGACCACAGGGGGGACTCAAGACCACCAGGGAAGAGCAGGTTGCAGGAAGCACAGGGCCACCCCCAGAGCAGGTGGGGGTAGAGATGAGAGGTTGGTTTACTGCCAGGGTCTGGGGTTGCCTCACCATCTTCATGTTTCCTCCAGGGACCCTCTCTTATTTCATGATGCTGTGTCTAGCTCTACATCTCTAAAATACCACAGTTTTGTTGTACCAGGAGGAAACCTTCTCACACGCCCTAAATGTAGAGCAATCTCTCTGCCAGTGGTCACTAGGATCACAGCCCTGAGGAAGCTGAGGGTAACCTGGTGAATCTTCTCCAGTCACATTCGGGACAGGAACCTTAGTGGGGTTCCCTGAGGAGAACAGTCTCAGGAATCCTAACCTCAGCCAAGACAGAGGCTGGGCCAGATCAATGTCAGATAGAACCTCACAAGTTTTATGTCTGACCCTTCTCCACCAACAATAAAGCATGACAATCAGTATCAAAGCTGAGTTGTGTTCATGAGGAAGATGGCACTATTGTGTCTTCTCCTGCATTGCCCCATCACACAGGTGAGGAATTTTTGAAACCAGTGAAGTGTGAGTGCACAGTAAATGATGAAGTTATCATATATCCATGAACTTTCATTAATAGGCCAAGGCCTTCTACAGATCACTCATGCACAAATATCCAAAATGGGTTTTTGCATTTTTGGATGTCTAGAGAAAAATATCTGTTGAGGAAACTTCCTCAGCTTACAGAGATCTGCTTAAGTTTGAGATCCCATAGGAGAGTGTCTTTGAGTGAATTCCAGTCTATTAATTAAATAGGTCCAAATTCTCTCTGTTGGAGTAGCCTTCCAATTGTGCTGATTGCTTTTTTCTTTTTTTAATTATACTTTAAGTTTTAGGGTACATGTACACAACGTGCAGGTTTGTTACATATGCATACATGTGCCATGTTGGTGTGTTGCACCCATTAACTCATCATTTACATTAGGTATATCTCCTAATGCTATCCCTCCCCCCCACACCCCCTCACCCCACAACAGGCCCTGGTGTGTGATGTTCCCCTTCCTGTGTCCATGTGTTCTCATTGTTCAATTCCCACCTATGAGTGAGAACATGCGGTGTTTGGTTTTTTGTTCTGGTGATAGTTTGCTGAGAATGATGGTTCCCAGCTTCATCCATGTCCCTACAAAGGACATGAACTCATTCATTTTTTATGGCTGCATAGTATTCCATGGTGTATATGTGCTACATTTTCTTAATCCAGTCTATCATTGTTGGACATTTGGGTTGGTTCCAAGTCTTTGCTACAGTGAATAGTGCCACAATAAACATACATGTGCATGTGTCTTTATAGCAGCAAGATTTAAAATCCTTTGGGTATATACACAGTAATGAGATGGCTGGGTCAAATGGTATTTCTAGTTCTAGATCCCTAAGGAATTGCCACACTGACTTCCACAATGGTTGAACTAGTTTACAGTCCCACCAACAGTGTGAAAGTATTCCTATTTCTCCACATCCTCTCCAGCACCTGTTGTTTCCTGACTTTTTAATGATCGTCATTCTAACTGGTGTGAGATGGTATCTCATCGTGGTTTTGATTTGCATTTCTCTGATGGCCAGTGAAGATGAGCATTTTTTCATGTGTCTTTTGGCTGCACAAATGTTTTCTTTTGAGAAGTGTCTGTTCATATCCTTCACCCACTTGTTGATGGGGTTGTTTGTTTTTTTCTTGTAAATTTGTTTGGGTTCTTTGTAGATTCTGGATATTAGCCCTTTGTCAGATGAGTAGATTGCAAAAATTTTCTCCCATTCTGTAGGTTGCCTGTTCACTCTGATGGTAGTTTCTTTTGCTGTGCAGAAGCTCTTTAGTTTAATTAGATCCCATTTGTCAATTTTGGCTTTTGTTGCCATTGCTTCTTGTGTTTTCGACATGAAGTCCTTGCCCAAGCCTATGTCCTGAATGGTATTGCCTAGGTTTTCTTCTAGGGTTTTTATGGTTTTAGATCTAACGTTTAAGTCTTTGATCCATCTTAATTTAATTTTTTTATAAGGTGTAAGGAAGGGATCCAGTTTCAGCTTTCTACATATGGCTAGCCAGTTTTCCCAGCACCGTTTATTAAATAGGGAATCTTTTCCCCATATTTTGTTTTGGTCAGGTTTGTCAAAGATCAGATAGTTGTAGATATGTGGCAATATTTCTGAGGGCTCTGTTCTGTTCCATTAGTCTATATCTCTGTTTAGGTACCAGTACCATACTGTTTTGGTTGCTGTAGCCTTGTAGTATAGTTTGAAGTCAGGTAGTGTGATGGCTCCAGTTTTGTTCTTTTGGCTTAGGATTGACTTGGCAATGCGGGGTCCTTTTTGATTCCATATGAACTTTAAAGTAGTTTTTTCCAATTCTGTGAAGAAAGTCATTGGTAGCTTGATGGGGATGGCATTGAATCTATAAATTACCTTGGGCAGTATGGCCATTTTCACGATATTGATTCTTCCTACCCATGAGCATGGAATGTTCTTCCATTTGTTTATATCATCTTCTTTTGTTTCATTGAGCAGTGGTTTGTAGTTCTCCTTGAATAGGTCCTTCACCTCCCTTGTAAGTTGGATTCCTAGGTATTTTATTCTCTTTGAAGCAATTGTGAATGGGAGTTCACTCATGATTTGGCTCTCTGTCTGTTATTGGTGTATAAGAATGCTTGTGATTTCTGCACATTGATTTTGTATCGTGAGACTTTGCTGAAGTTGCTTATCAGCTTAAGGAGATTTTGGGCTGAGACAATGGGGTTTTCTAGATATACAATCATGTCATCTGCAAACAGGGACAATTTGACTTCCTCTTTTCTTCATTGAATACCCTTTATTTCCTTCTCCTGCCTGATTGCCCTGGCCAAAACTTCCAACACTATGTTGAATAGGAGTGATGAGAGAGGGCATCCCTGTCTTGTACCAGTTTTCAAAGGGAATGCTTCCAGTTTTTGCCCATTCAGTATGATATTGGCTGTGGGTTTGTCATAGATAGCTCTTATTATTTTGAAATACGTCCCATCAATACCTAACTTATTGAGAGTTTTTAGCATGAAGGGTTGTTGAATTTTGTCAAAGGCCTTTTCGTCATCTATTGAGATAATCATGTGGTTTTTGTCATTGGTTCTATTTATATGCTGGATTGCATTTATTGATTTGCGTATGTTGAACCAGCCTTGCATCCCAGGGATGAAGCCCACTTGATCACGGTGGATAAGCTTTTTGATGTGCTGCTGGATTCAGTTGGCCAGTATTTTATTGAGGATTTTTGCATCTATGTTCATCAGGGTTATTCGTCTAAAATTCTCTTTTTTTTTTTGTTGTGTCTCTGCCAGGCTTTGGTATCAGGATGATGCTGGCCTCATAAAATGAGTTAGGGAGGATTCCCTCTTTTTCTATAGATTGGAATAGTTTCAGGAGGAATGGTACCAGCTCCTCCTTGGACCTCTGGTAAAATTCGGCTGTGAATCCGTCTGGTCCTGGACATTTTTTAGTTGGTAGGCTATTAATTATTGCCTCAATTTCAGAGCCTGTTATTGGTCTATTCAAGGACTCAGCTTCTTCCTGGTTTAGTCTTGGGAGGGTGTATGTGACGAGGAATTTATCCATTTCTTCTAGATTTTCTAGTTTATTTGCGCAGAGGTGTTTATACTATTCTGTGATGGTAGTTTGTATTTCTGTGGGATCGGTGGTGATATCTCCTTTATCATTTTTTATTGCATCTATTTGATTCTTCTCTCTTTTCTTCTTTATTACTCTGGTTAGCGGTCTATCGATTTTGTTGATCTTTTCAAAAAACCATCTCCTGGATTCATTGATTTTTTGAAGGGCTTTTTGTGTGTCTATCTCCTTCAGTTCTGATCTGATCTTAGTTATTTCTTGCCTTCTGCTAGCTTTTGAATGTGTTTGCTCTTGCTTCTCTAGTTCATTTAATTGTGATGTTAGGGTGTCAATTTTAGATCTTTCCCTTTCTCTTGTGGGCATTTAGTGCTATAAATTTCCCTCTACACACTGCTTTAAATGTGTCCCAGAGATTCTGGTATGTTGTATCTTTGTTCTCGTTGGTTTCAAAGAACATCTTTATTTCCACCTTCATTTCATTATGTACCCAGTAGTCATTCAGGAGCAGTTTGTTCAGTTTCCATGTAGTTGAACGGTTTTGAGTGAGTTTCTTAATCCTGAGTTCTAGTTTGATTTCACTGTGGTCTGAGAGACAGTTTGTTATAATTTCTGTTCTTTTACATTTGCTGAGGAGAGCTTTACTTCCAACTATGTGGTCAGTTTTGGAGTAAGTGCGGTGTGGTGCTGAAAGAATGTATATTCTGTTGATTTGGCATAGAGAGTTCTGTAGATGTCTATTATGTCTGCTTGGTGCAGAGCTGAGTTCAATTCCTGGATATCCTTGTTAACTTTCTGTCTCGTTGATCTGTCTAATGTTGACAGTGGGGTGTTAAAGTCTCCCACTATTATTGTGTGGGAGTCTAAGTCTCTTTGTAGGTCTCTAAGGACTTGCTTTATGAATCTGGGTGCTCCTGTATTTGGTGCATATATATTTAGGATAGTTAACTCTTCTTGTTGAATTGATCCCTTTACCATTCTGTAATGGCCTTCTTTGTCTCTTCTGATCTTTGTTGGTTTAAAGTCTGTTTTATCGGAGACTAGGATTGCAACCCCTAACTTTTTTTGTTTTCCATTTGCTTGGTAGATCTTCCCCCATCCCTTTATTTTGAGCCTGTGTGTGTCTCTGCATGTGAGATGGGTTTCCTGAATACAGCACACTGATGGGTCTTGACTCTTTATCCAATTTCCCAGTCTGTGTCTTTAATTGGTGTACTGAGCCCATTTTCATTTAAGGTTAATGTTGTTATGTGTGAATTTGATCCTGTAATTGTGATGTTAGCTGGTTATTTGGCTCATTAGTTGATGCAGTTTCTTCCTAGCTTTGGTGGTCTTTACAATTTGGCATGTTTTTGCAGTGGCTGTTACCGATTGTTCCTTTCCATGTTTAGTGCTTCCTTCAGGAGCTCTTTTAGGGCAGGCCTGGTGGTGACAAAATCTCTCATCATTTGCTTATCTGTAAAGGATTGTATTTCTCCCTCACTTAGGAAGCTTAGTTTGGCTGGATATGAAATTCTGGGTTGAAAATTCTTTTCTTTAAGAATGTTGAATATTGGCCCCCACTCTCTTCTGGCTTGTAGAGTTTCTGATGAGAGATCCACTGTTAGTCCGATGGGCTTCCCTTTGTGGGTAACCCAACCTTTCTCTCTGGCTTCCCTTAACATTTTTTCCTTCATTTCAACTTTGGGGAATCTGACAATTATGTGTCTTGGAGTTGCTGTTCTCGAGGATTATCTTTGTGACATTCTCTGTATTTCCTGAATTGGAATGTTGGCCTGCCTTTCTAGATTGGGGAAGTTCTCCTGGATAATATCCTGCAGAGTGTTTTGCAACTTGGTTCCATTCTCCCTGTCACTTTCAGGTACACCAATCAGACGTAGATTTGGTCTTTTCACATAGTCCCATATTTCTTGGAGGATTTGTTCTTTTTATTCCTTTTTCTCTAAACTTCTTTTCTCACTTCATTTCATTCATTTGATCTTTCATCACGGATAACCTTTCTTCCAGTTGATCGAATCGGCTTCTGAAGCTTGTGCATTCATCACGTAGTTCTTGTGCCATGGTTTTCAGCTCCTTCAGATCCTTTAAGGACTTCTCTGCATTGGTTATTCTAGTTAGTTATTCGTCTAATCTTTTTTCAAGGTTTTTAACTTGTTTGCCATGGGTTTGAGCTTCCTCCTTTAGCTTGGAGAAGTTTGATAGTCTGAAGCCTTCTTCTCTCAACTCATCAAAGTCATTCTCCATCCAGCTTTGTTCCATTGCTGGTGAGGAGCTGCATTCCTTTGGAGAAGGAGAGGCACTCTGATTTTTAGAATTTTCAGTTTTTCTGCTCTGTTTTTTCCCCATCTTTGTGGTTTTATCTACCTTTGGTCTTTGATGATGGTGACGTACAGATGGGGTTTTGGTGTGGATGTCCTTTCTGTTTGTTAGTTTTCCTTCTAACAGTCAGGACCTTCAGTTGCAGGTCTGTTGGAGTTTGCCTGAGGTCCACTCCAGACCCTGTTTGCCTGGGTATCAGCAGTGGAGGCTGCAGAACAGTGAATACTGGTGAACAGCAAATGTTGCTGCCTGATCCTTCCTCTGGAGGTTTTGTCTCAGAGGAGTACCCAGCCATGTGAGATGTCAGTCTACCCCTACTGGGGAGTGCCTCCCAGTTAGGCTACCTGGGGGTCAGGGACCCACTTGAGGAGGCAGTCTGTCCATTCTCAGATCTCAGGCTGCATGCTGGGAGAACCACTACTGTCTTCAAAGCTGTCAAACAGGGACATTTAAGTCTGCAGAGGTTTCTGCTGCCTTTTATTTGGCTATGCCCTGCCCCCAGAGGTGGAGTCTACAGAGGCAGGCAGGCCTCCTTGAGCTGCGGTGGGCTCCACCCAGTTCGAGCTTCCTGGCCGCTTTGTTTATTTACTGAAGCCTTGGCAATGGTGGGCCCCCCTTCCCCAGCCTCGCTGTTGCCTTGCAGTTTGATCTCAGACTGCTGTGCTAGCAATGAGTGAGGCTCTGTGGGCGTAGGACCCTCCAAGATATGCACAGGATATAATCTCCTGGTGTGCTATTTGCTAAGATCGTCAGAAAAGCACAGTATTAGTGTGGGAGTGACCCGATTTTCCGGGTGCTGTCTGTCACCCCTTTCCTTGGCTAGGAAAGGGAATTCCCTGACCCCTTGCACTTCCCGGGTGAGGCAATTCCTCGCCCTGCTTCGGCTCATGCTCAGTGCGCTGCACCCACTGTCCTGCACCCACTGTCCGAAAGTCCCCGGTGAGATGAACCCAGTACCTCAGTTGGAAATGCAGAAATCATTCATCTTCTGTGTCGCTCACACTGTGAGCTGTAGACTGGAGTTGTTCCTATTCGGCCATTTTGGAACCGCCCCTGAGTTTTGGTTTCTTGATAGAACCTGGACAGGTGGGCTGAGGTGCTGTGGGACATAAGTGGGGAAGAGCTGGACCCAATATCCAGAACCAAGTGAGCTTTTACTCACCATGTGGTTTGGTTTCTGAGTTTATAGTTTGACCAGATGCAGAAGAGTTTGTCCAGGACTTCTGAGGGGTGAAGAACTTGAAGGGAGAATAATATAACTTATTAGTCAAATAAATGAAAATATCATAACTGTGCATATGTTCTTGTGAGTGGGGGTAGCTCAGCAGTGTGTGTTCATCCCCAGAAAAGAGAAAATCATGTCTGCTGTGGAAAGAAGACATAGCTTTTGACATATGTGGTTATTATTAATGACAGCTGAGCCTGGATACTAGATCATGTTATAATGCTAAAGGGAAGATTCAATAGAAGAAAGAATGTCATAGTAAAAACAAAAAAATTAAGCATCAAAGATTTAAATGAAATGACTTTGAATATTACTAGTAATGAACATGCCAAGAAAAATCAATTACTATAACCAGAAGAATAATTCATGACTGCCCATGGGATTCATGCTGAGAAGATATACAATTTCCATTTAATTTCCATTTACTGAAAATTAAATTAAATTTAGTGAGGGCTCATCACTACCCTCATAAAATGGTTCAGAGAGCAAGCGAAGAACAGAGTGTGAGCTTACAGCAAGTGGAGACCATCTCTTCTCCAATGTCCCACAGCTCCACAGCCCACCTGTCCAGGTTCTATCAAGGAATTTTAGCTCCTGCCCAGTAAAGGAAACAGTTGAGTGAGGAGAGAACCTGCAGATGATAGACAATATCTGAAAACTGTTCATTTGACAAGGGATTACTATAAAGCATATAAAATTAACTGAACTGCAATTAATAATGTGAATAATAATGGGCAAATAACATGAATGAACATCTGTCAAAAGAAGACGTGGAAAGGATCAATAGATAGATGATAAGTATATATGCACACATATGTTGCTAGACAGCACTAATATTCAGGAACATGCAAATTCACAATGAGATATCTTTTCATCCTTCATCTTTGCTGGAAAGTCTGTTAACAGAAAGCCAAAATAAGGAAAACAAAAGCTAGCAAGGCTGCATAGAAGGGGACACTCTTATTGACCACTGGTGGAAATGTAAATTAGTATAGCCATCATGGGAAAAAAATAGAACTGCCATATAATTCAGCAATCCAACTGCTGAGTATTTATCTATTTAAATAATTAAAAGAAAAAACTAAAATTGAAGAGATACCTGTACACCCATGTTTACTGCAGCACTAATTGCAATAGCTAAGCTATGAAATCAACATATGTGTCCATGAACAGATGAACGGATAAATAAAATGAGGTAAATTTACACAATGAAATATTATTCAGCCTTAAAAATGAAATTCTGCCATTTGAAGCAACATGGTTGGAACTGGACACCCTTATGTTGAATGAAAGCAGACAGACATAGAAAAATAAATACCACATTTTCTCAATTTAATGTGGAAGTTTAAGAAAGTTGATTTTCTAGAAGTAAATAGTAGAGTAGTGGTTATGAGATGCTCCAAATGGGAGGAGACTGAGAGACAAGAAGAGGCTTGTTAACAAATGCACAATTACAGGTAGACAGGAGGGATATGCTCTAGTGTTCTACAGCGCAGTACGGTGACTACAGCTAACAATATATTGTACGTTTACAAGTAGCCAAAAGAGAACATTTTGTATGCTACCAACACAAATAAATGTTAATGTCTGAGCTGATGAATTTTCTCATTGTTCTGATTTGGTCAAACCACATGGCAGAGATGTATTGAAATATCACACTGTACCCCATAAACACAAACAATCATTATCTGCCTACCTAAAAAATCCTTTAATTAAAAAGGATTGTATTGCCATACATTACAAGTGATTCAACACAGAGCCTGGAAAAAACACCATTTTTATTTGAAATAGTGAAATTCCTAACAACATAGTTACACTCATTTGCACCAAGCTGTGTATTTGATCATGGTAAGCATAGACAGACTTATGCATAGAATAATATATTTTAATTACAGACTTCTACTTAATACTATAAATGCCAATAAATTTAAAACAACTAAGCAAAAGGAATAAGGTTGATGAAATGTGTGTGGTGTGTGATGTGAGCGCTTTTTCTTTAACCACGCTGTCCATGTTGGATGTGCGGTGTGTGTCTGTGTCTGTGTTTACTCTGCTTGAGGTTCTCTGTGATTCTGGGATCTGTAGTTCAGTGTGTTTCACAAAATTGGGAACATTCTTAACCATTATTTTTTCAAATACTTTCTCTGTATCTATAATTTCTACTTTTCAGAATTAAAGTATACATTTACTACACTTTTGATATTGTTTAGTTTCTTCACTCTTTTCCTTTGCAATTTACTTGTTAAATTTCTAGTGACATTTTAAGTGCATGGTTTCATTTAAAAGCTGAGCCAGCTCTAATGAGGGGTGTGCCCAAAGATTGCTCAATGTTTATACTGCATTGCTTTTGATTTCTCATGCATTTCCATTTGATTACTTCTTAGTATTTTCATCTCTCAGTTCCCTATCTAGTCCTGCATTATGTCCACAGTTTCTTCAAGAGATTTTTACATATGAATTATAGTTACATTATATATCTTATTTAATTAGTTATAATACCTGTATCTTTTATAAATCCCTTTCTGATTATTTCTTTATTGTGACTTTGGCATTTCTCATTAATATATATAATAATCGTTGTTGATAACCAGACATGTTGGGTTTGACAGTTAATACTGGCTTATTTCATTTTATCCATTTTCTGCCTGTATTTGACCACACTTTATCTTCGCCAGGCAATTATTGTGGAAATGTCCGTGAATCTTCTCACAGCTACATTTGACATTTACTTTTGCAGTGGACATCAGAGTTGAAGTCTGTTCTGTGTCCACCAGAGACTTCAGATCCTCCAGTGATACCTTGTTTTTCTTTCCTGCTTGGCTTTGTCTCATCACCTGTTCCCTCCTCCAGAGAATCTCTTTCAGCTCCTTCAGGTGGGTTAAAATGTTATATTTAACTGACAATAGTGAAATTGGTTGAAGGCAATAGAATAAAGGGAGATTTTGCGACTTTTCCTGGGTCCATATTGTGATTCTGAGTCTGGGTGTGAGCTTTCCAGTGTTTCTGAACTTCCTCCAGATGAGATGTTGGTCTGCGTGTTCTTGCTCTTTTCCTGGGTAGAGTCCTCTTGTTTTCCCCAGTTGTTCCCTCCCTCAGCTCCAGTGTTCTCTTTTGGTGTTATCACCTTCCAGATTTGATGACCTGACGTTCAAATTAAGGCTCTGATTAAATAAGGAGGCAGCAAACGCCTGGGCAAAAAGCCGCGGCAACAAAAAGCCTCGCTGACGGGGGGAAAACAGCCGCAACGGCGGGGGCAAAAACCTGCAAAAAGCCGCGGCGGCGGAGCCAAAAAGCCGCGGCGGCAAAAAGCCACCGTGGCGGGCGCAAACAGCCGCAAAAAGCCGCGGTGGTGGGGGCAAAATCAGCGGGAGCTGGGGCAAAAAACCACAAAAAGCCGCGGCGGCGGGGGGAAAAAGACGCGACGCCAAAAAGCCTTAGCGGCGGGGGCAAAAAGCCGCGGCGGGGGGGCAAAAAGCCGCAGTGGCAGGGGGTCAAAAAGCTGCGACGGGCAAAAACCCGCGGCGGCAGGGGGGGCAAAAAGCCGGGGCGGGGAACAACCCGCGGTGGCGGGGGGACAAAAAGCCGGGGCGGGCAAAAATCCGGGGCGATGGGAGGCAAAAAGCCACGGCGGGGATAAAGCGGCGGTGGCGGAGGGGGCAAAAAGCCGCGGCGGCGGGGAGGCAAAAAGACGAGGCGGGCAAAAAGCCGCGGCGGCGGGGAGCAAAAAGCCACGGGGGTAAAAAGCTGAGTCGGGGTGGGGGTAAAAAGCCGCGGCGGCGGGGTGGCAAAAACCCAGAGCGGGCCAAAATCCGCGACTGCAAAGCCGCGGCGGGCAAAAAGCCGGGGCGGCAAAAAGCCGGAGCGGGCAAAAAGCCGCGGCCGGCAAGCCAGGGCGGCGGGGTCAAAAAGCCGCGGCTGGTAAAAAGTCGCGACGGCGGGGGGCAAAAAGCCGCGGCGACGGGGGCTGGGCAGAAAGCCGCGGCGGGGTGGGGGCAAAAAGCCGCGGCGGCTGGGGATAAAAAGTCGCGGCGGCGGCGGCGGCGGCGGCGGCGGGCCAAAAAACCGTGGCGGGGAAAAAGCCAAGGCGGGGTGGGGGCAAAAAGCTGCGGGGGCAGGGTGTAAAAAGCCACGGCGGGGAAAGCGGCGGCGGGGGGCAAAAAGCCGCGGCGGGGGGGCAAAAGCCTGAGCGGGCAAAAAGTCGCGGCGGCGGGGGGCGAAAAGCCGCGGCGGCTGAAAAGCCGCGGAGGCAAAAAGCCGCGGCCGCGGGGGGGTTGGGGGGGGGCGGGCAGAAAGCCGCGGCGGCGACGGGGGCACAAACCCGCAGCGGGCAAAAAGCCTAGTCAGGGTGGGAGCAAAAAGCCGCGGCGGCGGTGGGGCAAAAAGCCACTGGTGGCGGCGGGTAAAAAGTCGCGGCGGCGGGGGGCAAAAAGCCGTGGCGGGTAAGAAGCCGCGGCAGGGGGGAAAAAGCCACGGCGGGGGGGGCGGGGGGCAAAAAGCTGCGGCGGCAAAATTCGCAGCGGCGAGGGGTCAAAAAGCCGTGGCGGGCAAAAAGCCGAGGCGGGGTGGGGGCAAAATGCCGCGGCGGGTAGAAAGCCGCGGCGGCGGCGGACAAAATAGTGGAGATGGGATAGAAGGCTGGCACAGCTTGGCATTGCTGGAGTGTGATGTGATGGGAAATGTGCAGCCAAAGACAAAAAAAAGATGTAAGTAGGCTTGACTCATTGCAGCTAAGAACCCAGATGTTATCTTGAGGGTATTAACTAATAAGCAGTTTAAATCAGAATGGCACATTCTGATTTGTTTTTTGTATGTTCACATTTGGCAGGCATAGATACTGTTTGAAGAAAGAAAAGTCAGTAGAGAGACGTAACAAACTTCAATATGTGTCAAGTCTAGAAACAAGAGACCAGGGGGTTAAGGACCTTTCAAAATAAAATGCAAGATTTGAAAACTGATTGGCTGGGGGATGAGGAAAAGGCAGGTCTTTAAGGTCAATCCCTGTTTTGCTTTAAGTTGTTAGGGGGTGGTTTTATCACATATTGTAGAATATGTCATTTCAGTTTTGAACATCTGGAGTTAAATTGTCCTAACATATCTTATGAATTTGATTTTCTTCCCTGGGAAGCTAATATTTCAAAAACTTAAAGAGTATATAGATTTCCAACTTGTATCCAATTTATGAAACTATCTCTAGGCTGCTGATTTCAGGAGGAGGCTCATGAATATTCTCTTTGCAGAGAATATATCAGGAGTTAACAACAGCTTCAATATTTGTGGACGACCAGTTAACTAAGCCACCTCTTAGTGTATTTAGATGGGAAATCTTAGCTGAAGATATTCAATAATGAACCAAGAGTGACTAAAAAATTCAATATTGAAGTATATTTCATTGTAATTAATTTGAATTGAAGTAGCCATATACAGCTAGTATTTACTACATTGAACAATGCAAATAAGAGGAAAAAATTAATAACCATCTCTAATACCACATGCCAAAATCCTCATCAATTTATTCTAGCTAAAGGAGTTGATCAGAAGCAGCAGTTGAAAGCACCAACTAAACCAGCTGGGGTTAGTTCACTGTCATTCTCTCAGAACCCTCTCTTCTCTGAACAAAACAAGTACAAGAGTTCATTGTGAATCTGCATTCTCCTTGCGTATTTTAAGGTTTTGATGTTGACACTAATTTGTGAAATCCTCCTGTGGTGTGATATTTCGTTTTCCTTGCTTTCTGTTAGGACAAGAATGCTTCAGCTCTTAATTTAAAATTATGTTTCTCCCTTCTAGGTTGAGTGAACTTAGAATGCATTCTCTGACATATCCAAGTTTTTGTTAATATGAATTTTGGGAAAAAAGCATACTTAATTAGCTAAGACTTATTATTCTAGGCTTGACCCTATGTTCGACATCTTTTGAATTTCTAGTTGCATGGGCTGCTCTCTGACACTGGTTAGTGACCTGGAAGCTGTATTAATGTTAGGGGAGGTGGTGTATGAGCATTAGAGGTATCCTTGCAAGGAAAGACTTGTCGTATGTCAATACGTCTTTTTTTTTGCACACAAGAAAGTCAAAGTTTGAGTCTTCTAAAATCTTCCCATTTCCAAGTTGCAGAGTACCACTGATTCCTAAACAAAGACCTAATTTTTGACTCAGAGACGTGGCGAGGTAGTGAATCACCATTATAATGTAACAATCTTCAAGATAAAATTATCTCTGATATTTAGATTTTGCCCAATTATTAAGATATTTGGGTGTTTCGTTAAAAATGGAAGACTCTAGTCTCTTGAGCAGAGAATATAAAGGCCTCAGATGATCATTTTTAATTTTATGTTCTTTTCTTTAACACCTTCAACACAGTTGGAAGCAGCCGATATTCCCCAGAGTTGTTGTGTTTTTTAAACCAAATGCATGGTTCAGTGGTAGAAAACTGGGCTGATCCAAGCTGTTTTCAGTAAACACTTCATTTCAGGTGACCTATTTCATATTAAATAATCTCTAGATCCTGTCTTTGAAACTAACTAGATCAGATAACCTACCCTGGATTTTCTCCTTTTAGGGTCTGTGAGCTGCAGTCACTTTTGTGAAAATGATTGCAATGACAAGATAGAGTTGTAGATGGGGAAAATGTTTTGACTAATTTAAGCATAGTGGTATTTCTTATGAGAATTTAAGTTACACACATTTGAAAATTATAATGGAGTCTCTTGGCTGAGCTTTTAAAAAAATAGTGTTTAGGCTAAAAAGGGAACTGCTGCCTCTCCTAAAATCAGAAAGATGTTACAGTAATTCTCCATTCTCTAGAATTATCAAGAAGCACCTTTGTGATGATTTACTTTTGCTCTTGGGCGTGTGAGCCCGTGTAGTTGTGGAACCATCAATTAGAATGGTGGCTTTCTGATCCCAAAGTCATTCGTTCTGAAAACAATATTTTTCATAAATTTGAAAGTGAGAAGTTTTGATCTTGCCATTCCCAACTAACTCTCTTAATAAGAGGCATCAGCATGCTTCAGTGACAGCTGTCACCTTCCAGTGCTGAGAGTCATCTTTGAGTTCTCCATTTCACTCCCTACACTCCAATTTAGCTGCAGTTCTCTTGTCCAGTCCTATGAAATACATCCATGGCCTAATGACTTCTCACCACTACTACCACTCATCCTGACAGCATTCTCACCTAAGTCACTACCTTTTTTCTCTGGATTAGAGTAGCGTCCCCATTTATTTGCTCACATAACCTATTTATTCTACACAGTGCACCAGATACACCCCTTTGAAATGGAAACACTATCATGTTATTCTCTGGTGAAATTATCTCATATATTCCTATCGCATTTAAAATTACTTCAGAATCATCCCATGATTATCAAAACCCTACATGCTCTTCCACAACATGGTTTACTTCCAAGATATCTCTTCAACTTTTTTTTCACTGTACTGAATTGGTGACTAATAGTCATATTTTTGTTTTTGCTCAAAAAGTCTTGACTTGTAAATTTTTCAGTTTCTCCTTTATCCACAGGTAACTCTTTCCTCATAAGGCGAATTGCTTGCTTCCTTGAGTTCTGCTCTCAAAGATACCCTTCATTATCTACCTAATATTAATAACTTTAATCATTCATTATTCCATTACTATGCTCTATAGTGTATACAATTTCTGTTCTTTGTCATGTTATTAACTAAATTATTTATTTGGTCCAGTAACGTATTCCATAAATATTGTACACATAAAAATTATGTTATTTTTATTCCTGTATGCGCAGCTGCCCAATAACAGTCTGAGGATTAACATATTTGTTAAATGCACAAATACATTCTTTCACAAATATTAGTTTAATAATTTTATATTAAACTCCCTCTATACTTACAATATGAATTAGATAATTCAGAATAAACATTCCATTGGAAAAAACTAAACAATTTGTTATAAAAACATCCTTAAAAGCATCAGAAAGTTAATACAGCAATGAAGAATGACAGGACCAAATTAAGAATGGTATGAAAGCCTGTTTGTGACGCTTATGTTTGGGTTATCTCTTTACTTAGAGTGACTATAAATCTCAAAATAGAACTAAAGTGAGAAATAACCGTATCTACTAATATGGTAAGGGTACTTAAACATCTCTTAGTAATTGAGAAAATTGAAAGAAAAGAAAAAAGAGAAAGAGAGAAAGAGAAACAGTGGAAGGGATAATGAAGGAGAGAAAGAAGAGAAAGGAAGAGGAAGAAAAGTAAAAGAGGAGGAGGGGGAAGGAGGAAGGAAGAAAGGTGAAAAGAAAGAATGGTAAACTTTTTAACAACATAATTTATCCTTCTAGAATATGAATTTTGGTCTATTTGATGATGTCCCACAGATTCATTAGTCTCTGCTCCTTGTTTATTTTTTATTCTTTCTGTTTCTCAGAGTCAGTATTTTCCATTTTCTTCTCTTCAAGTTCATGGCTTCTTCTGTGTGTGCAAATATACTCTTAAATCCCTCTGGTGATTTTTAAATTTTTATCATTATAGTTTTCCACTCCAGAATTTCTGTTATCTCTTTGCTGATATTCCTACTTTTTAATATTTTTTCTGATTCCTTTATTTCTTTGTTTATGTTTTCCTTTTGACATTTAAGTATAATGAAGAGAGTTGTTTTAAAGTCTTTGTCTAGTAAGTTTGATGTCTGGGTTTCCTTAGGGATATTTTCTGTCAATTTGTTTTGTTCCTTTGAATGAGCCACACTTTCCCATTCTTTGTATGCCTTGTAACGTTTTTTGAAAACTGGACATTCTAATAATTATAATTACTATGTGGTTACTTGGTAAATCAGACCCCCCCTACAAACACAGTAATGTTTTGTGGTTTTAAATTTTCTTTATTTATTATATTGTTAAGGATTTTTTTTTTTTGAGTGAAATTTTCCAAAGTGATTTACAAAACTGTTTGCTTTATAAGGTGTGGTCACCGAAGTCTTTTTGTTTCCTTAACAAATGTTAAGCTAATATTTTGACAGTGATTTTCTTGTATGTCAGGAACCAATCAAACAGGCAAATACAAGAAAAACAAAAAGAAAAAAAAGTAATCATTGTCCAGCAAAATATGTCTCTAGGCCATGCAGACTGGCTTTGTGCTGGGTTCTTTAAAGCCGGGACAAAGTGTGTGTTCACTCTTGCACTGAGTGAAGTTCAAGTTGACTCTTGCACAGAGCTTGCACTGAGGGAAGGGATCAGCCAAGGTAAAAGTGTAGGGTCTTCTTATGACATTTGTCAGCATGTGGCTTAACCTATGAATACATGTGACTTTCTAGACCGTCCCACGTACGTGAATGATTTTGTATGTCTTACTTTTTGAAATACTCTTCTCCAACTTTTCTTGCTGTGCTGAGGGTGATCTACTATATGTGTAAACTTTAATTTTTGCCCTAAGCATCTGTGGTTTGTTAGGTCTCCTTGCAGAGTTTCTTAATAATGTCCATTCCTTATCTGTTCTGTATTCTAGCAACACAGAAAAAAGAAGCCTTTCATGAGTCCTTTAGGTATCCCCCAGACTAGTCAGAACAGACACAGAATAATTTGCGGGTAAGATCTTCTCCTGTTCCTTTGGACCATGGACGAGGCTTCCTCACTGGGAACGTGGGCCTCTGACACTTCAAAACTGCCAATTTGCTGGGGCAAAGGCAGGTTAAAAATGTCATAAAGTTTTCAAGTTGTCTTTTTCTTGAGTCTGCTTTCACTTGGTTGTTGTAATCTTTTGACCATTTTCCAGAGTTTTGGCAAACTTTTTTCGGACAGTTTCTCTTAGATGTGTGATGTTTCTGTGGGGAAATGAAAGATTGCAGCTGTCTCCACTGCCATTTTGCTGATGCTCCTCTTTTGTGAATTTTTGCTTCATGTTATTATGCTTTGTCATTAGTTCATGCATTAGTTTTCTAGGGCTGCCATAACCAAGTAACACAAACTGGGTGCCTTGAACTACATACATTTATAGTCTTATAGTCCTGGAAGCTAAAAGTCTGAGATTGAGGTGTCAGCAGGGATGGTCCCTTCAAGGGCTATGAGAGAAAGCCTGTTCTCTGCCTTGTTTCTCGCTTCTGGTGGTTTAGTGGCAGTCTTTGGCATTCCTTGGCTAATCTCTGCCCTCATAATCACATGGTACTCTCCCTGTGTGTATGTCTCCCTCTACTCAAATTTCTTCTTTTAATAAGGACATCAGTCATATTGAATTCAGGCTCATCTGATTGTATCTTAACTTGATCAGCTGCAAAGAACCTATTTCCTAATGAGGTCATATTCAGTGGTTAGAATTTCAGCATCTATATAGAGGAAACAATTTAGCTCATATCTGTGCATACATGATTGTAATAGCTATGTCTTCCTAAAGCGTTGACCCCCTTTTTACTACAATATAAATTTTTAAAATCCTATTCACATTTTTAATAGTCGATATTGTGTGTTATGAGTATAATGAGTTCAGTGTCCTTATGATTGCTCTTTGCATGATATTTTTTGTCATCTTTTTACTTTCAATCCATTAGTATCCTTGCATCTCAGCGTATATTGGGATCACTTGTTTTAATCCAGTCTGACAATCTCTGCCTCTGGAATGGATTTTAATCTGCTCACATTTAAGATTATAATTGGTATAATTCTATTTATGTCTGCCATTTTACCATTTGTTTTATATATTTCTCAAATATTTTTCTTTATTGCTTTATTTTGCAATGAAAGAATATTTTCTAAAATAGGGAACTTTAGATTACTAATGAATTATTTTATTATATATTTTTGAGAATTTTTGTTGTTGTAAGTTTACCATATAGGTATGTGGAAAATTAATTATTCAAATCATCTTCTAATTTATACTAGTAAACTTTTAGTAATACATAGAAACATCATTCTTATATAAATCTCTCTTATTTCCTCCATTTTAAAGTATTATCACTTTACACATTACATCTATTAAAGTTACAAAGCCAACAATACATTTTAGTAATTATTACTTTACCATCTAGAGTTATTACCTTATCACAATACATTTTTCTTCCAACTACCTCCTTTTTGATGTTACTGGAAAATATGTTATAGACGTATTACATTTCTACATGTCAAATACTCAGCAATACATTATGCACATATTATTATTATCATTGAGATGGACTCTCCCTCTGTCACCTTGGCTGGAGTGCAGTGGCACAATCTCCGCTCACTGCAAGCTCCATCTCCCGGCTTCATGCCATTTTTCTGCTTCAGCCTCCCGAGTAGCTGGGACTACAGGCACCCGCCATCATGCCCGGCTCATTTTTTGTATTTTTAGTAGAAACGGGGATTCACTGTGTTAGCCAGGATGGTCTCGATCTCCTGGCCTCGTAATATGCCTGCCTTGGCCTCCCAAAGTGCTGAGATTACAGGTGTGAGCCATCGTGCCCGGCCATTATACACATGTTATTTAATAAACAATTTATGATAAAGAGAAAAAATGCATTTTTACTGCCTTTTATAATGTCAATATTACCTATACCAGTGCTTTCTTAAAAATGTGGATTCAAGTGACTGTCTTCTGTAACTTCCTTTTAGCCTTAGGAATTTGTTTTAGAGTTTTTTTTTATATGGTAGGTCTGCCAGCAACAACTTCAGTTAGTATTTCTGTTTATCTGGGTAAGTCTTTGTGTTATCTTCATTTATGAAAAATAATTGCTGGATAAGGAATTTGTGACTGAGAGTTTTTTTTTCTTTGCATCTTTTGAATATATTATTCTACTGCCTCTTGCCTTCCATTGTTTCTCTTAAGTCAGCTGTTAATCTTACAAAACATAGGTGCTCAAAAAATAAACGTGCATGAATATTTACAGCAGTAATATTCATACAGTCAAAAAGTGTAAACAATCCATATGCTTGTTGACTCATAAATGGACACCCACTTTTCAGCTATAACAAAGAATGAAGTACCTATATATGGTATAATATTGGTGAAATTTGAAAGCATTATGTTAAGTGCACAAAAGGACAAATATTACTTGATTTTATTCACATGAAACATCAGGAACTGGCAAATCAATTGGGATATAAATCAGATTAGTGGTCATTAGGGCTCAGGGAAGAAGAATAGGGTGTAACAACTTTATGCATAATGGGTTTTTGCAAGGGACATGATGAAATTGCCCTGGAACATTGTGAATATACTAAAAGCAAGTGCACTGTATGCTTTAAAATGGCTGTTATTAATTTTATATTATGTGATTTTTACCTTAAAAAACAAAAAAGAGAAAATAGTCTTACTCTATACATAATAAACTCAAGATATGTTATAAATGTACATGTGAAATCCAAAATACTATAATATTTAAGGAATAGCTAAGTAGAATAACACTGAAATTGAACATAATGAAACATTTCCTTAAAAAAGAAAAAAGCACAGTAATTAAAAAGGGAAATATATTTAATATTTTTTCTCTCCATTAAGCATGCCATTAACTGAGTAAAAAATCAAGCTGCAATTACATAAACTACATTTTCTAAAACCATAAAGAAAAGAAGAAATAAAAAGGTATTTGGGAAAAAAATCCAAAGGTACAGTCAACTATGCAAAAAAACCTTAGTCTCATTAATCATTATGAAAATGCAAATGGTAACTGAAAGAAGATAAAAC
This sequence comes from Homo sapiens, assembly GCF_000001405.40. Lineage (NCBI taxonomy): Eukaryota > Metazoa > Chordata > Mammalia > Primates > Hominidae > Homo > Homo sapiens. The sequence continues at coordinate 19,935,429 of NC_000015.10, read as the reverse complement.
TACAATTCAAAGAGAAAGCCTAAAATTTCAACCCCCCAAAAAGTCTGGGTTTTGGAGATCTGGGATAGAATAGGGTTCCTAACCTGACAACAATGAAAGAACCAAACTAACTTCAAAGTCATGATTTTATTTTTATAGCAACGACGATGCCAAGAACTGAGTCAAAATGTGAGGGAAAACAAGCACCTGCAAGGAGAAAGAAGACAGATGCACTTACATAGGACAGATGCAAATAGACGCCACTATGACAAGTAAAGCTGGAATAATCAATAAATTTCTAAAGACAAAGTGGGGCTTGTGAGATTGGGAGACTGCTGACAGCTGCAGAAGTTGGGAAAGATCCATCATCTTGAAAACTTTTTCCCCACAAACCCACTGCGATCTCTCAAGCAATTGGTAAGGAATCTAAGAGAGTCTGTATATGACACAGATCAGGGAGAGCAGAACACTTGGGAGGTGACCAGGTCTTGGGGGCCGAGCCCTTATGAATGGGATTAGTGCCTTTATAAAAGAAGCTCAATGGAGTTCTTGTGTGCCTTCCACTATGTGAGGACATAGAAAGAACGCACCATCTATGAATCATGAAATGGGCTCTCATCAACACTGAATTTGTGAGCATCTTGACCTGAGATCTTACAGCCTCAAGAAGTGTGAAAAAAGAAATATCTGTTGTTTTTTAGTCACGCGGTTTATGTTATTTTGTTATAAGAGTCCAAATAGACCAAGATATTCCACTTAATATGTAGGGGAAGGCAACAAAAACTGCCACACTTAGAATACTCCTGATGCTGGAAGTATGAAAACAGGAAAAACAAAACAAAACTGCTCTTGAAGGTGAAGGAGGAATATCACTGAGCTCACCAACACAGCCAGGAGAAGAACAGAAGTGTGAGAAGGCTACATTCCTGAGACCCTGAGAAAAAGTACCTGCATAAGACTGAGATGAAATTACCTACTCTAGTTATGATTGAAATCCCAAAAAGAAAAGAGGGAAATATAATGGAGCAAAAGAAATATTTTTCAAAATAACTGCCAAAAATATTCTAAAATAAGTGACAGAAAATCAAACTTCAAATATAGGAAACTCAGAGAATGTCAAATAGAACAAAAAGAAATAACAATTCCATCTTGAAAAATCTTTAAAAAACCAAGTCTAAATTTTATATCTTGCTCCAAATATATAGAGATATAAATAGGTTATCATCAAGATATGGAGAAAGCCATATCATGGAAACAGTAAAATAAGGCTGTGGAAGGACTACATTGATATTAGACACAACAGAGTTCGGAACAAGAAATAGTATCAGAGATGAGAGATGATAGATAATAGAATAATCAATTCTCAAGAATATGTAAACATCCTACTAATTAGGATATGCAGCTAACAACAGAACCTCCAAATACATGAGGTAAAACATGAAGGAAATCAAAGGTGAACTAGAAAAATCCAAAATTATATTTGCAGGCTTCAACACTTTTGTCTTAGTAATGGAAAGACTAGGCACAAACTCAGTAATCATGTGGAAGATAAGAAAAGCAATATCACCAACAAGACATCCGATCTTCAATGGCAGATACTCTTTCCTTTCAAGTGAAAAAAAAAAACAGTATGGCATATTCTCTAACAAACCCAGAATTTCTAATATTTGCGTTATTCCTTCCTTCTTTCCATCTTCCTTTCTCTTCTCTTCTCTTCCCTTCCCTTGCCTTCTTCCTTCCTTTCTTCTTTTCCTCTTCCTTTTCTTTTTTCTTTCCTTTCTTTCTATTCTTTCTTTTTTCTCCTTCCTTCCTTCTTTCCTTCTTTCTTTCTTTCCCCTTATTCTTCCTTCCCTCCTCCCTCCCTTCTTTCTCCCTCCCTTTTCTTCCTTCTTTTCTCGTATTCTTTCTTTCTCACGTTCTTGCTTTCTATCCTTTTTTCTCCCTTCCTCCTGCCCTCCTTTTCTTCCTTCCTCCCTCCCTTCCTTTCCTCTTTTTCCTTCCTTCCTTCGCTTCTTTATTTTCTTTGTTTCTTTGCCTTCCTCCCTTTTACCATTCTCTCTTCCTCCTTTCCTTCCTCCCTTCCTCCTTTCTTTCTTTCTCTGTTTCTCTCTTCTTTCTCTTTCTTTCATTCTTTCTTTCCTTCTTTCTTGTGTTCATGCTTTCTTTTTTCTCCCTTCCTGCCTTTCTCCCTTCCTCCCTCCCTCCCTCCCTTCCTTCCCTCATTTCCTCCTTCTTTTCTTTCTTCTTTCCTTCCTTCCTTCCTTCTTTCCTTCCTTCTTTTTCTTTCTTTGTTTTCTTTTCTTTCTTTCTCTTTACTACAATTCATATTATTTCAAGAAAAATTAAGAGAGGGAGACAGAAAAATAAAGAATGCTTTAATCTGCAGGTAAATAGATTATGTCTGCTGTAGGCAAAAGAATGGCCTCCCCAAAATTTTCATGTCCTAATTCCCAGAGTCTAACATACAAATATGTTAGGTTGCACGGCAGTGTGAAATTAGATTTCAAGTGAAATTAAGGTTGCGGAAAAATGATAGAGAGATTGTCTTAAATGGGTGGGATCAATGAAATGACAAACTTCCTTATAAGGGAAAGAAGAAGGCAGAAGAAAGGCAACCTTGGAGGTGGTGGCATGAGAAATTACTCAACATCACTGACTTTTAAGATACAAGAATGAGGACCCAGCGCGATGGCTCACGCCTAATCCCAGCACTTTGGGAGGCTGGGGTGGGTTTATCACGAGGTCAGGAGATCGAGACCATCCTGGCTAACATGGTGAAACCCCATCCCTACTAAAAATACAAAAAATTAACTGGGCATGGTGGCAAGTGCCTGTAGTCCAAGCTACTCAGGAAACTGAGGCAGATGAATCACTTGAACCCGGGAGGCAGAGGTTGCAGTGAGCTGAGATCGTGCCACTGCACTCCAGCCTGGGTGACAGAAGGAGACTCCATATCAAAAAAAAAAAAATAAGAAAAATAGGATATAAGAATGAGGTCATGTTCCAAAGAATAAAGGTGGCCTCTGGATGCTGAAAAAAATCAAGTAATAGATTCTGCCACATAGCCCTCAGAAAGACTGCAGCCCAGCCCAAAACTTGATGTTAGCCCTGTGAGTTTCATTTAAGGCTTCTGAACTACAGAACTGTAGGATTAACGGTCACTTTATTGTAAGATATGAAGTTTGTGGTAATTGGTTACAGCAGTAAGAGGAAGTTTATATTGTAATTGTATCATGAAAATGAGAACCATAATTTACAACTGCTTTTAATACTGCACTTGGATGTTTGAAATCACGTACATGGAAATGATCTCTATGTGCATGAGGGAGGATAGCAAATTGATGCCAAAGTAATGCAAATGCAAATCTTACACACATTTCTATGTAGGTTTCATTTAATATTTGAAATTAAAATGAAATTAAAACATTGTGATATTTTGATGAAATTAGACTAGAATGAACAATAACAAAATAAGAACTTACTTATATTCTTTATATGGTCAATAAAGAAGTGATAGTGTAAAAAAACAAGATCAAATGAAGGTGATGATTTAGGAAGCTGGAAAGAGAGCTGAAACTACAAAATGGTATATAACCAGTGAACACTTAGACACACTGATTGATGAACTTCAGCTTTTGGCTTGGTGAGAGCATAAAATGAGAGCAGCTGAGGTTTGCAAATTTGTAATCTCCTTGTGGAAAACCAGGGGAAAACATATCTCAGCCTAATAAGATTTATCTACTAAAGAGTCTAGAGTTGATCCATTTGTCCTTGTAATTCAAAAGCTAATTCAAATACTGATTTGATGTATTGTGTGAACAACCATTGCTGATTATCATCGCATACCTGGCATTCTCTTGTATCTGATATCTAAAATATTTGGTAGTTCCTGGACTTTCTCTTTTCAAACCCAGTACGGTTTAATTTGAGTCTTAGAACAGTTGTCTTTGAGAAATTCTTCCCTCTACTGCATCTGTGAATGGGCATAGCATGGTTACATACATACTGTCACTCCGTAGAACATTTGTTAAATTAAAGCCAAAGTTTAAAGCAAGAGCTTTAACTTACTGGTTTTACTAATGTTTTCCTCCCCAATAGCCACAACAATATTGATACCCTCACACCTTTTAACATAAAGATTGGTGTTGTCTATTTTTCAGGTGCTGTCATCTATATTATCTCAGTATTTTAAAAATCAGCTTCCAGCCCATATGGTGGTTCATGCTTGTAATACCAGCAGTTGAAGAGGCTGAAATGAGAGGATTCCTTGAGCCCAGGAGTTCAAAAGCAACCTGGGCAACATAGCAAGACCCAGTCTCTACCAAAAGTTTAAAAAAAAAAGTAGGCATGGTGATGTGCACCTGTTGTCCTAGCTATTTGGGAGGCCAAGGTGGAAGGATCGCTTGAGCTTGGGAGGCTGAGGCTGCAGTGAGCAGTGATTGCACCACTGCACTCCAGCCTGGGCAACAAAGCAAGACCCTATCTCAAAAAATACATATAATAAAAATTAAAATCAGCTCTCATTGATTTCTATGTAAATATGCACAGGTGATGTCCATATAGACATAAATAATAATATTTCTGACAATGGGTCCATATGATCTTCAAAATGTAAAATGCCTATCTGTGAAATTGACTGGTTAGTCTCATTAATGAATATAGATTCAATTCTACTTTCTTTTTCTACATAAATTATATAATCTAACTTTTCATTTCACTTATTTACTGATAACAACAGGAAGAGTGACAAGATATCTATTTTGGAAAATTACTCTCGTAGGAGTAAAGATGAAACAATGGTAGAATTGCATGGAAAACTAGAGAAAAGTATGGTCTTCTGATATTCTATCACATCACATACTAAAGGCCTCATAAAACTCAGATATTTTATCTAAAAATGTTATTTTCATCATAGGAATGATCAAAGCATGAGACTACAATTGTATTAAAATGTGCTTGTATCACAAGCACAGATGCTAAAAAGGAGGGGAAAACATCATTACTGATATTTTCAACGTATGTTTTACTTTTCATCAACATGAACCTCAACTTGATATGATGCAGATTGAAGGAAATCACCCATAATTCCATATGAAGAAGGCCTGTGATATTTTATGGGAAAATAAATAGAGAAAATGCTAACAGAAACCCTATTAAGCATGAAGATTTATGGAGCAAACACAAATCCAGTGGTGAAAGATACAGACTCGAGTTCTGTTTGTTGTCTTGGAACAATACGATTTAGAGGTGACTGGCGGGTGAGGAGAACATATGCGAGTTCACCAAAGAGAAAAGCTGAATGAGGCAATGCCTTTTCCAGACCATATCTCTTACTCAGATAACTATATAATTTATTGTCCAGTAAAGGGTGTATTAAAAAATCATATTAAAAGTCATGCAGTGAAGTTGTCCAGGGAAATCAAGACTTAACATTCTCACTCTGACAATAATGAACAGGGGGATTCCCTCAAGATAGACTAGGACATGACCCCACCCTGGCAGGTAGTAGTACCAGAAAAGAACCCATGGAAAATCTTTACCTTATGCTTGAGGTAGGGACCAGGCTAAAGCAAAAGCCAGACATAAAATTCTATCTAAAATAAATCCACAGTCGAAGAAAATATGTGGTGTACAGGCATAGAATGTCTTTACTGGATCATTGAAATAGTAAGATAAATTCAACTTTTTACATTGTTTTCTTTTCCTCCAGTTAGGGCTTGAGGTTTGTCTCTGGAGAGTGACTGTCAATTGGAGCCCTGCCTTTCTGGGGTTCTGGTCAGGGGGTTGTGGATGCTTAACATGTGCCTTTCACAGTACACTTCCTTACCCCAGCAGTGGCCAGGTGTGCATCCCACGACCAGGCCTCCCTCTCACAGAACATCTGTTGAGACTAGGAGACGCCTGGTGAATGTTGCCTGACCTGTGTCCTGTGTATTTCTGACAAGAGCCACTCTCAGAGACCCTGGCCAGGAGGAGAGTTAGGTTCCAGTGTAGATCAGCTCAGACCCATGGAGGCCACAGAACCAAACATGGGAAATCACAGAAGTAAGTTTATTACTCACAGATCCAGAGAGAAGAGGGTAGCTGAGAAGAGGGTTTAGCTGTGTCCCCAGCCAAATCTCATTTTGAATTCCCACATGTTGTGGGAGGGAACAGGTGGGAGGTAATTGAATCATGGGGGCAGGTCTTTCCCATGCTGTTCTTCTGATAGTGAATAAGTCTCACAATATCTGATGGTTTTATAAAGGGGAGTTTCCCTGCACAAGCTCTCTTGTCTGCTGCCATGTGAGACGTGCCTTTCACCTTGCACCATGATTGTGAGGCCTACCCAGCCATGTGGAACTGTGCATCTATTAAACCTCTTTCTTCTGGAAATTACCCAGTCTTGGGCATGTCTTTACCGGCGGTGTGAAAACGGACTAATACAGTAGCACACCTCATAGGGCTGAACAAAATGGGGAAGATGAGTGGGGAGCAGGAGAGAGAAAAGGGGTCTGTGGGACTCCAGCCTTTATTGGGCCCAGAACATTACCCAAATAAGTTTTCCACGGGGCACTAGTCGGTGGGGTGAGTGCCAGCAGGCACATTTCTTGACTCCCGCTGCAACCGAGCAGGTCACTCTGGCGTGTGGGGGCTGTCCATGTGCACTGTGAGGTCTGTGGGGTGAGTCAGGTAGGTTGTATCCAACGGTTCCATAGCTGGTAGTCACCAGGAGGAGGCAACTGTGTAGGGTCAATATCTGGGCCAGCCACACTGAGGAACTGTGAGGGTTAGAACTGGAAATTGTCAAGAGAATCTGAACCCAGCTACCATATGAGAGAGTTCAACTTATGTTCAATGTGAATGCCATGGCAATATTAAAAGGTAAGAATTCGCTCCATACGTGCTTGAGGTAAATAGAAACCTAGAATTTATGTAAACAGTGAGAAGATTGGATGCGTTTTCCGTCACATATTTTAATACTAGCAGCATATTTTATATGTCAATCCATCAGGCATTCAGAAATACATGCTTATGAAAATTTTTTGCACCATCAGACAAAAGACAAGGGTAGAAGACATTTGTAACCCTATAAACACTAATAAATTAAAAACAGAAGGACCTTTATGTCCTAACATATCTGTGTTGTGAAAGGCTGCCCTGTGAAATACGGGATTTCTTAAACATATTTTAAAAATCATAGGTGTCAATATTTTTTAGAAATCCATTTAAATTTTCTCTTGCTATTTTACAATGCCTATTTATTTATTTAGTGGCTCTGCTGATTTTGATGTATATCCTAAACTTTATATTTTCTTTAAAGGGTGTTTTATACAACTTTATGTAAAATGTTTCAGTATCTTCACGTTCTTTCCCTGTCCTTTTGTTTTGCTCTTATATGGTGGCCTTGAGTCTTTTCTCTGGCTTTTCAAACCTAGTAAGACTAAGACACTGAAGTAACTTTGCCCGTGGTTTGGTAATGCCTTCTAAAGCACATCCTAAGCTCTCGTGCATACAGGGGTCTGCTTTGAGCTCTGTGCTTTTGAGATTCCATATACCTAAATTCCAGTACTCCAAATCAGTACTACTCAGTTTCAGTTACTAAGTTTAAAAATGTATTTTAATAGCAAGTTAGTTTAGTGCACTGTTGCTTCTTTCTTGACTGCTTGTATACATTTATATTCCTTTAAATGAATCTTGGAATTTATTTAAAAATTTTAAATTATACTAATGAAACTGTATATTGTTGTGAATTCATAAGTGAATTTGGAAAGAATTTGTCTTTATGATCCTAAATCCTTTTTATCCAAGAATCATATGTGTCTCTATATTTATTCCAGTCTATATTTATATCACTGAGTAAATATATAGAAATGTAGATACGTACAGCTGTAGTTATAGATACAAATATAGATATAACATGTTAAATCTATATCCCATATAACATATATACATGTTATATGTGTGTGTGTGTGTGTATATATATGTTTATGTTATTAAAGATCTCCCTTAAAATTTTTCTTTTATTTCTTATATAATTTTAGGTCGAGCTTGAATTTTCCTTGTATAAACAAGCAAATATTTATACTAGTTTTAGTGCTGATGTTTAGACATTCTATCTTATTTTAGCATTGAATATTTTCACAATTATTATAAATATTATCTAATATTAATAATGTACCTGTTAAAAATATTTAAAATTTTACCTTTGAATTATTTTATTGTTGAATTAAAGTTCCTTTAATATGATAGTAAATTTCTATTTTATGCTTTCTCTATGCATATGCAAATTAATCTACCCACTTCTCTATCTCTATGTAGTAACATATGAAAATCAGGCCTCTCTTCTTCTAATGGACATACACATGTTTGCATATAGAATATCAGACTCTTTATAGCATTTAAAATCTTTAAAGACATGAATATTGCCTTTTAACAAATATATTTTAGCATGTACTGAGAATCCCCTATTTATTTTTAATTTGGGCTAATCAATATGATTATTAATATTATTGGATTACCAAATTTGGAAACACACTTCCATCCCCAAGGTGGATATTTGTTTTATTTTTTTTGCCAATTTCTTGTCTTACTGTTTCAAACATTGTTAGATATTATTTTTATTTTATTTGGCATTTTAGTATCAACATTTGTAATTGATGTACTCTACATGTTTTTTCTTCAATATCTGTTGGGTTTTATAATTACTGCTATATTGGATTTGTAGTAGAGATTGACAAAAATTATTCCTGTATGTTTTATAGCTGTATGAAGGAAACTAATATATTTTACCCCTAAATATATTTCCTTCATATATTTCAAAATGGCTATTGAGAAGGGCTGGAAACGCAAACTTAGCTGCAAATCTTTCTTGGGGAGATTTGCATCGGTAGAGAATCTGCCTTGATGCAGCAAGGCTTTCTCTGAGGTCTGCTCCCTTGTCTGGATATAGGAAAGGTTAACTGAGAGTCTGAGGTCTCCAAAGGTCTGAAAGAAACATTTTCTGTCTATTCTCTCTGAGGACTGCTCCCAGTGAGGTTCCACCTATGTAATAAGTCCACTGTTGCTAGCCAGGGTCGTTTTCTCTCATAACCTTTTTTTTTCCCCCTGTGAACCAAGACCCCATTCTTTCTGTAAACTTCATGTGGTAGATAAGCTTCTGCACGCATCGTGTGTCTGGATCTTTGTTCTAAGGGCTCCAGTGTACACACATTGCAGAAACCTGTATGCCTTTTCTACTATTTATCTGCCTCCTATTAGTGATTTTCAGGGAAACTTCAGAAGGCAAAAGGGACATTCTCCTTTAGCCCATTCTCAGACAAAATCCCCTAACATTTAACTGATTCCTGATAGCTTAAAAGCACTTTGAAAAATCCATATATTTATAACCTTTTCTTTCCCTCTATGATTTCTGGTCAGCTTGGGTTTTGTTTTTCATTCCATTTACTTCATCCTCGAAAAGATCTATTTTACATCTATTTATTCTCATTTATGGACATTGAGAAAAGAAAATAACTTTCATGTGAGAAATGCAAGTCCTTTTAAATAATCAGGCCCAGAGAGATATTCAAATGAGACAGCAGTTCTGTCCTGCTCCTCTTTGAGCTGTGTGTTCATCTAGGCTGCTTGCTGTTGCCACAGTAGCTATAAATTAACCAATAATGCCACACCAGACACTATAATCCACACCCAATAATAGTGTAACAGTGTATAGCCAGTCACTAATAAATGTTATTTCCATAAGCCAATGAGAATTTCTGACAAACCTCTTTGCATCATCCCACTTCTGGACTCGTTTTTGCCTTTAAGAAACTGCTTGTTGCAAAGCTCCAAAGGGAGTTCATATCCAAGGATACTTGCGTCTGTTTCTTCCAGGCAGCTGTCCTCATTTTGGCTCAAGTAAACTCTTTGAATTACGTTTTGTGCTTCAGCCCCTTCCACTTAGATTAACAACATGGATTTGTGTCACCATGTACAGCAATTAAAATGTTTACACTTTTCCCCTCGAGGGCACTGATGTGTTTTCCTGAGCACTTGGAATAGCTACGTAGTGTTTACTGTCTAGATTATGGTTTCTCAACCTTGGTGCTACTTACCTTTAGGACCAGAGGATTCTTTGTTGTGGGAGGCTGCCCTAGCAATACTAGGTGTTTCGTTTGACCTCTAAATTTCACACCTCCACCAGTCTTGACATCCCCACAATAACCCTAGACATTGACAAATGTCTCCTGGGGAAAACTCTCCACCAGTTGACAGGCAAAGTTCTGGAAATATTGGAATTGTCAATTGAGATTTTATGTTATCCAAAACAAATACTTTGTTTTTAAACATCTACTTCCATCTACTTATCTACTTATTTTTACTTTTATTTGTAACTTAATTCCATCAAGGAAAGAGAGTGCATTTTCTGTTATGCTAAATTTTTGAAGAACGTATTGATTTTTTATGACCTGATATATGGATGATAAGTAGATATTACATGTTTGTATTGTCAAATTTCAGGGCGATAATAAAATAAATACTTATAATATTTATATTATCACTGTATATTAGTTATTTCCTTTCTTCACTACAGGAGTATTTCAACCTATAGGCTATTTTTCAATTCTAGGTTATCCAGTAGATTTTTAAATGTTATGATTAAATATCTACTTCTCAAGCATTCATCTTTGCAAATGAAAAAATCCCAAGCTCTTATAATGCACATCATATAAAGGGAAGATTAGTCAATATATGGTTCAGAAATAATTATGTAATATTTATAAGAAAATTAAAAATTTATATCCTTAACTCAGATAACAATAATCCAAATTAAAATTTGATTTCATTACATAATTTAAAATGACACCAGAATACTAGTAAAAATGTAGATAAGTTTATATAATCTTTTTTAGCTGTAGGACTTTATTAGCATAAATTCAAATTCAGGAACCAAAGTAAGATTGAGATCTATAGTCAAAGGTTAAAATGTACACATTATAGGGGCATGATTAAACTAATTTAAAGCATGATAACATGGAGAAATATTGCAAAACATACATTTTACTGTATTAATTGTTAATATCTAATCATTATGTGAGAACAAAATTAAAGAGTAGCTACACACGCACACACCCACACACAAGTGCAATATTGTCAAATAAACGATGTTCAGCTACACTAGAAATCACACCTGTGTTTTCTCCACAGAAAAGATTAAAAAGCACAATCATATTTATTGTACATATGGAGGTAAAGATACTCAAAATATTACCCTAAAATACATTTTTTTTTGAGATGGAGTTTTGCTTTTATTGCCCAGGCTAGAGTGCAATGCCACAATCTTGGCTCACTGCAACCTCAGCCTCCCAGGTTCAAGTAATTCTCCTAGCTCAGCCTCCCAAGTAGCTGAGATTACAGGCATGCACCACCACACTCGGCTAATTTTTTGTATTTAGTAGAGACGGGGTTTCACCATGTTGATCAGGCTGGTCTCCAACTCCTGACTTCAGGTGATCTACCCACTTCAGCCTCCCAAAGTGCTGGGATTACAGGCGTGTGCCTGGGCAGCTTTTTGACATATTTCAAGATGGCTACTCGGAAGACTGGAGGTAGCTTCTTCTACAAGAATAGCTGAAAAGCTGTGTTAGTTGGGGAGATTTGCATTTGTAGAGAAAATCTGCATTGATATAGACAGGCTTTCCCTGAGATACTCCCTTGTCTGGGTTTAGGAAAAATTAACTGAACCTGGCACGTTTACATTTCTAAAAACCATTTCCTATCTATACTTCCCAAGAGGAGGGCTGCTCCCTGTGAGCTTTCATCCATGTAACAAGACCACCTCTGCTGCCAGGCTCCTCTTTCTTCCTTTTCGTCACCTGTCTTCCACAAAGCCTGATTTACCAACCTACAGCTCTGTGTTTTCTGTAACTTCAAGACAGCATAGGCGTCTTGACTACCTTGCCTTTCCTGGATTTTTTATATATATAGTATATATTTGTATATCTATTTATAATATACAAATATTTGTATAGGTATGTTTATATATATTATGTAAACTCCAAGTGCATACTTGTGCACATATGTGTAAACCTTTTTTTCCTGTTAATTTGTACATTATCAGTTTGTTTTATAGACTCAAATAATTAAAGCTTCAAGGGAAAAATTTAAACTTTCCTATAGAGAAAAGACAAATATATAGGTGACAAATAATATTTAGAGTGTAAGACGCTTTTTAAAGGTATATTTGCAATTTGTGTCAAAACATTTAAATATACATTTGTTATTTTATCTATAAAATTTCAAATCATTTAAGCCAAATACATAGCACATGCAGAAAATTTAGCAATATATCTATGTAGCACCTTACTGTGCATTACTGTAACCAGCCGTCTAACATAAAGAATTAATTAAGGTAGCAGCTACTTTTCAAAGAGCGCATTTTTTTCACAGACCTATTAAATAAGACAAATAACATTTAAACTTTATTTTTAAATTTGCAGAATAGTAGTTTTCAGCAGATGGTTTATTTTAGCAAATTCCGTCTTCACATTGTGCTATGCTTTTATGAGTTCCAGCTGTTAACGGATAACATTTTACTGCTGAAACTATCATGTGTGATATACTTGCTCATTATGTGCCTTAAAACACAAGCAATATAATTATTTTCAACTTGGAGCAAATTAAAATCTTATAAGCAATTTAAAAACTCTAGAGTCGTCTTCTGGTTAATTATTTTAAACTTGTATTTTTCTCTTTATGTTTTTAGTGAGTTGTCTTATCAAGGAGAAGAACTCAAGCTGATTATTCTTTTTTTTCTCTTCCATCCACCTCGCTGGTGTATTAATAATTTCATTTCTCAGAAAATGTTCTTTCATATCCATCTTACAAGATGAGAGACCTTTTAACATCTTCCATTCGGATGTGATACCAGTAATGGAAAATATTCCAGCTTCATGAATATGGTGATACAAATAGTTATCCGTCTAACCTCTTTCAGTGCCAAAGGTTTACTTTACTCAGTGAATTACTCAGTTGACTGGTAATTTCTTCTGAAATCACTAATGAGAGGATCAGAGGTCTGGCTGTTGTCTGTACCTCATATGACTCCCAGTGCAGACAATTGTTTCTATGGAGCACAGACAGTTGAAAGGATTGACTTCCTGCCTAGAATAATTTCTGCTATGCTTCTTATCCTTCTTGTGGAGATTTCAGATTATCTGAATTGCTTTTCTATCTTGAGAAAAAACGCAACAATTCTCCCACCTGAGAGGAAAGTAAACTGTAGTAAGTTAGCAGAACCAATCCATAAAATTTTTACATTGTTTGTTGCAAAATGCAGCGCTGGTGTCTCCATCACTAACCTTTTCTATCCCTCATTGCTCTTTCTTTGACTGCACTAGGATACCTCTAGGCAAATCTGTATTCCCGAGACAGAGTGCCCATTTGGTGAGCTATAAGCACACTCGATGGTAGGCTGAAATACTAGCTTTTATCTATGGTGAAATGGAATCATATCAGTGATTTTTTTAAAAAGGAAATTTAACTCTTGCTATGGTTTGAATGCTTGCCCCTTCCAATCTCATGTTAAAATTTGATCCCCAATGTTGCAGGTGGGGCTTACTGGGAGGTGTTTGGTCATGGGTTGGACCTTCATGAATGGATAATACCCTCCCTTAGAAATCTAAAGCTATCCTCCCTCCTCGGTGCCCTCAGGAATGAGTGTACCATTCTTTATTCACCTATAATTCCCCCACCCATCCTCTTTGAGATATTAATTACATGTATGTTACACTGCTGCATATTGTCTGATGTATCGGTGAGTTTCTGGCTTTCTTATTTTAGTTTACCCTTTGTCCTTTAGTTTGTAAAGCTTCTATTTTTTTCTATAAATTTTCTGATGTTAGGGTAAAATCCATGACTTATTCTATCTCATGGAATTTTTATTTCAAATATTTATTTTTCATCTATACATGTCACATTTTTCATTTTATAACTTCTATTTTTCTCCTATGTTCAATTTTCATTTAAGTACCTTGACATATGTATGTATTTATCTATATGTATTTATAAAATATATTTACTTTAAGGACCTTGAAATTTCCTTCTTTTCTGTCATTTATAAATGACTTATTTTTATCCTGTTAATGTATATCTTAATTATATATATCTTACGGCTTCTTTGCATGTCAGAGTTTTTTTTTGGTATTTTGATTTTATGCTATTGAATATCTAGATTTTATTGACTACCTTTGAACAATGTTATGGCAGGCAGTTCAGTAAATTCAGGATGAGTATTTGTCTGTTGTTGTTTTAAATCTTCTCTTTAAACTTTGTGGAGTTTGTTTAGAGCAATCTGTAATTTGGAGCTAAATGAGCACTGTCACTAGGGCATGAACCTCCAGTGGTCTTTACTGAATATCCTGGAGGTACAGAGGGGTTTCCCTTCTCTGATTAGAATTTGGAATATAAAGAGAAAAGAGAAAAATAGAAAGCTATGCATAAACACGTGCATTAAAATGAATTTTATGTGGGATTTTTCATGAAAATGTTCCTAAGGTATTTTATTTTTTTATTGTGGTAAAATACACATAACATAAAATGTACCCTGTTAACCACTTTAAGTGTACAGTTCAGTGGTACTAAACATAGTCATAACATTGTGCAGCCGTCCCTACTATCCATCTCCATAATTCATTTCATCTTGTAAAACTGAAACTCTATACCCATTAAACAATACTTCCCCATTTCTTCCTACCCCCAGCTTCTGGCAACCATCATTGTACCATCTCTGTAATGCTAATCAAGCATAGTGGCTGTGTTTCTTGCTTCCTCTAGTCCGCAGGTAGCATACAAATGTAATAAACTACTTATTCATGTCACATCTATTTATTTTCTGCCTTATACCAAGCTTGTGGGATTCTCTTAAATACAACACTTTTATGCTTGCACCTATGCAATACCCATTAGCATCGCCTTCCTAAATCAGGGGAAATTGAGCCTCTGTAAGGTGGAGTAACTTTCTAAGATATAAAACTCAGCATTGAAGTCTGTATACTTCAATATCCTGCCCTCTTCTGATTTGTCTTTACTGCCTTTTATGTATGTGTTAGATGTTCAATAAATTCTCTTTTTTAAACTGAATTTAAGCCGTGGAGCAGTGTTTTGTTGAACAATAAATATGATATAGGACACTCTTCCTCCCTTTCATTTATGATCCTGTTCATGAAAAAGAGAAATTCTTTCATTGTGCTAGAAGCTTAAAATAATGAAAATGCCACTTTCTACATTAAACAGAAACTGAAGTGAATCAAGGTGAATTGCATGAGACATAGAAAACAAGTGGGAAAGAAATCTAGTATAATTTGCCCTTTGTGTACCTTTATTATTTAGCGTTTGAGTAAATGATTCCCCCAAATATCTTCCCATCTTAATTCATGTCTATAAAGTAGACATTTATGTATCACCTTGTCAAGAAGGGCAAACTCTAACATAAACATTTCCCAAAAATGCTTCCTGCTAAAACGCAAGCTCAGTCTGGCTAGAAATGCAGCTCACTTCATAAAGATTAATTGGTATCTAATTTTTCATGCTGTTCTCTGAACTTGAGTGAAACCTGTCCCTCAGGCATACAGGGAATGACGGAAAAGGTGACAACAGAAGATGAATGCTATGTCACTAACCTTCAAAGATGACCTGCCTTTTCTTTCAAATTCTTGATATCTTAAGACTTCATTAATTCATCTCTCTTTGCCCTTGGTTCAACATTGTGCTGTGCCAAAACTCATGTAAAACAGTGATCTAATATAATAAAAATGGCATTTTTCTTTCATGTAGATGCAAGCTAACTGGTGTTTTTACAATCCACATATTTCCTTTGTCAATTTTTCATTCTGTATTGGAAGTAATTGATAGGTATTTCTGAAGGGATGAAGGTGTTTCTGTGATCATTGCGATCCAAACTATTTTTAGACCTAGGGGCGTTTGTGAAACAATTTGTGCCAGCTGACAAAGGATCACTGTGGCAGAAAGCAGCAAACTTGCATAAGATGTCACTGCCTCATAAGTTGGCTTTGAAAAGTAGGGGCTTACTCTATAGTCTTATGAATCAAAGACATTGATAGATGTAATGTAAGATTACAATCATATTTTCCTTTTGACAGTCACATTATAAAGCATGATATATTGCAACTAATCTCAATTAGCTGATCACAATTAAAATTAATAATGTTTATTATTGCTGATAAACAATCATGACTCTCCTGTTCTCAAATGTGAAAGTAATTCTTATAATTTTAATACAAATTTGCATATTATTATTAATTGATTTAATCTCATTGGATTTGGTTCATGGATCCAATTTATTAAAATATTGATAATGGGATAATGACTTGTCTCCCCATGTCATGTACACTAAAAACAACAATTCTTACAATGGTCTGCAAGCCCATTATGATCTGCCGCATGTTAACCGCCAAAATTCTTTTATGTCTTCACCCTTGATCTTACCAGTGGTCCTGGCCACCTCACTGTCCTCTGGACATGCTAACAGGCTGCTGCCTTATGACCAAGACTCTAGTTAATTTCTTGGCTTGGAAAGATAGCCCTCCATATATCCATTCATCAGCTCATTCAACTTCAAGTCTTTACTGAAACTTCACATTCTCGATGAGGCCTATTCAGTATTTCAAACTGCCTCCCCGTAGCAACATTCCAAAACCCCTTACTCTTCTGTATATTTTTGAAAGGATTTATTGAGATATAATTTACATAGTGTAGAGTGCACACATTAATATCTACAAGTCAGTGGCTTTTAGTATATGCATAGATAAGTGGAGCCATCATCACAATGAATTTTAGAGCATTTTCATCACTTCAAAAAGAAACCCCACCTTCTCTAGCTGTTAACCTCCTATGCACCCATCCCCTACTCAATCCTAAGCAACCACAAATCTGTTTTCTGTCTCTGTAGATTTTCCTATTCTGTTTTCATCTAAATAGAATCATACAATAGGTGGCCTTTTCTGCCTGGCTTCTTTCAGTTGGCATAATGCTATCAAGGTTCATGTACGTATTGGTACTTTACTTCTTTTTATAACTGTATAACATTCAATTTCATGGATAAAACATTTTGTTTATCCAATAATATTTTTATTGACATTTGAGTTGTGTTCAGCCTTTGGCTATTTTCAATACTGCTGCTAAAAATACTTGTGTACAATTTGTGTTTGAACACCTCTTTCCAATAATCTGGGTGTATACCTAGGAATAAATTTCTGGGTCATATGACAACTCTATGTTTAATATATTTAGAAGCCATCAAATTATTTTCCAAAGTGGCCAGTTCTAGCCATAGAGTATCTAACTGTGGTTTTGATTTGTAGTTGCCTGATGAGTGATGCTATTGAGTATCTTTTTATGGGATTATTGACCGTTCGTGTATCTTCTTGGGAAACACATCTATTCCTCTCATTTATCAGTTTTGAGTTGGGATATTTGTTACTGAGTTGAAGCAATTTTTCTATATTCAAGATATATATATATATATATATATATATATATATACACAGACATATAGATACGTGTTTTTCAAATATCTTCTCACAATTTTTGAGCTGCCTTTTGACTTGCTTGGTTGTCCTTTGAAACACCAATGTCTTTAATTTTTAAGAAATTTTAAATATCTAATTTTTATTTTGTTGCTCATGTTTTCGGCGTTACAGCTATTTCTTTGCTAGATCCAAAATCCTGAAGATTTTCCCATATGCTTTATTCTAGCTCTCGCATGTGTGTCTTTAATTCATTTGAGTTAATATTTTTGTATGCTTTGGGGTAAGGGTTCGAATTTATTATTTTGCAAGTGGTGATCCACGTGTACGTTGTTGACCCAGTTTGTTCAAAGACTGTCTCTTCCTCATTGAATTGCACATGGCACCACTGTAAGAATCCATTGACTATAGACACATAGTTTTATATATGGACTCTCAATTCTCTTCCATCAATGTGTATATTTTTCCTTCATCAGTATTGGGTTGTCTTGATTACTGATACTTTTCAGTAAGGTTTGGATCATGGGGGTGTGAATTATCCTAATATGTTTTCTTTTTTCAAGATTATTTTGGCTATTTTGAGTCCTTTACAAGTCCATGTGTATTTTAGAATCAGCTTGTCAGTTTCTAGACAGAAGTCTGTTGGGATACTTGCAGGGATTTCATCAAATCTGTAGTTTAAATTGTAAAGTACTACAATATTAAATCTTCCAATTCATGGCTGTTAGATGTTTGCTAATTATTTAGATATTCTCTAAACAATAATTTTTAATTTTCAGAGTAAACTCTTGTATCACATTTTCCAAATTAATTATTATTTCTTTTTTTGATGCTATTTTAAATTGAAGTGTTTTCTTAATTTCATTTTGGGGTTTTCATTGTAGATGTCCGCAATTGATTTTTGTAAATTTATCTTGTATGCTGTAATATTGCTGAAATAATTTACTAGTTCTATCGTTCAGTGGATTCCTTAAAATTTTCTATATACAAGAATGTTATTTTCAAATAAAGTTTTATTTCTTCCTGTTCAATATGGATGACTCTTATTTTTTTAGTTGCTGATTTGCCCTGCATACAATCTTTAGTACAGTGTTGACTAGAAGAGGTCAAAGTATATATCCTATTCTTATCTCTGACCATAGCAGGAAAGCATCCTTTACCATTAAGTTGCATGCTTGCTGTTGGCTTTTCACAGGTGCCATGTATCTGGTGTAGAAAGTTCTCTATTCCTGGTTCATTGAGTTTTTATTTTTATTTTTAATCATTAAAGAATTTGGATTCTGTTAAATGTCTTTTCCAAATCTATCGAGATGATCATGCAATTCTCGTTTCTTATTCTATGGATAAGATGTATTACCTTAATGGATTTTGGGCTGTTAAACCAACCTGGGATTACCTGTATAAATTTAACTTTGTCATAGTGTATAATTCTTTTATATGTTGCTAGATCCGATTTGTTAGTATTTTTTAAGGAATTTTGCATTTATTTTTCTATGCTATTTGGACTAATTTTTGTATCAAGGTAACACTGGCCCCACAGAATAAATTGGGAAGTGAATATTTCTCTTTTTTAAAAAAGCTAGTCAAGAATTAATATCAATTATTCAATACTAACAAATATTATTATTATAAATTATTAATTTCTCAAATTTTTATTTTCTTCCTTCTGCTTGCTTTAGGTTTAGTTTGCTATTATTTCCAGTGCCTTAATGTGGAAGGTCATCTTATCTCATCCTTTCATTTGTCTTTTCATTTTCAAAATAGTGTCTTTTTAGCATCAGGTGAGCTCCCCAGGTTGGTAGTACTCCATGTTTATTGCTGTACAACAATGACAGGTAATATGTCCTGAAGACAATGGAAACTTAACATTCAAAATCTCCTAGATTCCACCTTATATGATATGTCTCTTCAATTGGTCCTAATTTCTACCTTTCTCTATTATAAACCATGAGTACAATGGCATTCAATGAGTTCGGTGAGTCTTTCTAGTAAATTCTTGAAACTGAGGGTGTTCAGGGGGAAAACCCTGAACTGGCAGTTGGTGTCAGAAGTGAGAATCATCTTATATGGCCTCTTCCTTTGAACTTTGCAGCTGGACGCAAACTCTGCACAATTTGGGCCAGAAGTCTCGTGTTGACTTTGCAGCCTAAAGTATCTTGTAGTTTGTCTAACCCTCAATAAATTTGCTTTCATCAAATATTGTATTTGTTACCCCAAAATTACCATCACATTTTTTTCTCCAAATAACTAACATTGGGAGAAATAGCCAGCTGAGTCTGTAACTCAACAGAAACAAGTGATCCATATACCATATACCATATAAGTGGCCATTTCATTTTGCCTTCTTCCACCAAATCTTAGCAACCTCAACCATTGCCATGAGCCACTGTAGACCTACCAGCTACAAACAAACAAGTATCTTTTAAAAACACTTCATACTCCCATTTGATAAATTTCCCAGCAAAGAGATGCCTACTTTAACTCTATGCAAGTGGCTCATATTCACGAAGTCTGTAGATATTATTCATGTAGTGTGAGAAAATCATCCCAGCGATGCCAGCACATTCTTCTTCCCATGATCTGCTTAGTTTGCAAACATATTCAGGCCATGGGTGAGAGATTTGTATTTCACAGTACAACAATTTTATGGAGGGCATTGAAACTTACATTGAGCATTTTAGTACAGTCACACATCACTGAATGATAGGGATACGTTCTAACAGATGTATCCAGAGGCAATTTCATCATTTTGCAAACATCACAGAGAATATTACAAACATCTAGATTGTACAGCCTACCACGTCTAGGTTATATGGTAGATCCTCTCTCTCCCAGGCTACAAACCTGTGTACTACATTACTGTACTGAATACTGCAGGCAATAAGAACACAGTGGTAAGAGGTTATGTATCTACACATACTTAAACGTAGAAAAGTATGTAAATATGTATTATAATCTCATGGGACCACTTTTGTATATGTAATCCATCTTTGACAGAAATGTTATTATGCATGACATGAATGTATGACAAAAAATAAAATAACACATTGTAAAAAATGTACACAGGTATCAAACATATTAATATTGTAAAAATAAAAATATTCAGTGTAAGAATTTGTAATGATCACAAAATATTCACAGCTTATATTTTAGTACAGTTTCAAATGCCTAGTGCAATTACTATTTATTTCTGTGTGTATTTTAAACACATATATAATATTTTTCAGGTTCAACAATATATATCAATCCAACTGGCTCTCATAAATATTAGTTAAAATCAATTAGTAAATTCATATATATATATACACACGGGTATCAGTCTGTATGCATGTATGTGTGTGTAAATGTAACTGTATGTGTGTGTAAATGTAACTGGATGCATCCTAATATTTACCCTTACCTACAAGATTTCCAAGATTCATTTATTATCTGTAGATGATGTGCATTTAAATATTTACCAAATAAAACTGTAATCGTGGAAAATATCAAGATGTTATTAAATTCATCTTGTGCACATAATTGTTTCTTTAAATTTATGTTTCTTGCAAAACTTGCGGTAATGCTCATGCACAAAATAATTTTCTAAATAAAAAATAAAAACATTTTCTCAGTCATTAATTTTTAATAATTATTTCTCCCCAATAATTAATGTGAATTAATTCTTAATTCTTAATTATAGAATAATGTTGCCCTTCAGAGTTCTAAATCTTTTGCATGTTGCATACATTTCACTAACTAGAACAACTTCTGGAATATTGGCATTAATTAATGTCACTCAGCAATTAATGATTTCAAGGAAATTAAATACCTTTCATATTCTGAATCACAAGGGTACTCTGGCATCTAATTTAATCAAGCTTTTTGTATCATCATCTACACTTTAATTACTTTACAAACATTTCTCTGTATGAGAAAGATTGAGCAGGTTATTGTGCTTTTTTACGATGCAACTTTTGCTTAATCTAGAGATAGGCAATGCTCCCTATAAGGGACAAAGAGAAAAATGAAAGAGCAATAGAGATGTGACAGGCAAGGAAAAAGACAATACATTTATAAAACAAATAGGGCCACACATGATGATAATGGGGATCAAATCTTGAGAGACTGACTCAGTTTATAACCGCACTGTACAATAGAGCAAATCATTTGTTAATTTTTTTATAAATGGAATTTAATTTAATTAAGATGAATACAGTGTTTTAAACAAGGCAGGTCATCTTAAAATAAAGTAGTGGAATAAAGTGATAAAACCAATGTAAAAATCATAAACACTTCTAAATAATTTTTGTCATGTAATTTAATATTTTTCTTTATTTAAAATCACACAAATCAAAATAATTTTATCTTAATTAACAAATAATCATCAGAAGTTAACTAATTTTTACTTTATAATACTAGGTTTAAAAATTCTTAACTATATTTTTAATCATATATGCTTATACATAAAATAGACATAGGGTATATGTTTACATGTTCACAATATTATATTGTAATTGTTCCTATGGATGTGGTTTTTCAATAGAGTTAATAAGTACTTTTAAAAAGTTTCAATTTCAATGATATATATGTTTGATTTTTCTTTGACAAAGCATACATATATTGATAGGTAATAATAAGAAAATCTTCTAAAGACATTACAGGAACATGAATAATTAAATCCTCAATAATTTGTAATGTTTTATGTAAGCGGAACACATTTAACTGAAAATTGCTTTTATATAATCACTCAAACGAGACTAAAAACATATTAACTAGCGGAGTAAGTCTTTAAATTGATAATTTGAACTATATAAGAGGAGAAACTTCAAGCACTCAAATATTTGAAATGCTACAAAATATTTATATAAACTATTATTTAACAATTTCTGTTTGTAGAGTGCTATACAGTAATCAATATAAATGACATCTCAGTCTTTCTATAGCTTTGACCACATTTACCTCCTAATTTTAATTATTAATATGTTGGAGCAGTGCATACAACTAGATTCCGATCTTCCTTTTTAATGAGTAAAAATATGTCCTTTGAGACAGCATTAAAGAAAGAGCACCTTGTATAAATTCAATGCCAAGAGACAAGATATTCTTGATTCTGAAGTCTTGTTCCTTTATACAGCAATGTAATTAATAAGAAGAAGAAAAGCAGGACATAGATATGAAGTCTATTTTAATCAAAAATGGTCTATAGATTTTGATGATAAAATTTAAAAATCTACCATATTTAGTTAGTCACAAAAAACTAAGTTGTGGGAACATATTTGGTCAATAAAACACCCCTACCAAATGCTGACAAGAAAAAAAGTTAGGTACCACCTTTCTTCTCTGCAGATGGCCTGAGATGGGTTAATTTGAAAGAATGCTTCCAAACCTGAGGTGACCCCTGAGAACAGCATAATCCACTGCTGTCTCCTACATTCAGTTTCTCAGTCTGTGCTCGTTTAATTTTGGGGGGAGGGAAGCCAGTCCTTTAAAGCGATCTTCAGTATGATGGCAGAGCCAAGGAGTGTGGACAGGTGGCACGGTGTCTGACTTTGTTCCAGCAGCCACTTGGGCTTTCTCTGGGTCTTCTCTGCCCTAGGGATAGCACTACTATTGAAAATATGTCTTTGTGACATTGTCTATGCCAGGAACTCCCAACACATTTTCCTTGAAACTGATGAAATGAATAAAAATAAACCAAGAGGTGTGCTGTTTGTTTCTGTTTCCTCTTTTCTGCAGCCCTTCTTGATCATCTAATATTTTTAAATACATTGTCGATCACCAAAAGGAGCATAAGGGCTTTATTGGTTTGTAGCAGATGTATTAATAGCCCAGCCCCTATTCCTTACCTGTAGCTGCTGGGAAGAAAACCATTCTTAACACTCTACAAGGTCTCATCTCCAGAATTTGCACCAGTTTCTAGCTGAGGACTTTCTCTAGCAGCACGGGAGCTTGTTACTGGGCATGAAGTGTGAAGAAAAGGTGAGGGTAAATAAGAAGAATCTCCCTGGATTCAGTGATGTAATTCTGAGGCATGCTTCACATAGCTTCCCATACAATTAAGCCCAGATATCTAACACAGGAACTTACCTCTTAACACGTGTGTTATTGGCTTTTCTATCTTTCCTGTTTTATTTTGTTCTCTTTTCCTTGTCTCACTTTCACTGTGTCCTCACTCCTGCTTTAAGAATACCCAAACAAATATGTTCATTTATTTTTTTAGACTCTCAGAACACAGTTGATAGTTGAACTTCTAATCTATCATAATCAGCTTGGATGCTATACTGACAGGAAGATGGTGAACTCACCATGTCTAATTAAGATACAATTTAAAAAATATATTGAATCATGTCCAAAGATTTAAAAAGCCTAAGCGGCAGTGTCACAATTTCTTCTTAGTTTACATGGTTTCTTAAATGCCTACAATTATTTTAAAGGAAGCCTTGAGTCTAGGAAAAATTGAGACATATGGAATAAATTACTAACCCATTTCTCCTTGAAATCCATTAGATGTTTGACGATTTTTCACATATATTTCTGAATTGAAAAGCTAGTTGGGAATTATTTTTATAAGCATATCCTTATGTAATATTTCATTTCTAACAGTGAATTGTTTAAAGATTAAATTATTCTATCCAGAGAATAAAAAGCAATTATTTCACAAGGAGAACATGTGTATGTTGACACGACATTTTAAAATCTAGATTTTAAAATAGGTCCATATAATTTTGAGTGAATTAGAATATGTTTGTATCAGTCTGTCTACAGTTTTACACCTGTAGAATTTACAAGTCAAAAGGTACTTGAAATAAAAGAAGTACCTTGAACAATTTTGAAATTTATTATTCCTCTGAAACTGATTAAAAGAATTATGGTAGACTGAAATTCTGATTGGCGTAATTTGGGAGAGAAATTATTCCTTTGAGATCATCCTCTGCCAAGATAGTTTATAATGACATTGAGACTTTTTGATTTACAAAATTTGTTATATAAAAAATACTAAGACGATGACACATAATACACAGACTTTAATTAAAATTTTACTAAAATTAAATGTCTAAATAAATTACAAGGTTACGTGGTACATCTAAATGTATGTTTATATATTTTATTTGTGCATTTTATTCCTAGGGTTGCTATTGCTTTAGTTTGTAAAACGTCCTTATTTTTATGATAGTGTAGTATATACTAAATAAAGAAAAATCAGGAAATAGAAAATGAAGAAGAAAACATTAGCTATTGTCAACCAAATAAAAATTGTGCAATCTCTAAGTACATGAACGATGTATTATTTGTACAGCATGTACAATGTTTATGCTTCACAGGGTGAGGTAGAGACTGCAAAACATTGAACCTGGGACAAATAAGAAAGTAAGGAAATTTTCACATATATTAATATTATAGAAAATGTTGAACTTAACAGTTAAGATACAATAAGTGAAAAATGATAGTATTTAAGGAGATCTAGAAAATTTAATCTATATCAGTAATGTGTGAGAAGTATTAGAATAATGCTTGTATTTCTGGATTGGCATCGATTTCTATTGAGACTGGAAACATAATAGAAGTGAGCAAAAAAGTATTTAAATTGTGGATACTTGAGTTTTATACCTAGGAGTTCGAGAAATACATTTTGTTACTATCAAAGCAGTTGGCACAAGAGTGTACAAAATTCCCTAATTGTGTCTATGTGGCGAAGACATAGACAAACAGAGAATAGCAAAACAGAAATAGCAAAAAAGCACAAATAAATTTTACCTGTATTTTTACGTAAAAGCCATTTAGAGTAGGAAAACATGAAATTTGTGTTTTATCAAAATTTTTCTCTTTCTTATAGTATAATTGATTATATTACTGGAAAAAGTTGAAGCAGTGATATGTTCACAAAAAAAAAAAGTAAAATATAAGGTCAAAACCATGGGAATGCAGGGAGCAGACAAAATACACCTAAACACTGAAACTGATTTTGCCCTAGGGACATGTAGCAAAATGAATGAGTGCAGATTCCTACTGTCATACATCACATAGGACAGTAAAGAAATACATAGTTTTTCCCAAGATAGGGCATCACACAGGAGCTCCTCCCTAAAGCTAGGACCAAAATTTACATCCTCAGTATAAAGAAGAATCAGAGGTAAATTAGTCCGATTTCACATTCCCTGGAAATGGCAAATAAAAATGACTTGAGATTGGACAGATTTAAAGAAACTCAATCATTAATGATTTACAGCAATTAATTTAAAAATTGTTTAAATGTGCTGTCCAAACATACGTCCAAACACCTTTAGGCCAAGAATTAATATAATGTGGTCCCAGAATGGTGGTGCCTTTAGTAGACTCACAAAAAATTCAAATTCTCTTTGGCAAATTTTCTTCTTACTAATATGCAAAAGTGCACAATAATAATTTTCAGAGAAAAATAAATCTTTGTCATTCAAAGGCATCTAAGTACACAAGGAAATGATATTCCACCATTTGAAAGGAAAATAGAAAAAGAGTACAAACAGATCCACAAAGGTTCATTAGTAGAAATATCACTGTTAGATTATAAAGCACATTTGCTTTCAAAAAATTTTTTAAAAAATGAATATATTTTTAGGAGACTAAAAAATTGATGTTGCAAATTTGAAAAGTAGTTTGTATATAGTATTTTAAATTAAAAACTCAAAAATGAACTCATCAGATTAGACATGGCCATGGTGAGAGTTCATAAATATTTCAGAATGCATTACAGAAAATTTTTAAAAATGCACAATGTGGACAGAATCATGAAGAGACATGGAAGATACAGTGAGAAAGTGTAGCATGTGTTTAGTGAGTGTTCTCATAGAAGAAGGGAACCGGGAAGGGACAATATGTGATGGTATTTTGGCTGAAATTTCTCTAGACTTTTGTAAGACACTAATCCGTGTATTCAAAAATTCTATGCATGCTAAGCAAGCTACAATGGAGATAAACCTACATCTACATATCTCGTAGAGAAATAGTAAACAATCAGGAAGGGAAAAATATTTCAATGAGCACTAGAAAAATCAAATTACCTTTAATCATATTGAAATCTGAAAGCATGAAAGGTAAAATAAACAATATTATTTGTTAAGAATAATAATGCCATTCTGAAATTCTCAACCAAGAAAAATATTCATCAACCTATGGCTAAATAACATATTTAGAGACAAAAAACAAAACGCCACCAGCAGAATTCCACTAATGAAACTAAAAAGAAACTCTGAAAACATGCTTCAGAAAGATTGAAGTTCTGAAATCAAAGAATGAACACAGAGCAAAATATATTGTAAACATACAGATAGATCTAAATAAAAAATTAGGTGTTGAAACAAAAAGATATTTAAAATTAGATAAGCACTGCAATATGTATGTTAGGAAGCAAATTGTTAGGGCTGAAGTATTCAAAAACCCCTTAATTGCCTGACAAGAGCAGAAAGGTATGACTTTGCAACTTTTTCTTTTTTTGAGAAGCAGTCTCACTCTTTCTCCCAGGCTGGAGTGTGGTGGCGCCATCTCTGCTCACTGCAACCTCTGCGTCCCTGGTTCAAGCAATTCTCCTGCCTCAGCCTCCTGAGTAGCGGGGATTACAGCCGCGTGCAACCATGCCTGGCTAATTTTTGTATTTTTAGTAGAGACGGGGTTTCACCATGTTGGTCAGGCTAGTCTCCAACTCCTGACCTCGTGATCCACACGCCTCGGCCTCCCGAAGTGTTGAGATTACAGGCGTGAGCCACCGCACGCGACCGACTTTGGAACTTTAATAAATTGACTGGACATTATGCATTTCTCTGTTGCGTCTATGAAAACAATAAAAATAAAAGTCATAATTTTAAAACAAGAAGACAGAAACTGATAGGAGAAAATGAGACATTATATATATATATACACAACAAATTAATAATACAAAATTAAGTGTAAATGATCAAAGATTAACTTAAACCTAAGTAGACAACGTTTTTGTTAAAATACAAAGATTGGCAAAATTTAAAACATCCGTCTCTATCATAGTTACAAGAGAGGCAACTAATATATAAATTTACAGAAACTTTGAAGTTCAAACAATACAGATACTGTGTATATATGATATACATACAAACATACTACATGAATATAATCTTTTAAAAAGTTGCTATGTAGACAAAATAGAATGTTAGAAACATTTATTAAAATAAGTCTAACCAGTGTGATAAAAGTTTTAAGTTATTAAGAAGATGTGATGACTTAAATGTGCATTAGCCTGATACATACATATATGTATACACACAAACCACACACTCTCTCACACACACATAGACACACAGGTATTTAGAGAGAGAGTCAAATTATATAAAGCAAAAATATCAGAAAGTAAGTAGAAATGGATAAGCCCCCAAATATTATAGACATTTCAAACACACATCTTTGAGTAATAGATAAAAGAAAAAATTAAAAGAGTAAGTTTTAAAAGAAGCTAGTGGATTTTAAAAAGGGCAAATATTATATAAGGAACATGAATATTATAATTCATGTTATTTTCATGTTCATACAGAATACTTACAAAAATTAACATTTTCTAGACCATGCCACAAATTCAAACAATTTTCACGGAAATAACGTGACACAGAATATATTTCCTAAACAAACAGCAATGAAGGCAGATATCAATACAAAAATGAAAGCTAGAAACATAAGTCTAATAATATTGGTTGGAAGCTATTTTAATGAATATTGAAATATTTTAAAGGTGAATAGTCAATACAAATAAACCAAACACTTTTGTAAGGCCACTAAGATGCATGTGTAATGTGTAATGCCTCCTTTTATAAGGAGTAAATCTGTAACATCACCTGGGCTATTTGACAACTGCAAAGTGAATGTGAGAAGGAGAGAAACAGTGAGAGAGAGAGAGATAAAACCAGTAAAATAAACATAAAGAATGAAGGAGATAGCCAGGCGCCATTGTTCATGCCTGTAATCCCAGCACTTTGGGAGGCTGAGGCAGGTGGATCACCTGAGGTCAGGAGTTCGAGACCAGCCTGGTATAACATGGTGAAACCCACTCTCTACTAAATATACAAAAATTAGCCTGGCATGGTGGCATGCATCTGTAATCCCAGCTACTCGGGAGGCTGAGGTGAGAGAATTGCTTGAACGTGGGGGTGGAAGTTGCAGTAAGTAGAGATCACGTGACTGCACTCCAGCTTGGGCGACAGAGCAAGACTTCTTGTCAAAAAAAAACAAAAAACAAAAAACAAAAAACGAGGAAATAGTACACGAAAAAGCAAAATTAAAGCAACTGGGTATATATTTAAAAAGGCAAAAGCTCACTTTTTCAGAAAAATATTAAAATATTAAATCTAACAAATATCTAGGTAGACTGATGGAGAAAAATACAGAAAATGCACAAAAAACCAATTACCTGGAATGCGAACGTTACAAAACGTCAGCAGTTGTAGATTTTAAATAAGCAATGATTTTTGAGTTCAACCATGATGGGGTATATTGAAAAGAATCTCTCAGAAAAAAAGAAAAAGAAAACTGTTATAAAGCTATGTACAAAATGTTAAGCACTATTAAAGTCTTCCAAATCTACCAGTTATGGAGTTATTGGTCTTGGACTAACTATCCTGAAAAGAAAAAAACAAAACAAAACAAAACAAATCAAAACCTAAAAACCTGGATAAAATGGCCTACCGTGGGCACTGGCAATGCATCCAAGCAGGTAGGACCTGGGTGCTACATTCTCTTTGTCAGAACACAAAGCATTCATACACTCTTCTCACCCTCAATTTCACCTTTTAATCTTAGATCTACTATTAAATGTATTCAACATTACTATCAATCCTTTGGTCAAAATTTCTTTACTTACGTTTTGCTTGATGCACTTGGATAGACTGTTCAAGAAAGTGTGAGTAGTGAATTCCTCAAACTCTTGCATATTTAAAATCACATTTTTGAACCTTGATGCTTGAAGTGTAGCTTGGGTAACAGATGGGCTTTAAGCCAATTTTGGCATGCAAGGGGTTGAGTTTATTAGGCATCAGCACCGCTGAAAATCATGGGGATGCAGGCTTAATTTCAACACTATTCTAAATACTTGAAAGATATTATATAATTCTTTAATAAACTCCCGTGTCTACAAATGGTTCACATTAACTCAATATCCATGATTAAACATCTATAAAATCAAGGCACTCTTATTTAGTGGAGACTTGCTGGCTATTCTATGAGAGGAGGTATTGTTATTGTAATCTCATCCTCTCATAAAAGTGTATCATATTACTCATAACCAGCCCTTCATATTCTATTCCTATTTTGGTATTTTAAAATAAGATATCTTTGAAACACTTGAATTCAAAGAGGGAATCTGAATAATTTTTAAAATGTCAATGAAATGCCATTTCTTCATGCTTCAACAACTAAAAATTGACTAAAGTGCTTCTCTTCAAACTTTCTGGAACATTTTTTATCTAAATTCTAAGAACAATCACATCTAACCACAAATGTGAGAATATTCTAAATGTTAGGGTGGAACAATTTTTAAAATAAATTTATAGTAATTTTTTTCATCATAGTGACAGTGTGCTAAATTTTTGTAAGCCAACTATTACTGTAGACATTTAAGTCAGGATTCTAAGAAGCTGTTCTAAAGTCCAAAATTTAGTTTCATATACACTGATATTATATATATATTTGCATAAAAAATTAATACATGTGAGCCATGTTTCAAATAGTTGAGAGATTATTATATCAAAGATTCTTGATTATATAAAATGCCAATTACTTATAGGCAGACATGCTTTAAATAATTACAAAGGCAGTTGTGGTTGATTCTACTCTTGCTACTGGCATTTATATGGACATACTATTATGGTCTGAAGAATATTTAGGCAAATTTATCCCTCATATGATCAGAAGAACAATGCAAGATAGTTTATATCTGAAAGGAAAAAAATCTTTATATGGTTCTGAAAGCGCAAATCATTAACAACTTGGATAATAATTAGCATAAAAATACACAAACATGCCCTCTTCCTAGCAGTAAGTACACAGTGACAACAGAATCTAAGCATGTGGCTATGCGCATGTTTATATTTCAAGACGCAGAGCACTCTATTCCTCTTCTCTGCCCTTTCTAGATGGCACAATTCCTCATGGATCTAAGTGCAGTCATAGGGTGGATTAGGGTGACCTGCCATTTGTATGCAACTGATCTCTATTTTGGAAGTAATTAATGTAAAAATATATTTTTAAAAGATAATTTCAAATTTCAGGGCAAACTAGCATGGTTTCACCCCTTTTCTTTGTAACATTTTTTCTAAGGTTGGAAAAGTTAGGTAGGCTTTAGTATGATTTTAAATAATAAGTTTTCAAAGTGAGACGCAAAATGGTGGCGCCAACACATTTCAAATCTGCTACATTTTGAATACACTTATTGGAGAAAAGACCTTCTCATCATTTTTCTCTTACAGGAAAGGAAATAACATGTACAGTTGACCCTTAAGCAACATGGAGGTTGGGGTGCTGGCCCCCCTGCACAGTAGAAAGTCCACTATAACTTTGACTCCCCCAAAACTTAACTACTAATAGCCTACTGTAAGCCTTACAAATAACACAGTCAATTAACACATATTTAATATGTTATATGTCTTATATACTGTATTCTTAACAAACATGCCAGAGAAAAGAAAAAAGAAAATCATAAGGAAAATATATTTACTAGTTATTAAATGGAAGTAGATGATCAAACAGGTCTTCATCCTCATCCTTTTCATGGGCAGGGTGTGGAGAAGGATGTAGAATTGTTGGTTTTGCTAAGTGGACGTGCACAGTTCAAACCCCTGTGGTGCAAAGGCCAACTGTATAGTCATTGAATAGCAATTTATTTTTAGAAATTAACCTCACTAAAATACTCTTAGAAGGATGCAAAGAAAAAAAATGAATAAGTATTTTTGGTTCATCTATTTCATCATTTCATTTCATTATTTCATTTCATTTCCTCGTTTCATTTCATTTCCTCATTTCATCATTTGATTTCATCCTTTCATTTCATCATTTCATCTCATTTCCTCGTTTTATCATTTCATTTCATCCTTTCATTTCATCATTTCATCTCATCATTTTATCATTTCATTTCATTCTTTCATTTCATTTCATCATTTCATCTCAACATTTCGTTTCATTTCATCATTTCACTTCATCTCATCATTTCATCTCATGATTTCATTTCATCTCATCATTTCATCTTTTCATCTCATCATTTCATCATTTCGTCTTTTCATCTCATTTCATTTCATCAATTCATCATTTCATCTCATTTCATTTCACTTCATTTCATTGTTTCATTTCATTTCATCACTTCATCTCAACATTTCATTTCATCATTTCATCATTTCATTTCATCACTTCATCTCAACATTTCATTTCGTCATTTCATCATTTCATCTCATGATTCCATCTCATTTCATTTCATCTCATCATTTCATCATTTCATCTTTTCATCTCATTTCATTTATTTCATCATTTCATCATTTAACTTCATGTCATCATTTCATCATTTCATATCATTTCATCATTTCATCTTTTATTCCATCATTTCATCATTTCACTTCATTTCATTTCCTCATTTCATCATTTCATTTCATCCTTTCATTTCATCTCATCATTTCATCCTTTCATTTCATTATTTCATTTCATCATTTCTTCTCATTGTTGCATTTTGTCATTTCATTTCATCATTTCACTTCATCTCATCATTTCATCATCTCATGATTTCATTTCATCTTATCATTTCATCTCATTTCATCTTTTCATCTCGTCATTTCATTTCATCATTTCATTTCATTTCATCTTTTCATCTCGTCATTTCATTTGATCATTTCATTTCATCAATTCATCATTTCATCATTTCATTTCATTATTTCATCATTTAATCATTTCACTTCATTTCATCATTCCATTTCATCATTTCATATCATTTCTTCATTTCACCATTTGATCTTTTCATTTCATTTCATTTCACCATTTCATTTCATCATTTCATTTCATCATTCCATTTCATCATTTCATTACATTTCATCATTTCATCATTTCACTTCATCTCATCATTTCATCTTTCATTGCATTATTTCATTTCATCTCATCATTTCATTTCATCATTTCACTTCATCTCATCATTTCATCTCATGATTTCATTTCATCATTTCATCTCGTGATTTCATTTCATCTCATCATTTCATTTCATCTTTTCATGTCCTCATTTCATTTAATCATTTCATTTCATTTCACCTTTTCATCTCATTTCATCATTTCATTTCATCAATTCATCATTTCATTTCATTATTTCATCATTTCATCATTCACTTCATTTCATCATTTCATTTCATCATTTCATATCATTTCCTCAATTCATCATTTCATCTTTTCATTTCATTTCATCATTTCATCATTTCATTTCATTATTTCAATTTCATTTCATTTCACCATTTCATGTCATCATTTCATCATTTCATTTCATCATTCCATTTCATCATTTCATTTCATTTCATCCTTTCATCATTTCATCTCATATTTCATTTCTTCATTTCATCATTTCATTTCTTCATTTCATCATTTCATCATTTCATTTCATTTCAGTGATACATGTATTTAAGTGCTAATGCAATGCCCAGGAGACACCCTATTTCCCTTTGTAAAACACCTCCTTCAACAAAAGGCAACTTCTCATGGCTGGCTAAGTCTACAGGGATACCAGCCTCTCTTCAACCACCCAATTTCACTTAGAACCTCAAACAGCACCTCAGTTTCATAAAAACCTAAAACATAAACACAACACTTGGTTGTAAGTGAGCCAACAGTTTCTCGTCTCTTTCTCTGCTCAAGGCTTAAGGCCGTGTCTCCCCAACTACATTCAGTGGAAGAAAAGATCCCCTGGACAAATAAGTTTGAGAATTGTTGTTGCAGGAATTCTCAGAACCTTCAAAACACAAATCCTCATCCGCAGGGATCTTCAGGAGGGAGATGGCTGATGCAGCACAACTTTCTTTCACAGGAGTATCTTGCAGAATACAGTATGAGATACAGAAAGGCTGCATTGAGTCTTTTTAATGGCCCGGGCCTTGGTGGGGGTGGGGTAGGAGCTCTCCAGCTAGCATCTAATGAGTAGGAATATTCAGGTGGCTTTTTTTTTCCTTATTGGCAAAACTGTGTGTACACCATGAATGAAGCTGGTCTCCCTTATCCATATCAAAACTAAACCCAAATTAATTGGCTAAATTGGGACTCAACACCTCCAGGAGCCACGCGGCAGAAAGCCTCAACACACTTTAAATTAGCTTACCTCATCATATTTGAGGAAAGCAAAACGCTTATGACCAGTATGCTGCTAATACAAGTCTACAGATAATGCTGTATGAGAAACTAGTTTTCCCAATCATAGCTGGCATAGTCCACATTTTGCATTACACTTTCCCCCCTTTTTTTAAATTTTAAACACAGGTCTTTTTCTCTTCTTTTTTTAAATTTTAATTAAATTATACAAGACGGAGTCTCAGTATGTTGCCCAGGCTGGTCTTCAACTCCTGAGCTCAAGCGGTACATCCGTCTCCGCCTCCCAAAGTGCTGAGATTACAGGCCTGAGACACTGTGCCTGGCCTTAAACACAAATCTTAATTCATTCTTACAATTATTCTGAGGTTACAAAAATGGAAGGGGAAGAAAAATGGCAAGCAGGTAGGCTGACTTCGGCTTCATTATTTGGAAGGACAGTTTGCTCGGTTAAAACACACTACTGCCTACAAAGACCAAGACAACAGAAAAATACAGACTTACATAAATAGATTTTATATGTGACAGCAGTTTGAACGGAGAATTTTTCAATGCAATGAGAACCAGTTGTGCTTGGGAATAAATGACAACGAATTTTTTTATCTCAACAACTGTCCTGAGAGCATGTCTCTACATCTCTACCTGCATTCTGGAATCAGGGAGAAAGCAAAACGGACGACAAGATACTAGATCAGCTGTGTCCAACCCTTTGACTACAAGGACTTTTCTGCCTATCTGTGGTGGTGGGTATCATGAAAATTATGCATAAACCTTTTTTTTTTTTTAAGCTCATCAGCTGTTGTCAGCATTAGTGTATTTTGTGTGTGGCCCAGGAGCATTCTTCTTCCAATGTGGCCCTGAGAAGCCAAAAGACTGGACACCTGTGCACTAGATCAAAAGGCTACTCCTTCTGGAAGCAATTGTAAAGAATTTCTGACATTATCTTGACATGAAAACCAACAGATAGTGGGACAGAATGCAAAATCTTCAAGAATTTTTCTTGTCTTTTTTTTTTTTTTTTTTGAGTCACGGTCTTGCTCTGTGGCCCAGGCTGGAGTACACTGGTGAGATCACAGCTCAGTGCAGGATCAAGTGCTCCTCCCACCTCAGCCACAGTAGTAGCTGGGACTACAGATGCGCACAACCACCCCTGGCTAATATTTTATTTTTTGTAGAGATGGGGTCTCACTATATTGTCCAGGTTGGTCTCAAACTCCTTGACTTAAGGGATCCAGGACAGGATAACAGGTGGGAGCCACCACACCTGGCCATGTGCATGAACTTTTAAGACAAACACAAGGCCCCACAAAAGTTAAGGTTTTCCCACCTAATTTCCAGGGGGATCTTTTGGTGCAAGGCTGAGAAGCCCTTAAAAGTACACAGACAACTCCAAAGATTCAAGACAGTTCATTCGGGCTGAGCCAGCCCACTGGGTAGACTGACCTTCAAAAAAGGCCCACCCATGACATACACCAGATGGCTCTCCAAGAATCTCTTCAGTCCTCAGAGTCCCTAAGGTACTGGACAGAGCTAGGAAAGCAAACCCATTTGCTTCTTCCTGCAGGAAACCCCTTGGGGTCAAGACCCCACAATCAGACGAGGATGGAGTGGCTCACCCTCAGTCAACAGGCCAGACTCAAGGTGGTGTAATGTCTTAACCAAGGGCGCAGGCCTCCAGGTCTGACTCCCAACTTAGTTCTTCTTTAATAAACACACTTTGTTAATTCTCCTTAACAGGGGTTCCTGGCAAGTCAGTTCTCCCTCAGGCCTTTGGTTTCCTCACCTACAAGATGAGAGGGCTGGACCAGATGGAAATTCAGGGGGTAAGAGGATGTCCGCGCGCAGCCCACCCCCACCCCCATGGGACCCTGGAGCCTCCATCCCATTTCCCACCACGCACCCGCTCCACAAATCCTGCCCAAGGTGAGGGTTGGTCCCGGGTCCTCTGGCTGCCGCATCAGCGAGTGCAGGAGGGAGGGGAAGCCTCCAAGGGGGTGACTCGGGCTCAAGGATGCAACTCTGCCAGGAGTGAACTGGGGCCCTGAAGGAGGTGTCCGGGCCGCTCCTGGAGCCCAGCCCGGGTCCCCGAACCCCTTACCTCCAGGGTCCCTATCTCCTGCTGGGTGAGGTCGTTGGACACAGCGCACTTGCTGCACAGCCCCCACAGGCTGCCAATGAAGATGACGATGAGCTTCTGGAGCTGCCCGCACTGCTGCAGCGCCCGGCTGGCCGCAGCCCCTGCACCACCCTCCGCTTCACCCCTGCCACCGCCCTCCTTCTTCTCTCCCATCGCCTCCGCGTGCAGCGCCGCTCTATGCAGGCCACAGGGGCCTAGGCAGGGAGCCCGGGGTGCCAGCGCCTAGGCAAGGAACCCCCTGAGCCAGGAGAGCTGGACCAGGAGCGCCCCTCGGCGCTGCCCTTGCCAAGACACCAGTAGAGCTGGCAGCCGAGTCTGCTGCTCCCCCCCTCAGAGCCGCGGCGGCGGGGACAAAAATCCTCGGTGGCGGGGACAAAAAGCCGCTGCGGCGGGGGCAAAAAGCGGAGGCGACGGGGGCAAAAAGTCGCGGCGGCGGGGGCAAAAAGCCGGGGAGGCAAAAAGCCGCGGAGGCGGGGGCAAAAAGCAGTGGGAGCAAAAAACCATATAATGTCGCGGCGGCGGGGGCAAAAAGGTGCAAAAAGCAGCGGTGGCGCGGGCAAAAAGCCACGGCGGCAAAAACCCGCCGCGGCGGGGCAAAAAGCCGCGGGAGCGCGGAAAAAGCCATGGCGGCAGGGGCAAAATAGTGGAAATGGGGTAGAAGGCCCGCACAGCTTGTCATTGCTGGGGTGTGATGTGATAGGAAAAGTGCAGCCGAAGACAAAAAAAAAAGATGTAAGTAGGCTTGATTCAGTGCAGCTAAGAACCCAGATGTTATCTTGAGAGTATTAACTAATAATCAGTTTAAATCAGAATGGCATATTCTGATTAGTTTTTTGTATGTTCACATTTGGCAGGCATAGATACTGTTTGAAGAGAGGAAAGTCAGTAGATAGAGGAAACAAACTTAAATATGTGCCAAGTCTAGAAACAACAGACTAGGGGGATAAGTACATTTCAAAATAAAATGCAAGATTTGAAAACTGATTGGCTGAGAGATGAGGAAAAGGCAGGTCTTTAAGGTCAATCCCTGTTTTGCTTTAAGTTGTTAGGGGGTGGTTTTATCACATATTGTAGAATATGTCATTTCAGTTTTGAACATCTGGAGTTAAATTGTCCTAACATATCTTATGAATTTGATTTTCTTCCCTGGGAAGCTAATATTTCAAAAACTTAAAGAGTATATAGATTTCCAACTTGTATCCAATTTATAAAACTATCTCTAGGCTGCTGATTTCAGGAGGAGGCTCATGAATATTCTCTTTGCAGAGAATATATCAGGAGTTAACAACATCGTCAATATTTGTGAACGACCAGTTAACTAAGCCACCTCTTAGTGTATTTAGATGGGAAATCTTAGCTGAAGATATTCAATAATGAACCAAGAGTGACTAAAAAATTCAATATTGAAGTATATTTCATTGTAATAATTTGAATTGAAGTAGCCATATACAGCTAGTATTTACTACATTGAACAACGCAAATAAGAGGAAAAAATTAATAACCATCTCTAATACCACATGCCAGAATCCTCATCAATTTATTCTAGCTAAAGGAGTTGATCAGAAGCAGCAGTTGAAAGCACCAACTAAACCAGCTGGGGTTAGTTCACTGTCGTTCTCTCAGAACCATCTCTTTTCTGAACAAAACAAGTACAAGAGTTCATTGTGAATCTGCATTTTCCTTGCGTATTTTAAGGTTTTGATATTGACACTAATTTGTGAAATCCCTCCTGTGGTGTGATATATCATTTTCCTTGCTTTTTGTTAGGAGAACAATGTTTCAGCTCTTAATTTAAAATTATGTTTCTCCCTCCTAGGTTGAGTGAACTTAGAATGCATTCTCTGACATATCCAAGTTTTTGTTAATATGAATTTGGGGGAAAAAGCATACTTAATTAGCTAAGACTTCTTATTCTAGGCTTGACCCTATGTTCCACATCTTTTGAATTTGTAGTTGCATAGGCTGCTCTCTGACACTGGTTAGTGACCTGGAAGCTATAGTAACGTTAGGGGAGGTGTTGTATGAGCATAGAGGTATCCTTGCAAGGAAAGACTTGTCTTATCTCAATACGTCTTTTTTTTTGCACACAAGAAAGTCAATGTTTGAGTCTTCTAAAATCTTCCTATTTCCAAGTTGCAGAGTACCACTGATTCCTAAACAAAGATCTAATTTTTGACTCAGAGACGTAGCAAGGTCTGAATCGCAATTATAATTTAATGATCATTAAGATAAAATTATCTCTCTGATATTTAGATTTTGCCCAATTATTAAGATATTTGGGTGTTTCGTTAAGAATGGAAGACTCTAGTCTCTTGAACAGAGACTATAAAGGCCTCAGATGATCATTTTTAATTTTATGCTCTTTTCTTTAACACCTTCAACACAGTTGGAAGCAGCCGATATTCCCCAGAGTTGTTGTGTTTTTTAAACCAAATGCATTGTTCAGTGGTAGAAAACTGGGCCGATCCAAGCTGTTTTCAGTAAACACTTCATTTCAGGTGACCTATTTCATATTAAATAATCTCTAGATCCTGTCTTCAAAACTAACTAGATCAGATAACCTACTCTGGATTTTCCCCTTTTAGGGTCTGTGAGCTGCAGTCACTTTTGTGAAAATGATTGCAATGAAAAGATAGAGTTGTAGATGGGGAAAATGTTTTGACTAATTTAAGCATAGTGGTATTTAATATGAGAATTTAAGTTACACACATTTGAAAATTATAATGGAGTCTTTTGGCTGAGCTTTAAAAAAAATATCGTTTGGGCTAAAAAAGGAACTGCTGCCTCTCCTAAAATCAGAAAGATGTTACAGTAATTCTCCATTCTCTAGAATTATCAGGAAGGACTTTTGTGATGATTTACTTTTGCTCTTGGGAGTGTGAGCCTGTGTAGTCATGGAACCATCAATTAGAATGGTGGCTTTCTGATCCCAAAGTCATTCGTTCTGAAAACAATATTTTTCATAAATTTGAAAGTGAAAAGTTTTGATCTTGCCATTCCCAAGTAACTCTCTTAATAAGAGGCATCAGCATGCTTCAGTGGCAGCTGTCACCTTCCAGTGCTGAGAGTCATCTTTGAGTTCTCCATTTCACTCCCTACACTCCAATTTAGCTGTAGTTCTCTTGGCCAGTCCTATGAAATACATCCATGGCCTAACGACTTCTCACCACTAATACCACTCATATTAACAGCATTCTCTCCTAAGTCACTACCTTTTTTCTCTGGATTAGAGTAGCCTCCCAATTTATTTGGTCACATAACCTATTTATTCTAAACAGTGCACCAGATGCACCCCTTTGAAATGCAAACACAATCATGTTATTCTCTGGTGAAATTATCTCATATATTCCTATCGCATTTAAAATTACTTCAGAATCATCCCATGATTATCAAAACCCTACATGCTCTTCCACAACATGGTTTACTTCCAAGATATCTCTTCAACTTTTTTTTCACTGTACCGAATTGGTGACTAATAGTCATATTTTTGTTTTTGCTCAAAAAGTCTTGACTTGTAAATTTTTCAGTTTCTCCTTTATCCACAGGTAACTCTTTCCTCATAAGGTGAATTGCTTGCTTCCTTGAGTTCTGCTCTCAAAGATACCCTTCATTTTCTACCTAATATTAATAACTTTAATCATTCATTATTCCATTACTATGCTCTATAGTGTATACAATTTCTGTTCTTTGTCATGTTATTAACTAAATTATTTATTTGGTCCAGTAACGTATTCCATAAATATTGTACACATAAAAATTATGTTATTTTTATTGCTGTATGCTCAGCTGCCCAATAACAGTTTGAGGATTAACATATTTGTTAAATGCACAAATACATTCTTTCACAAATATTAGTTTAATAATTTTATATTAAACTCCCTCTATACTTACAATATGAATTAGATAATTCAGAATAAACATTCCATTGGAAAAAACTAAACAATTTGTTATAAAAACATCCTTAAAAGCATCAGAAAGTTAATACAGCAATGAAGAATGACAGGATCAAATAAGAATGGTATGGACGCCTGTTTGTGAGGCTTATGTTTGGGTTATCTCTTTACTTAGAGTGACTATAAATCTCAAAAAACTAAAGGGAGAAATAACCATATCTACTAACATGGTAAGGGTATTTAAACATCTCTTAGTAATTGAGAAAATTGAAAGAAAAGGAAAAAGAGAAAGGGAGAAAAAGAAACAGAGCGAAAGGGATAATGAAGGAGAGAAAGAAGAAGAGAAAGGAAGAGGAAGAAAAGTAAAAAGGAGGAGGAGGGGGAGGAAGGAAGAAAGAAAGGTGGAAAGAAAGAATGGTAAAGTTTTTAACAACATAATTTATCCTTATAGAATATGAATGTTGGTCTATTTGATGATGTCCCACAGATTCCTTAGTCTCTGCTCATTTTTTATCTGTTTCTCAGAGTCAATATTTTCCATTATCTTATCTTCAAGCTCATGACTTCTTCTGTGTGTGCAAATATACTCTTAAATCGCCCTGGTGATTTTTAAATTTTTATCACTGTAGTTTTCCACTCCAGAATTTCTGTTATCTCTTTGCTGATATTCCTACTTTTTAATATTTTTTCTGATTCCTTTCTTTCTTTGTTTATGTTTTCTTTTTGACATTTGAGTATAATTAAGAGAGTTGTTTTAAAGTCTTTGTCTAGTAAGTTTGATGTCTGGGTTTCCTTAGAGATATTTTCTGTCAATTTATTTTTCTCCTTTGAATGAGCCTTACTTTCCCATTCTTTGTATGCCTTGTAACTTTTTTTGAAAACTGGACATTATAATAATTATAATTACTATGCAGTTACTCTGTAAATCAGACTCCCCCCCTACAAACACACTAATGTTTTGTGGTTTTAAAATTTATTTACTTATTATATTGTTAAGGTTTTTAATTTTAGTGAAATTTTCCAAAGTGATTTACAAAACTGTTTGCTTTATAAGGTGTGGTCACTGAAGTCTTTCTGTTTCCTTAACGAATGTTAAGCTAATATTTTGACAGTGATTTTCTTGTATGTCAGGAACTAAGCAAACAGAAAAATGCAACAAAAACAAAAAGAAAATCAAGTAATCATTATCCAGCAAAATATGTCTCTAGGCCATGCAGACTGGCTTTGTGCTGGGTTCTTTTTTTTTAATTAATTTTATTTTATTATTATTATTATTATTATTATTATTATTATTATTATACTTGAAGTTTTAGGGTACATGTGCACATTGTGCAGGTTAGTTAAATATGTATACATGTGCCATGCTGGTGCGCTGCACCCAATAACTCGTCATCTAGCATTAGGTATATCTCCCAGTGCTTTCCCTCCCCCCTCCCCCAACCCCACAACAGTCCCCAGAGTGTGATATTCCCCTTCCTGTGTCCATGTGATCTCATTGTTCAATTCCCACGTATGAGTGAGAATATGCGGTGTTTAGTTTTTTGTTCTTGCGAAAGTTTACTGAGAATGATGATTTCCAATTTCATCCATGTCCCTACAAAGGACATGAACTCATCATTTTTTATGGCTGTGTAATATTCCATGGTGTATAAGTGCCACATTTTTTTAATCCAGTCTATCATTGTTGGACATTTGGGTTGGTTCCAAGTCTTTGCTATTGTGAATAATGCTGCAATAAACATACGTGTGCATGTGTCTTTATAGCAGCATGATTTATAGTCCTTTGGGTATATACCCAGTAATGGGATGGGTGGGTCAAATGGTATTTCCAGTTCTAGATCCCTGAAGAATCGCCACACTGACTTCCACAATGGTTGAACTAGTTTACAGTCCTACCAATGCTGTAAAAGTGTTCCTATTTCTCCACATCCTCTCCAGCACCTGTTGTTTCCTGACTTTTTAATGATTGCCATTCTAACTGGTGTGAGATGGTATCTCATTGTGGTTTTGATTTGCATTTCTCTGATGGTCAGTGATGATGAGCACTTTTTCATGTGTTTTTTGGCTGCATAAATGTCTTCTTTTGAGAAGTGTCTGTTCATGTCCTTTGCCCACTTTTTGATGGGGTTGTTTGTTTTTTTCTTGTAAATTAGTTGGAGTTCATTGTAGATTCTGGATATTAGCCCTTTGTCATATGAGTAGGTTGTGAAAATTTTCTCCCATTTTGTAGGTTGCCTGTTCACTCTGATGGTAGTTTATTTTGCTGTGCAGAAGCTCTTTAGTTTAATCAGATCCCATTTGTCAATTTTGGCTTTTGTTGCCATTGCTTTTGGTGTTTTAGACATGAAGTCCTTGCCCATGCCTATGTCCTGAATGGTAATGCCTAGGTTTTCTTCTAGGGTTTTTATGGTTTTAGGTCTACCGTTTAAGTCTTTAATCCATCTTGAATTGATTTTTGTATAAGGTGTAAGGAAGGGATCCAGTTTCAGCTTTCTACATATGGCTAGCCAGTTTTCCCAGCACCATTTATTAAATAGGGAATCTTTTCCCCATTGCTTGTTTTTCTCAGGTTTGTCAAAGATCAGATAGTTGTAGATATGCGGCGTTATTTCTGAGGGCTCTGTTCTGTTCCATTGATCTATATCTCTGTTTTGGTACCAGTACCATGCTGTTTTGGTTACTGTAGCCTTGTAGTATAGTTTGAAGTCGGGTAGTGTGATGCCTCCAGCTTTGTTCTTTTGGCTTAGGATTGACTTGGCGATGCGGGCTCTTTTTTGGTTCCATATGAACTTTAAAGTAGTTTTTTCCAATTCTGTGAAGAAAGTCATTGGTAGCTTGATGGGGATGGCATTGAATCTGTAAATTACCTTGGGCAGTATGGCCTTTTTCACGATATTGATTCTTCCTACCCATGAGCATGGAATGTTCTTCCATTTGTTTGTATCCTCTTTTATTTCCTTGAGCAGTGGTTTGTAATTCTCCTTGAAGAGGTCCTTCACATCCCTTGTCAGTTGGATTCCTAGGTATTTTATTCTCTTTGAAGCAATTGTGAATGGGAGTTCACTCATGACTTGGCTCTCTGTTTGTCTGTTGTTGGTGTATAAGAATGCTTGTGTTTTTTGTACATTGATTTTGTATCCTGAGACTTTGCTGAAGTTGCTTATCAGCTTAAGGAGATTTTGGGCTGAGACAATGGGGTTTTCTAGATATACAATCATGTCATCTGCAAACAGGGACAATTTGACTTCCTCTTTTCCTAATTGAATACCCTTGATTTCCTTCTTCTGCCTAATTGCCCTGGCCAGAACTTCCAACACTATGTTGAATAGGAGTGGTGAGAGAGGGCATCCCTGTCTTGTGCCAGTTTTCACAGGGTATGTTTCCAGTTTTTGTCCATTCAGTATGATATTGGCTGTGGGTTTGTCATAGATAGCTCTTATTATTTTAAAATACTTCCCATCAATACCTAATTTATTGACAGTTTTTAGCACGAAGGGTTGTTGAATTTTGTCAAAGGCCTTTTCTGCATCTATTGAGATAATCATGTGGTTTTTGTCTTTGGTTCTGTTTATATGCTAGATTACATTTATTGATTTGTATATATTGAACCAGCCTTGCATGCCAGGGATGAAGCCCACTTGATCATGGTGGATTAGCTTTTTGATGTGCTGCTGGATTCGGTTTGACAGTATTTTATTGAGGATTTTTGCATCAATGTTCATGAGGGATATTGGTCTAAAATTCTCTTTTTTGGTTGTGTCTCTGCCCGGCTTTGGCATCAGAATGATGCTGGCTTCATAAAATGTGTTAGGGAGGATTCCCTCTTTTTCTATTGATTGGAATAGTTTCAGAAGGAATGGTACCAGTTCCTCCTTTTACCTCTGGTAGAATTCTGCTGTGAATCCATGTGGTCCTGGACTCTTTTTTTTTGGTAAGCTATTGATTATTGCCACAATTTCAGATCCTGTTATTGGCTCATTCAGAGATCCAACTTCTTCCTGATTTAGTCTTGGGACAGTGTATGTGTCCAGAAATTTATCCATCTCTTCTAGATTTTCTAGTTTATTTGCATAGAGGTGTTTGTAGTATTCTCTCATGGTAGTTTGCATTTCTGTGGGATCGGTGGTGATATCCCCTTTATCATTTTTTATTGCATCTATTTGATTCTTCTCTCTTTTTTTCTTTATTAGTCTTGCTAGCGTTCTATCAATTTCATTGATCCTTTCAAAAAACCAGCTCCTGGATTCATTAATTTTTTGAAGGGTTTTTTGTGTCTCTATTTCCTTCAGTTCTGTTCTGATTTTAGTTATTTCTTGCCTCTGCTAGCTTTTGAATGTGTTTGCTCTTGCTTTTCTAGTTCCTTTAATTGTCATGTTAGGGTGTCAATTTTGGATCTTTCCTGCTTCCTCTTGTGAGCATTTAGTGCTATAAATTTCCCTCTACACACTGCTTTGAATGTGTCCCAGAGATTCTGGTATGTTTTGTCTTTGTTCTCATTGGTTTCAAAGAACATCTTTATTTCTGCCTTCATTTCGTTATGTACCCAGTAGTCATTCAGGAGCAGGTTGTTCTGTTTCCATGTAGTTGAGTGGTTTTGAGTGAGATTTTTAATCCTG
Source organism: Homo sapiens (assembly GCF_000001405.40). Lineage (NCBI taxonomy): Eukaryota > Metazoa > Chordata > Mammalia > Primates > Hominidae > Homo > Homo sapiens. The sequence goes on along the minus strand of NC_000015.10, from coordinate 19,891,007 downwards.
AGTTCTAGTTTGATTGCACTGTGATCTGAGAGATAGTTTGTTATAATTTCTGTTCTTTTACATTTGCTGAGGAGAGCTTTACTTCCAAGTATGTGGTCAATTTTGGAATAGGTGTGGTGTGGTGCTGAAAAAAATGTATATTCTGTTGATTTGAGGTGGAGAGTTCTGTAGATGTCTATTAGGTCTGCTTGGTGCAGAGCTGAGTTCAATTCCTATGTATCCTTGTTGACTTTGTGTCTTGTTGATCTGTCTAATGTTGATAGTGGGGTGTAAAAGTCTCCCATTATTAATGTGTGGGAGTCTAAGTCTCTTTGTAGGTCACTCAGGACTTACTTTATGAATCTGGGTGTTCCTGTATTGGGTGAATATTTATTTAGGATAGTTAGCTCTTCTTGTTGAATTGATCCCTTGACCATTATGTAATGGCCTTCTTTGTCTCTTTTGATCTTTGTTGGTTTAAAGTCTGTTTTATCAGAGACTAGGATTGCAACCCCTGCCTTTTTTTGTTTTCCATTTGCTTGGTAGATCTTCCTCCATCCTTTTATTTTGAGCCTATATGTGTCTCTGCATGTGAGATGGGTTTCCTGAATACAGCACACTGATGGGTCTTGACTCTTTATCCAATTTGCCAGTCTGTGTCTTTTAATTGGAGCATTTAGATCTGGACAACTTTTAGTGACAAAATGGAGCTTTAACATTCGCTGTCCCAGGGGATTTTCCAAATTTAGGCCTGTATATTGTCTCTTCTGTTCCTTTAGTCTAAGAATTTCACAGCCCACTCATCTCTCTCCTGTTGTATATCAAATGCTTTAGAGAGATTTTGAGTTTGGGGTACTGATTCCCTAGTTTCTTTCATTATCATTTCCCTTATGTCTTGCATGTTTTCTTGGTGAGCTGCGTTATTATTATCCCACTGGGGATCTTCGGCAGGGAATTTTTGGTCTGTGGTAGGAACGTTTTGACAAGGAGGGTGTTCATATTCCCAAATTGCCATAGCAGCCCTATGGATCAGATCATGCTTCTTTCCTCCTCCGAAAAGAGGATGCCTAGGATGGACATAAACTCGACCCAAGTGTATAACTGAGGTCCCAAGAATTGATCAACCTGATTTTTCACCTCATAAGGTTCATCTAATAATGGCTTAATTTCCTTTTTTAAACTTCAGGCTTCTGAACTGGTCAAGGGAGCATTCACAAATACAATGGCTCCTCCTACTTGTGGCATGTCTTTTAAGGGGAAGAGAGTTGGGGCTGACTCCTTAGGTGTGGAGAGAAAAGGGAAGTTCTGAATGTACTATTTATATTGCTGTACCTCATGCTGGAGTCCCTTTAAGAAGAGGTATTTAGGTTGACAGGGGACACGCTCATGGGATGATAACTCCCAAGAATTAGAGTTGTAAGGAGGAGGAACATTGTGAGCAGGAGAAGGATCTGGGGTGGGATCTGGGGTGGCAGCAGCTGCCCAAGGGGAAGGGTCAGAGGCACTGAGCAGGGCAAAATGGTATAGGGGATCCCATGTGCTGGCTTTAGGTGTGGGAGTCAGCTCGTCTGACTTTTCAATTTGAGATGCTGGATCGGGTTCTTCCCTAGTTGTCTTTAAGGGAATAAAGACAGGTGCCTGTCTCCAACAAAGAGCATAGTCTAGTTCTTCTTGAGAAACCAGATTTTTATCATTAACATATTGAATTAGAAGTTGACACATTACATCCTCATTCGACCCAAACTTTGGCCAGAAGATTGAGGTTTTGAAAATGGGACATTGGGTCCAAATGAAACAGCAATTTTTTATCCTCTAATGCTTTTTCTTATGTTTACTCCTCTCATTATCCTTCCAATATTTTAACATGAGACCCAGGGTACTATCAGGGGGCATGTCTTTGTTACTATCCTCTTCTTTTTTGCTCCCTGTCTTACTTGGGGATTTTCCCATGTTAGGTCCTGGTTAGGCTCAATCCCACATGCTAGAGATTTCTTCCCTATCCTTTATCCCCACCTGCTGGAGGCTCCTTGCACCCTTCTTTTCCTTCATCCACTCTGGTTGCTTCCCTCCCAGGAATTTTAGGTCCCTCTTAGCATTGGCATCATGGTATAAAACCCACAGCAGGATCTGCCCTGAGCCCTGTGAGGATACAGTGAATTCCTCTTCAAAGGTTTTTTATTCAAATAAAAAACCGCAGATAGGACCCACTCACTCCTCAGAGCAATAATGCTTAGTATCATCCACACAAACAGCACCACAAGCAGTAGTGCTTGTGATCATTCACACACACTTTCAACCTCCAGAATATCCTGACCACCAAGGAAATACTTTGTCACCCCTGCGACATTTCTTACCTCAGTCTGTGCACAGTTACCTGGTCACCACGGCATGTGAAGATCCTTTCCCCAAAGATGCTGGCCTGTTTCTTTCCACGTTGCTGAGATCCCAGGTTTATTAATCTCACCAGTTGAGTCTTGATTTCTTACCTTTATAGCCACTGCAACAAGGCAGCGGGGTGCGCCTCCTCACAGGAGAGGACTGGACCCTCCCCCAGAGGAAAATGGGAATGCTGGGTGGGCCCCCAAATTTGTGGAAAACAAATTTTCGGTGCCACAAAGAACAGTCAGCACTCCAGCAACAAGTTTTTACAGCAAGGCAAATTTACTTCTATGGAAGAGTGGTCTTGCAGATGGAGTAATGGCAAGATAACACCGGACAAGGGAGGGAAAGTGTTCTTATTCCTAACGCAGCTAGTCCCTACTGTTGTGTCTTTTCCCTATTGGATAGGGTTGGACTGCACACTCTAAGCTAATTCAGATTGGCTATTTCAAAGAGAGCAGGGGTATGAGCTGGAGTGGCAGGGTGAGTAGTTTCAGCGGGAAAGACAGTTACAGAGCAGGTGTCTAAGGATGACTAAGGACAGAGCAGGTGTCTAAGGATGACTAAAGACAGAGCAGGTGACTAAGAATGACTAAAGACAAAGCAGGTGTTAGAGGCTAGGAGGGGGTTGTTTAATGAAACTAGGGGCAAGGAGGCATAATGAACGAGGAAGTTAAACTTTAAAATGGAGAACAAAGAACAGAGAAGCTGGACATACTGACATATTTGTTCTTTGATGAGGAACTCAGAACTCACTGTACTTAACCCCCTCTTGAATTTTAAAGAATTTTTACAGGCTAAAATCTTTGAAGAGGAATTCACTGTATCCTATTCGTCAGGTGTTCTTTCCACCAAGCTTTCAGCCATGTCAGGTGTTCTTTCCACCAAGGGTGCAGCCTCGTCAGGTGTTCCTTCAGATGTTCCTTCTGCCAAACACACAGTCTGGTTAAATTTTCCTTTGGCTAAATATCATCCTTCTGACTCTTTACTTGGAAAACTTCTACTCATTCAGCTTGCTTTCCTTAAATACTACCAAACTTTTGTTTTCTCCTTTTTTTTTTTTTTTTTTTTTTTTGAAACAAGAGCCTCACTCTGTCACCCAGGCTGGAGTGCAGTGGCACGATCTCAGCAGATCACTGCAACCTCCACCTCCTGGGTTCATGAAATCCTCCTACCTCAGCCTCCCATGTAGCAGGGATTACATATGCATGCCACCCAGGCCCAGCTAATTTTTTGTATTTAGTAGAGATGGGATTTCACCATGTTAGTCAGGGTGGTCCCAAACTCCTGAGCTCAAGCAATCCGCCTGCCTTGGCCTTCCAAAGTGCTAGGATTACAGGAGTGAGCCACCGCTCCTGGACACTATCAAACTTTTTAAAGCTTTAATTCTTCACGTTGGATATAAAATGTCTGACACATACTGAATATGGTAATGACATAATAAGTGATAATTACAAGCTCCCAAAGGGGTTCTGGCACACAGTAAGCACTAAATAAAGTAGTAAATAATAAAAAAGATGATAATAACAAGAAAAATGCTTAGTACCTTAATAAAGTAGTAAATAATAAAAAATGACAATGATAATAACAAGAAAGATGCTTAGTACCCTAAAGATACCTGACAGTTATTTGTTAAGTGGACAAGTGGATAAACAAAAAACATAGTTAGGAAATTCTGTTGGAAAAATGCAGAAATTCAATAGAGACAGCTCTAATGTATTATGAGCACCTTAAAGACCCAGACTATGTGTATTCCATCTTGGTCTCCTGCTACTTGCAAAATCTAACTTATAGAAGTCCTTTGGTAAATATGTAATAAATTAAAGATGTGCTAATACAGTTCATATTGTACAATGTATTGTGTCACATTTAGGTATCACAGTAGCACTTTTGTTATTGTGAAAATTTTTTCCACTTTTATTATAATTTGTTGAGCCTAGAATTGAGCTAGTTGAATATTTATAATGATAATATTTTGGCTAGTAGGAACAGAGTAACTTGTTGTAACAAAATTACTATTAACACACTAATTATCCAGCAGATAGAACAACACATCTTGTTCTAATGAAGTAAATATATCTTATTTGGTTTCAACTTAGAGGGAATGAAGTTGATAATAGTGAGACCTTGTTGGTACAAGACTATGTAACATAACCTGCACTTCTCAACAAAGAATTGCTTTTCTGACTTCTGCACTCAGTAGGTATCTTTGAAAAATAATCTCCTATTGGTACTGATGCACCCTCGTTAAGTTATGTTAATTCTTATTGACATTCATTTATGGTGCAAGAAAAGCATTATTGAGTTCCAAATTCTAAAGAGAGTTACTTTTTTAGTGACACAAGTCACTATGCCACACAGTTGATCTTTGAATAAGGGTTTTCACTTTAGGAGCCCACTAATAGACAGATTTTTCTTTTCCTTTGCCACTGCAAGATACCAAGACAAATCTCTCCTCTGCCTCCTCCTTATCAGCCTACTCAATGTGAAGGCAATGAGAATGAAGTCCTTTATGTATAATTCACTTCCATCTAATAAATAGTGAATATATTTCTTCCTCTTTATAACAGTTTCTTTTCTCCAGCTCACTTTATTCTAAGAATACAGTATATAGTACATATAAAATAGAAATTATGGGTTAATTGACTGCTTCTGCTTTCACCTTTTTTCAGGCTCCAGGTCAACAGTAGAAAATTAGTAGAGTTTTGGAGGAGTCAAAAGAAACAGATTTTCATATAAAGCAGATTTTCAGCTGCATGGGGGGATGAGCATCCTAACTCTCATGTTGCTCAAGACTCAACTGTAATTAATTCTAATTTTCTAAATGCAAATCATTTATTGTAAAAATTAAATAAATCCCAGAAGTTCAGGACCAGCCTGGGCAACATAAGGAGACCTTGTCTCTACAATAAAGAAACAAACAAAAAAATAAATTATTTTTTTATTTAACAAATAAACATTTATATGTTTATTTATGTTTAATAAACAAACATAAATATTTGTTTATTTAACAGTTTATTTAACTGTGTTCCTTTATAGATTATAATATTCAAATGTTGTAGTTTTCTGTTATTAATTCCTACTTTTCATTATTAGATGTTCTATTATTTGTGGCTTGTAATTCAAGGCATTAAGCTATTTTATAATTTGTAATAAAGTTTATTTATAAATATATTAATTCATTAAATTTGATAAGCTGATAATCCCCTATTACTGAGTTCATCAATCACACCAAGGGTTATACATTTTATAACAAGCATAAATTGTTATGACAGTTGAGGAAACATACAATATATAAACTTAAAAATTGTTTTACTTATTTATACAAAAGTATTATATAGGATATTAGGGACCACAATTAAACAAATATTTTTTCAGATAATATTTTTGAGATTATAAACCACCTACAACTAAATTCTTAATGAATTCTGAATTATAAACTAAAAAATTAAATCAAAGCTATGTATATATAAAAACACTTACATATAGGTATATATGTAAACACATGCTACTTACACATTGCTTTTTTAATAGCTCTTTTGTGATCAACACTCCTATAATCTCATGGTAGCACCACCAAGATTAGTTTACTATCAGAGGTCTTACCTGGATTGCTATTTTGAGAATTTTTAGATATCTTTTGTTTGTATTCCAAAAGTTGTTGATGAATGCTATGTATAAAAATGAAATAAATAAAATTACTATTTTAACATTGATATAAAAAACACTTACCAAATTTATGAAGTTCTTAGGGTATTTCAGACAATATTAGAGCTAACATCAGAACATTACTTTTTCCATAGTCTTTAAGTTTGTAAGCTCTATGAACTTATTAAGCTTCTAATTAAAGATGAAAGAAAGATAAAACACTCATGAAGTGAGGGCAGTATAACTCAGTAAATTAACTAGAGGTAGCTTGACATATGGAAAATGTCCTTACCTCAGAATAAGTCCTAGCATGGCTACCAACAGGTATTTTTTCTTGAACAAGTTACTTCTCTTAGACTCAATGTCTTCTAACAATGAGGATTTTAGGGCCTTATTTCACTATGTTATTATAAAGATTTAATAAGATAACATTTTAAAAATGCTTAAAATAAAAAGTGAAGCAAAAAAGTAATTTGTTCTTGAACCTTATTGCTGAAACTATTTTAAAATTCCCAATAATACCCAATATATTGGCCTGGTGCAGTGGCTCATGCTTGTGATGTAAGCACTTTGGGATGCTGAGACAGGAGGATTGCTTGAGTCCAGAAGTTCAAGACCAGCCTGGGCAACATAGGGAGACCATATCTTTACAAAAATTAAATTACAAAAAAAAAAGTGTTTCTTCATAGGTTATAATATTCAAATATTGCAATTTTCTGTTATTAATTCCTACTTTTGGATATTAGATGTTCTATTCTTTGTGGCTTGTCATTCAGAGCATCTAAGCTATTTTATATTTTGTAATGAAATTTATTTATACATATATTAAATCATTAAATCAGATAACCTAATTATACTCTATTACTGAGCTCATCAGTCACACCAAGGGCAGAAAACTAATAGATGTCAGCATCTGGCTTGGACTACTACTACTACTCTTTATCTACCTCCTTAAATTCTGAACCAACAAATCTTTGTTAGAATGATGCTTAGTCACTATGTTCATTTCCAGCTGCTGTGGAAGACAAAACCCTACTTTCATTTTTTGTAAGTTCCACAAAGAAGATGCAAGTTGGTATTTTCTCATTTCTGAGATCCGTACTAACAAAATATTGCACACAAGATCCTATATGTTACCACATCTCATTTCATAGATCACCTTACATAAATAATTTTTTGTATGAAAATCACAATTGCAATACTGGGTGTCACCCATTTTGCTTTGACTCACACCATTTCCTTGGAGCTAGTTAGAAAGTAGTAAAATGTCCTTTGGGGGACTGCAAGAAATATGCAACACTTTACGGATTTCTATGTCATCCTTGTGTGGGGACCATGCTGATCTTCTCAACGTTGTTTCAATTTTACTATATGAACCACTGAAGCCAGCAAAAATCCTTATTTTTATACGTGAAGACTGATCAGTGATGGATGAGGCTTAGCTCTGTTAAATCTAACCAACTTACTTGAGATTTAGTGAAGTCTATTGAATGGCTTCATGGTGATGCAGCATTTGAAAATATTTTAAAAACTCGAGGTAGAGATGTAAGTAGCACGGGAGATTTTTACTTTTAGGAAAAAAGAATCACTTGAGGGGACAACCACAAGTTGGAACCCACTACAACTTGGGAAAGATGACATGGGATTTTACAGAATAAGGTGAGACCTTCCACTACCTACAAAATGGTGCTACACAGGATATAAAGGGCCAGGGATATAGATCTGTTAACAAAGACAAAATGGATCTCTAATTTCTTCCTGTAACATTATTTCAACCTGACTTACAGTTTCAAACTACCACAACTAATATTGGCTAGAGAAAATAGAAAAAAGTCACTCAAAGGATAACTTACCATGAAGGTCTAGGCCATGCCCAGGCTAAGATGTGGGTTTCACATCAGGTTTTGAGTGTGAGGAGAAGGGTCAATTTGCTCACTATGTGTGTGGCTAAAGCTAAAAGTTCTAGCTGCCAGAGTAGGGTGCTGGTACTTTGGAAACAATGGCTGAGAATATGTACGTGAACTTTAAAAACATGTAGTAACTTCAAAGTCTACACCATGAAGACTGAGGGATCTGTGTTAATAAGGGCATCCTGGTCACAAAGGTCAATCATTACCAGACTGCAGGAGCAGTTTCAATGGCAACGATGCAGCAACAGAATGAATGGAAACAACAAAATGAAGAGAATGGGCATTTCCCCCCCAGTCCTTCTGACTTGTACGAAAGGAATGTCTTCCTTGGACTTAGGTTCAGATTCTTTTAAAAAATTCAAGAATGAAGGTATGGAAGACAGCCCCCTGGGGACACTATCAGGTTTTCTGCTTAAAGTGGACATTTTGAAACCCAAATAGCTAATTAGAAAAACCAAAATTGTGACTTTATGTTTATCCCATGCATAGGGGTTATACTTCAAATCAAGAAGACAACATTAGCATCCCTAAAGCCCTAAAATAAAGAATCCTGGAGCCATTACTCCTTCTAACAAGTCTAGCTTTCTGGCTGATGAAGTGAACTAACTCACTGTCATTCAAAACCTACCTGAAACAAACTATAAAATCTCACTTAACCTTTAAATGTAAACACTTACGGATTAAATCCACAAGCAACAGCATAACGTTCTGCAATCATTCCACACGGATCTTCAGCACAGGTGTCAACATTTTGCTGAAGAACCAGGCCAACTATCTCTGATGATCCATGACATATGGCAAGCATGAGGGCTGTGCTGAAATAACAAAGAGATAACTTCATTATTAGGAACAGAACCAATTTAATATGTGCCTGTCAGTGTAGAATTAACCATTTACATGTATTAACAAACGTTAAGTATCTTGAGTGCTCAAGTGTTTATCCTTGTAAATCACGACCAAGGCTAAAAGGAAGGGGTGAAAAGACTCATGTCTCACTGGGATATGGCATAGTAGAATTGGCTAACATAAAGTCCACTGAGGGGCAAGAAAATATGTTCTGTTCACTAATCTAAAAGGGGCAAAGTTTTAAGTGGAGAATTATCTATTTCCTCCTTAGTTTGATATAATATTTTGTACTTCAAAATTAGCTAGAAGTCGGACAAGTGAGAGCAATCTGAAGACTTAAAACAATATTAGGAATAATATTTGTCCTGAGTAGCTGGGACTATAGGCATGTGCCACCAGGCTTGGCTAATTTTTATATTTTTCATAGAGATGGGGTTTTACCATGTTGGCTAGGCTGGTCTCAAACTCCTGGCCTCAGGTGATCTACCCACTTGGCCTCCCAAAGTGCTGGGATAACAGATGACAGCTACCATGCCCAGCAAATATTGCATTTTTAAAAAGTGTATGAAAAACAGAAGTTAGAAAAATACTATAAAGGTGTTAATCATTCAATATTGAATTACAAAGTAAACTAAAAATTCATACTTCTTAAAACTAATACAGAACCACTTTAGCTAATAGAAGATAATGCAACCAAAAACATCAGATTACAAATAAGAATCAGTCAATATAACAAAAGAAGAAAATCCTACTATATACTGTTCTTTATGTTGACCAGTCCAAATAATTGCTTTTCTTACTAACTGATAATTTGTGTTGGTATTTTTCTGTATAATCTAATAATTTTAAGTAAATGTTATTAATTTAATATTTCTGACTTGAGTGTTATTACTCTAGCACACTACTCAAGTGTTTTTTAATTAAAAAAACTACTATACCATTTAAACTTATCAACTGCATTTGCATTTGTATTTTTTGTCAGTAAAAATTCCACAATTTGCTCACTTCTTTTCCTTATGGCCAGTAAAAGTGGTGTGTGGCCAGCCTGTAAAACAGCAAAAACCATTTATAATTCATGAAATTACATATTTCTCAGCTGAACTGAATACCTGATATAATATCCTATGAACTTAAACAATGGAAAGTAAATCAATAGCAATCCCTTCTTTCTCACTTTTCTGTGCTTTCCCATGCACTGCACCTTCTCTTGTAAACATTCAGCCTCTGCATCACCACATTAACTCTGGTTATCTCCAAAAATCATTATATTGTAATGATTTTATTGTTTCCCATTTAAACCAAGAGCTTCTTGAGGGCAGGGGCTGTATCTTTTACCTCTATATCCTTAAACCCTAAGACATAGTAGTAAATACTTTGTTTTTTACTAAATTAGTAATCTAAATTATTACCTCTAGAACAGTGTTTCTTCCACTATATTCCAAAGAATAATTACCTTACCAGAAGCACTGTACCCCAACAGATTCCACCATTATCTATGTTCAAGAAATGTTATACAACTGTGAATTAAATGTTCATTATTCAATAAATGAATTGAACTTTACCTAATACTTATTTGACAGTCTATTTTTGTGGCAAACATTAACATTTGACAAATTAGAATTTCAGGGATGCAGTTTTGAAATCTTCCCCCCAAAAATGGAGGTTTCCTCTGGGTGATACAAACTTACTTGATTCTCTTCTGTCAATGATCCCAACATTCCAGATGCCAATGTCAGGCTCTCCTGCTCTAAATGGGTCACTAAGGAAGTGGCTCTAAATTAAAAGATATTGGCTTCAAATAAACTTTGATTGCTTATTATTAAATCATCCATGAGGTTTATCCTATTACCAGACAATAGGGTTTTATCTAAGCTATTAGAAATTCAGTATAAAAGGCCAGGTGAGGTGGTTCATGCCTGTAATCCCAGCACTTTGTGAGGCCAAGGTGGGCAGATCACAAGGTCAGGAGATCGAGACCATCCTGGTCAACATGGTGAAACCCCATCTCTGCTAAAAATACAAAAAATTTAGCTGGGCATGGTGGCACATGCCTGCATCCCAGCTACTCAGGAGGCTGAGGCAGGACAATCACTTGAACCAGGGAGGCAGAGGTTACAGTAAGCCAAGATCACACCACTGCACTCCAGCCTGGTGACAGAGCGAGGCTCCATCTCAAAAAAAAAAAAGAAAAAAAGAAAAGCAATTCAGTATAAAAGTTTATTCTCAATTATAATGATACTCCTAGGATCCGAATGCATATCCACTTCTTAAAATGCAATAATCTATTTTTATTCTGGTTTCTATTGTAATTGATACTATTTTTTGGCAAAATATCAGAAGTATGAATAAAATGGCTTATTAATGAAAGTTCTAACTCATGTATATGGATTAGCAAAATAGAAGCCACTAAATTGCTTGAATTTTAAGGGACAAGTCTGTGGAGAAAGATATAGTATTTTTTGCAATTTGCATAACCCATTCAAATATAAACATGATTAATCTAAAAAGGCTTAAAGGCCTTCTAATAGAAGATGATTATTTATGGTTTATATGAAGAAACATCTTCATTTAAAAAATATTCTAAATTCTGGAAGACAACCCCATTATTAATGAATTAATGTAAAATATAAACTAAATGTTATAAACACCTATAAACTGTCTTCAATAACTTGAAATCTTTACCAAAATATACTATGAGAGAGGAATTGATAACTGAAATATTTACAGAGGCAAAAGAGGTAAGTTGAATAAGTGATGTAACTAGGTGGGCACAGTAGCAAACTGGAAACATATGCTTTATGTAAAGCTAGAATGTCTTCATAGCATACCAAACAGTCATATGGGCTCAAGAAACACCAGATTCAATCCTTTAAGAGGAAATCCAGATTTCTTCATGTCTCCTAAATTTTACATGTTGACTCAATTTATGCAGGCAAATTTTACTTTCCTGTAGTTTTACACTAATTGGAAAGAAAAAAAAAACTTGGGTGGGAAAGAATATTTGAAAAATTTTACCTTTAACAAACTCAAATATTTATCATAATGCACAGAAAAGCCATACTAATAGTTCTTGTAAAAATATTAATATTTAAAGCAAAATCCTAGACAACTAAGTTTTGTTAAACTATTTTCATAGGAAAATAGGAATGTTTGAGCTTCCAAATATAAAACAATTTACATATGTTAATGTTAAAACAAATGGATTTCAAATATTTTGAAAATAACATTGGTTAACATCTACCTTGTTCTTCACTTCGATGTCTGCACCACAGGACAGCAATTTTGCCACCACTGACAAATTCTCACCATAAAGAGCATAATGGACAGCTGTGTTGCCATACACATCTACAATATTTGGATCAGCACCAGAATCTATGAGAATATTTGCACAAACCTCCCTCTGGCATTGCGCAGCCTGTCAGTATTAAAGCAAGAAGTAAATTATAAATTATAGGAAATATAAATAAATATTCCACAGGTTTCACAAACTAGTTATATTTCAATGAGATATATTCATTTTTATTCTATGTATTTAAACCAAATCCATCTCCTGCTGAAAGAACTGGCTACCATTTACCTTCATCAGAGGTGTCCTGTTTTCACCATCAAGGATGTCAAGCTGGCACTTTCTATCTACCAGAGGTGTTACTACTTCTGCATGGCCATTGGCACAGACCCAGTGTAGAGCAGTCCTACGAGAGTGAGAGGACTTTTTAGGAAAGTTTAGTCCACTGTCTCAAAGCACATAATGATTTATGTAATTGTCAACATTAAATACCATGCTCTTTCTCTGCCTTCAAAACAAATATTTAATATTCTCCTGAAGAAAGAACAACATTCATTCACTCTTATTACTCACTACATTAGTGAAAGAGTGGCCTATTTGAATAGAAAGAGCTTGGCCTTTGGATTCCGTTCAACTTGGGCTTGAATATTACTTTAAAGTCTTTCACCTTCTAGCTATCACTTAACCTTTCTGTGCCTCAATTTTGAACCCAAGAATTGAAGACTTGAGTGTTAGATATGCTCATTTCTGCTGGGATATCATTGGTTCTGGACCGTCTTAGCTTACAGAGCAAAGAAATAAATGTGTGTATACAAAGCCTTGTATAGACATAAATATAAATATTTCTAAATGTAATGTGTGTGTTAGTTCATACTGATGTCTACCACTCAATTCTTTTATCACATGATCATTCTGGCCTTCTCCCCTTGCTTACATTTAAGCTCCCACTTTAATAGTGAGAAACCAGGCTCCTGTCATTTGTCATCGTTTGCTTAACTGTCTAGTTCCAATATACATTTATTCTCTATCAATATCAGAATCGCTATCCCATTTCCTTTAGGAAACAGCTATACCAACCAGATCATGTGAGTTGTTTGCAGTTTCTCTTCCTTTCAGTCTTCATGCATTTTCTTTGTTTCTTTCTGTTTTTTTTTTTTTTTTAAGATGGAATTTTGCTCTTCTTGCCCAGGCTGAGGCAGGAGTGCAGTGGCGTGATCTCGGCTCACTGCAACCTCTACCTCTCAGGTTCAAGCGATTCTCCTGCCTCAGCCTCCTGAGTAGCTGGGATTACAGGCACCTGCCATCATGCCCAGATCATTTTTGTCTTTTTAGTAGAGACAGGGTTTCACCATTTTGGCCAGGCTGATCTCAAACTCCCAGCCTCAGGTGATCCGCCACCTTGGCCTCGTAAAGTGCTGGGATTACAGGTGTGAGCTACCACGGAAGGCCCATCCATTTTCTAAGATGCTTATGTCAGCACGTTTTTCCCACTCTCTAGAGGGAAGTGGCTTTCTACATTTGTAGTACTTTAGATTTTTTATCACTTTCTGCATTCCATCCCAGGATCCCCAGAACACCTACTTTGTTGTTGTTGTTGTTTTAAAATTTGCATATATTAAGTGACACTCTTTGTGCTGTGAGATTCTTTGTTTTTTAAAAAATGCAGGCCGGGTGCGGTGGCTCACACCTGTAATCCCAGCACTTTGGGAGGCCAAGGCGGGAAGATCACGAGGTCAGGAGACAGAGACCATCCTGGCTACACGGTGAAACCCCGTCTCTACTAAAAATACAAAAACAAAATTAGCCGGGCGTGGTGGCAGGCACCTGTAGTCCCAGCTACTCGGGAGGCTGAGGCGGGAGAATGGCATGAACCCGGGTTGCAGAGATTGCAGTGAGCTGAGATCGTGCCAGTGCACTCCAGCCTGGGTGATAGAGCAGACTCCGTCTCAAAAAACAACAAAACAACAAAAAAAAAAAACAAACGCAAATGCATACTCTCATGTTTCCACAGTTGTGGTATCATACAGAATACTTTGACTGGTCCAAATAATGCCCAAGTGCATCACCTATTAAACCTCCTCACTGAATCTTTTGCCAGATCATTTACTTTTTTAGGAAGTAATATTCCCTTATATGACGTATCACAGTGGTTTTTTTTTTCCAGTCATCAATTATGAGATCTCTTGGTTTCTTCCAGTTTCAGGAATTATAAACAAACTGCTATATATATATTCATGTGCCAGTTTTGGTGTGGACATAGTTTTCAAATAAGGTGGATAAACACCTAAAAACACATTTGCAGCCAGGCGTGGTGGCTCACGCCTGTAATCCTAGCACTTTGGGAGGCCGAGGTGGTCGCATTGCCTGAGCTCAGTAGTTGGACACCAGCCTGGGCCACATGGTAAAATTTCCCAAATCAACAAGTTATACTGTCTCTAGTAAAATACAAAAAAAAAAAAAAAATTAGCCGGGCATGGTGGTAGGTGCCTGTAGTCCCAGCAACTCTGGAGGCTGAGGCAGGAGAATTGTTTGAACCCAGGAGGTGGAGGTTACAGTATCCTTCTATTGCACCACTGCACTCCAGCCTGGGTGACAGAGCAAGATTCTATCTCAAAACAAACAAAAAAACCACAACTGCTATATTATATGTAAGACTTTTTTTTTTACATATAGTATAGCAACTATGGGCATAAGAAATTGCCCATCTGTCTTCCAAAGTGGTGGTTTCATTTTGCAAGTGGTGAAAGAAAAAAAACAAAAAACAAAATTCTTCTTGCTCCTGGTTTTTGGGAAAAAGCATCCCATTTCTCATCATTAAGTATGATAGTTTTAGGGGTTTTGTAGATGTTCTTTGTCAAGTTAAGAAAATTCACCTCAATTCCTAGTTTTCTGAGAGTTTCTCAAATTATAGATGGGTGATAGATTTTGCCATAAGCTTTTTCTACATCAGTTGATACAGTCACATGATTTTTCTTCCTGCAGATTTAGGAAATTCTGCAGATAATTTTCTAATATTGAATCAGTCTTGCATACAGTCTTACCTAGAATAAACACATAGTTAGATTCAATTGTCTAGTATTTTGTGAAGGATTATTGGATCTTTGTTCATGAGAGATATTGATATATTGATTTTATTTCGTGTTATGTCTATTGGATTTGGTAAGAGGGTAATATTTACCTCATAGAATAAGTTAGGAAGTGTTATCTCTAACTCCATTTTCTTGAAAAGTCTGTGGAAAATTGGTATAATTTCTCCTTTAAATGCTTGATAGAATTCACCACTAAAGCCATTTGGGCCTGGAACCATTGGTGGGGGGGGGTGGGTTATTAACTATTTATTCAATTCCTTTTATAGATATAAAAGTACTGATGTTATCTATTTTTTCTTTTGTGAGTATTGGCATATTGTGTCTTTCAAGGTATTTGTCCATTTTATATAGGTTATTGAACTTGCGAGTATAGAGTTTTTAATATAGTAAATATATTATTCTTTTAATGTCCACAAAATCAGTAGTCATAACCCATACCCCTCTTTCACTTCCAATATTTGTAAGTTGTGTATTCTCTCTTTTTTTCTTTATTAGTTTGTCTAAATGTTAGCAAGTTTATGGATCTTTTCAAAGAAACAGCTTTCTGTTTCATTGATTTTCTCTATTGTTTTCCTGTTTTCTATTTTACTGATATTTGCTATACTTTATATATTTTTTCCCTTGTTACTTACTTTGGATTTTCTTTTTCTAATTTCTTAAGGCAGAAGCTTAAGTTATTGATTTTATCTCTTTTTTCATAATAATATATATTTAATGCTATAAATTTAGGTACCAGTTCTACTGTATCTCATATATTTTAATAAGTTGTGATTCCATTTCCATTTAATTCCAAATAGTTTAATTACTCTTTAGTCTTCTTTTGGGATGCACTTAGATGTTTTGTTAAGTCTTCAAATATTTGAAAAATTTTTCAGTTCTTCCTGCTATTTATTTCTACTTTAATTTTTATTGTGGTCTGATTGTGTACTTTGTATGAACTTTATTCTTTGAAAAATTTTAAGAAGTTTATGGCCCATAATGCAGTCTGTCTTGTACAAACTAGAGAAGAATGTGTATTCTACTTTTGTTGAAGTAGAATATAAATATTAATTATATTCATTTATTTTTATTTCATTTTATTTTATTTTGAGATAGAGTCTCACTCTGTCACCCAGGCTGGAGTGCAGTGGTGGTCTTGGCACACTGCAACCTCCACATCCCAGGTTAAAGTGATCCTCCCACCTCAGCCCAGAGTAGCTGGGATTACAGATGTGTGCCACAACACCCAGCTAACTTTGATATTTTTAATAGAGACGGTGTTTCATCATGTTGGTCAGGCTGGCCTCAGGTGGGTCCACCCACCTTGGCATCCCAAAGTGCTGGGATTACTGGCATGAGCCACCGTGCCTGGCCTGCCTCCTCTTATTTTAATTGAGCATCTTCTATGATTGCATTTTTGTCTCAGCTCTTGGTGTATCTCATCACCTCATGAGATGTGACCTCATCACTTCTTTTAAAAACTTGTGGTGGTTTTCTTAGAATTGATTATATGCATTTTAAGTCTATCTTTAAATTAGTTAGAATTGATTATATACAGTTTAGGTCTATCTTCAAATAAAATTGTTACTTCACATGTAGTGTAGGTATTGCATAAAAATACTACCAGATTGTACCTCCTGTACCTTATGACATTGCTATTTTTCATTTCATCTGTCCACATTCTATAATTACTCATTTTTTGTTACTAAACAGTTATCTTATGGATCAATAAGAATAAAAAAAGTTTTTAACTTTAATTTATTCTTTTTCATGTATTTCTTTATTGTGGATCTGAATTTCTCACTTGCATCATTTTCTCTCCCCTTGAAGAACTTCCTTTAGTATTTCTTGCAAGACAGGTCAGCTGACAATCACTTAAATTTTGTTTTTCTGAGAAAGTTTTCTATTTGCTTTCTTTGTTAAAGGAAATTTCAATATATAGAATTGCTTTATCCCCCTAAAGTCATATGCTGTTGAATATATTTTCAAATACTTTTTTGCCATTTTTATATTTCCTTTGGTGTCTTCTCCATTTATATTGTTTCCCCATTTTTAACTGAATTGTTTACTTTCTTGTGAAATTTGAAGGGTTTCTTGTGTATTTTGAATAATAGCATTTATTACAGACTAGTGGATAAAGAAAATGTGGCATATACATACCATAGAATATTATTCATCCTGAGAAAAGAAGGAAATCCTAAAATCTGTGATAACATTGATGGACTGAGAGAACTTAATGCTAAGTAAAATAAGCGAGACACAGAAAGACAAATATACTGCATAATCTCACTTATCTGTGAAATCTAAAAAATTTAAACTCATTAGATGTTAGGGATTAGAAGGTAGGAAAAATGGGGAGATGCTTTTGGTTAAAAGATGAATAAATTCTGGATACCTAACATATATAGCATAGTAGCTACAGCTGATAAGAAAGTATTGTATACTTGAATTTTGCTAACAGGGTAGGTCTTACGTATTTCCATACAAGCACACATAGACACACACAGAGAAAGTGTAACTTTGTAAGTTGATGAAAATGTTAATTGACTGTGGCTATTATTTCACAATGTATACACACATCATATTATATAACTTAAATATGTACAATTTTTATTTATCAATCATACTTCAATGAAGCTAGAAAGAAAAATAAGAAAAAACATTTGTACAGCATAATTAATTATGAAAGGGATACATTTTCTAACAATTATGACATCTTTTTCTATGCTTATTTTAGAATATTGTATTATTATTGGGATTTTTACCACCATTTTCTTCTCTGCACCTGTATTCCTATCTTTATCACAGTGACCAAATCTCCTCTGATAACACTTAATTTTTGCCCATCTGAAATTATATCTTAAATTCCAAAAAGTAAATGTTTTCTGATTTTTAGGGAAAAATAAGTATATTCTAGATTTCCTAGGTGACCTCTAGAAAAACAGTGACAATTTTTGCCTTATAAAATGAGTGAGGCTACAATAAATTGGACTTCTTTGGTGTGCTCCATATTTCTTCATTAGTTCCACACATCTGCATGAGTTGCACGAGGTCAATTCTAAAGGGCTCAGCCTTCTCAGTTCATTTTACATAATCTTACATATTAAGATGAATGGTGGTGGGGTGCGGTGGCCCACATCTGTAATCCCAGCACTTTGGGAGGCTGAGATGGGCAGATCAGGAGGTCAAGAGATGGAGACCATCATGGCCAACATGGTGAAACCCCATCTCTACTAAAAATACAAAAACTAGCTGGGCATCGTGGTGCATGCCTGTAGTCTCATCTATTCAGGAGGCTGAGGTAGGAGAATCACTTGAACCCAGGAGGTAGAGGTTGCAGTGAGCCAAGATCGCACCACTGCACTCCAGCCTGGTGACACAGGGATACTCTGTCTCAAAAAAAAAAAAAAAAAAAAAAGAGGTGAATTGTTTAGGAACTGTAGACATTTAACTCATAGATTAGAGACTGTAATAGGAAATTGGAGAGGTATATGCCCCCAGGTGAAACATTGGTCAAGTCTTTATGAGATAGTATTGAACCTAATGCAGAAGTTTATTCTTCTCCATTTTTATATTACTGTTTACTATATAAATTAAACAGCCAATTAGTTGCATCTCTAGGTGGTTTTTGTTTTCCTCTGACACTTACTTGAATGTTCTCCTATAAAGTACTGAGCATAACAACTTACTTTTAAATCTCATTGTTTTAAGGATTTATCTTTTTGCCTCATTGGTAGATAATTTTATCAAAGCAAAAAACTGACTCAACATCCAGTAGAAGGAGTATGAATCACACAGTTTCTTTTTCTATCTCTGATCCTCAATTTTATATACTACATCTTGTAAGTGAAATACATCATTCAAACGCTGTCTCATTTCTATTTTTCTCTGAGAATTCAGAACAATATATTTGTACTTACTCTGCATGCTTGTAGGACAACATATTATTATTGTAGGACTTTCTCCTTAGTTCAGCTAAAAGCTGCGTTCTTGTCACACAGCCATGAAATATTAGGCTCACAGACGCTTTGAAGGGTGAGAAAAATGGAATTTATTGGCGAAAGGGAAAAAAGGGGAAACAGAGACTGTCAGTAAAGAGAGTCCTCTACTCAGCTTCCTGCCTCATAGATCGAATCCCAGCCTCCGCCCTGGAACAGAAGAGGCCAGGCTCCTCCCTGCTGCAAACTTCCCGAGGCTCCACCTCAGTTTGCACTCCTGCCAGTGTGCAAGCTGGTCGGAGGTTCTGCCGGGGAGCCGTTTTTACTTGCTGTCTCATTATTTGCATAGTTTCATCAAGAATCTGTCCTTTTTTCCTGGGATTTAATTGGACATCCAAGGCCATACCTGTGTTTATAAGGTATGAAAACACCTATTAAGAAATAAGATTGTACTTTAAATGTTGAGCCAACACCTACTAAGTCCTCCACCTGTTCTATGGTTCCAGCCTCACATTGGTAAGGGAGTGTTTTCAGAAGGCCGTGAATCTTACATTTTAGAACTTGGTGGAGGGAAGACTTCACTTATGTGTTTAACTCCTCTTTCTGAAGCTACATAAATAATCAGGGTCAAATATAGTCAGATAAACTTTTTCTTTTTTTGATTAAGAATAACACTTGGAGGCTGAGCCAGTGGGTCACGCCTGTAATCCCAGCATTTTGGGAGGCTGAGGCAGGCGGATCACGCTGTCAGGAGATCGAGACCATCCTGCCCAACATGGTGAAACCCCGTCTCTACTAAAAATACAAAAAATTAGCTGGGCATGGTTGCGGGCGCCTGTAGTCCCAGCTACTCTGGAGGCTGAGGCAGGATAATGGCGTGAACCCAGAGGCGGAGCCTGTAGTGAGCCGAGATCGTACCACTGCACTCCAGCCTGGGAGTCAGAGTCAGACTCTGTCTGAAAAAAAAAAAAAAAAAGAATAACACTTGGAGATTACTGACATGAAAATAAGGAACTGAGTTAGTTATGGATTAGCACTAACAGAGGACATATTTGTAATAGGGGACTGCTAAGGAAAAGTATCTAAAACTCTGACATAACACATGTATTTTTAGTGTAATATTTCATTATTAAAAGCTATCATCTAGAAGGCCAACCCAAAGATTACTTCATTTTCTTTTGACTTGGCTATGTATTAGTTGATTTGATCCTAGATGCTATGCAATTATGTGATAACTTCTAGGTTTCTCTCTAGTAGAAAAAGACAATGCCAGACCTTATGGATCTGTTTCCATGAAGGATATTAATCAGTTTTAATTCACAACTGATAGGAGTTCATCAAGCATCAGAAAAACTGCTCTTGAGTGCATTTACTGTATACATTTTTGTGAATTACTGCATTATATCACATTTCCAATTCCCTTTTTCTAATAAGTTTAATAAAGTTTAAATTTTATGCTTAATAACCAAAAATACAGTGCAATTGGGAATACATATTTTTTCTTTATTTTTCTTTTTTAAATTGTGGTAAAATACACATACTGTAAAATTTATCACTTTAATGAATTTTAAATGAACAATTCAGAAGGCATTACATTCACCAAATTGCACAAACTTTACCACCGTCCATTTCCAGAACTCTTTAATCATCCCATATAGAAGCTCTGTTCCCATTAAAGAATAACTTCCCACCCACGCTAGTCCCTGGTAATGATTATTCTGTCTCTATGATTTGCTTATTCTAAGTACTTCAAGCAATATTTATCCTTTTGCATCTGGCTTATTTCACTAAGCATAATGTTTTCAAAGTTTAGATATGTAGTAATCATTGAAATTCTGTAGTGTATATTAGAATTTCATTCCTTAATAAGGCTGAATAAGTTTCCATTATGTGAATATGGTGTATTTTGTTTATTCATTCATTTATTGATGAATATTTGAGTTGCTTCCTGCTTTTGGTTACTGTAAATCATGGTACTGTGAACAATGGTCGTTAATATCTGTTGGAGTCTCTATTTGCAATTACTTCGGGCATGTATATAGGCATAGAATTGCTGGATCACATAGTAGTTCTATGTTTAACCTTTGAGGAGCCACCTAACTGTTGTCCACAGAAGCTACACAATTTTACATTCCCACCAGCAATGCACAAGGGTTCCCATTGACTCTGAATCCTCACTAACACTTGTTATTTTCTGGGATTTCTTTTTTGTAATCATCCTAATGGGTGTGAAATGATATCTCATCATTATTTTCATTTGTGTTTTTCTAATGCTAGTGATATTGAACCTCTTTTCGTGTGCTTGTTGGCCATTTGTATATCTTCTTTAGATAATTATCTATTCAAGTCTTTTGCCTATTTAACAAATTGAACCATTTATTATTGTTGAGTTGCTGGAGTTCTTTATTCTATTATACATATTATATCCACATATACTGATGTCATATCACATATGTGATTTGCAGACATCTTCTCCCATTCTTTGAGTTGTTGTTCCACTGTCTTGAGGGTGACTTTTTTTTTTGAGATGGAGTCTTGCTCTGTCACCCAGGCTTGAGTGCAGTGGCACAATCTCAGCTCACTGCAACCTCCACCTCCCAGGTTCAAGTGATTCTTTTGCCTCAGCCTCCCAATTAGCTGGGATTACAGGTGCACACCACCATGCCCAGCTAATTTTTGTATTTTTAGTGGAAATGGGGTTTCACCATATTGGCCAGGCTGGTCTCAAATTCCTGACCTTGTGATCCACCCGCCTCAGCCTCCCAAAGTGCTGGGATTACAGGCGTGAGCCACCACACCTGGTCAACGGTGACTTTTAATGCACAGAACCTTTACTTTTGATGAAACTATTTTTTTTGTTATTTTTCATTCCCTGTACCTTTGATGTCGTATCTAAGAAATCATTGCTAAATCTAACATAAAGAATATTTTCTATGTTTTTTTATCTGAGTTTAAGTGTTGTAGTTGTTACTTTTAACTCTTTGATCTATTTTAGCTTATTTTTGTATATTATGTAAGTTAAGGGCCCAAAGTTTATATTTTGCCTGTGTATATCCAGTTTACCCAGTACTTGTTGTTATTAATCAATTTTGCTTCTTTTTTTTTTTTTGAGACGGAGTTTCACTCTGTCGCCCAGGCTGGAGTGCAGTGGCGCAATCTGGGATCACTGCAAGCTCCGCCTCCTGGGTTCATGCCATTCTCCTACCTCAGTATCCTGAGTAGCTGGGACTACAGGCCACCACGCCTGGCTGATTTTGGTTTTGTATTTTCAGTAGAGACCGGATTTCACCGTGTTAGTCAGGATGGTCTCGATTTCCTGACCTCGTGATCCACCCACCTCGGCCTCCCAAAGTGCTGGGATTACAGGTGTGAGCCAGTGCTCCCGGCCCAGTTTTGCTTCTAACATAGTTGTCTTATTCTAACATTTCTTGTTTTTGGGGAAAAAAAAATCTGTAATTATTTTTTTTTTACTTGTTCTTGGAACCAGCTTTCCCACCTACTGATTTCCTCAGGAATAAGTGAAATAAATTTTGACAGAGGTTTATTTTGTATTTGTATGTGAGTTTTATTATTAAGCTCATTATTAAGTTTTATTATTAAGCAGAGAAAATTATAATCTGGCCATGTAAATATCCACAGTGTATTACTTTCAGAATGTCCTGATTTTTTCTCTTGCTATAAAGAAGACTCAGGGAATTTACAATAACACACCTGAGTGTTAGAGTCAGGCAGCCATTGTCAGTTGGTGGGTCAGAACTGTACATAGATTTTGAAACAAACAACAGCTACAATGACAATTTCTTGTAGACAGAGAATGTAAACCCATGCTTTATTTACTTCTCTCCCAACGAACATAACTAGGCCTATTTTTTATTCTGAGACTTCCCTAAAGGGGCCTTTCATTTGTTCTATGACAGATAACTTGATGGATCAAGTGGGTTAAAACTAAAATAATAGTGTGAAACACCCAGTTATGTCCTTGTAAGCATTATATGTTGACATTTGCAGTAGGCTTTCATGAAATGATTTAAGGCTTTGAGACCCTGGAACAAACTTAGAACCACTATATTAATAGTGGCTACAAACTAGTATTAGCCGGAAGGGTTTTGAAAGATTATGTTGATTTCTTAGATATATTTGTGCCAGAGAGGCAACTGCAAGTTAATCTCTACTCTCAGTGAAAGGCTTAATGTGGACACCTATAAAATCCCCAGTGGTCATAACTCACAGGAATCTCTCCAGAGGGACAGCATCATACCCAGTAGGGCAACATTAATTTCCTCAGGACATATCAGCAATTAAAAAAAATACAGAACTAGGCATGAGTCAACTTCTCCCTTAAAATTGTATTTCTCATCTAAATGAAAGCACATTTTTAAGAGAGAAAGATGTGTAAGATATAGAAATATTAAAGTAAGGGCTACAGTACATATAATACTAAGCAAATGAAGAGAGGAGGCTAAATATCAAAGTTGTAGGTGGTGAGTTATACTCAGCTACTTCATTTGACAGTTTAAGAAGTCAGATCTAAGTCAAAAGAAGTAACTTCTATCTCTTTGGAAAAGTGAATTGATAATATGCCATTGTCAATAAGTGAAGATGGTATCAGTGTTCTCTAGATGTTTAAAACATTGTAAGACATTTGTTCATATAAAAATTGTTAATCATCTTGCTTGCTATGGGCTTTTTAAAAAGAATTAAGGGCTACTCCTTTTAGTAAACATGTAACTCTATACATTGAAAAAATCCAATTGTAAATTGACTTGCTATCCTTTCCTTCAATACAAACATTAGCCTCAAATGCAAAAGTGGCACGGATTCAGAGTAAATTAAGTGAAAATATGAAGGGGTGGCCAGCCCCTCCACACCTGTGGGTACTTCTAGTCAGGTGGGATGAGAGACTGAGAAAAGAAATAAGACACAGAGTCAAAGTATAGAGAAAGAAAAGTGGGCCCAGGGGACCGGCGCTCAGCATACCAAGGACCTGCATCGGCACCGGCCTCTGAGTTCCCTCAGTTTTTATTGATTATTATTTTCATTATCTCAGCGAGAGGAATGTGGTAGAACAGGGTGATAATAGGGAGAAGGTCAGCAAAAAAACATGTGAGCAGAAGAATCTGTGTCATAATTAAGTTCAAGGGGAGGTACTATGCCTGGATGTGCACGTAGGCAGATTTATGTTTCTCTCTGCCAAAACATCTCAGTGGAGTAAAGAACAATAAAGCAGCATTGCTGCCAACATGTCTTGCCTCCCACCATAGGGTGGTTTTCCTCCTATCTCAGAATTGAACAAATGTAAAATTGGGTTTTATACCAAGGCAGTCGGTTCCCGGGAGCAGGCAGGAGACAGTGGCCTTCCTCTATCTCAACTGCAAGAGGCTTTCCTCTTTTACTAATCCACCTCAGCACAGACCATTTATGGGTGTTGGGCTGGGGGATAGTCAGATCTTTCTCGTCCCATGAGGCATATTTCAGACTATCACATGGGGAGAAACTTTGGACAATACCCGGCTTTCCAGGGCAGAGGTCCCTGTCGTTTTCCACAGTGCATTGTGCACCTGGTTTATTGAGAATAGAGAATGGCAATGATTTTTACCAAGCATACTGCTTGTAAACATTTTGTTAACAAGTCACAGCCCTAGATCCCTTAAACCTTGATTCCATACAACACATGTTTTTGTGAGCTCAAGGTTGGGGCAAAGAGGTTGGGGCACAGTGATTGGGGCAAAGTTACAGATTAACAGAATCTCAGGGCAAAGCAATTGTTCAAGGTACAGGTCAAAATGGAATTTATTATGTCTTCCCTTTCTATATAGACAAAGTAACAGTCTGATCCCTCTTCCTTTTCCCTACAAAATAGAAATGATTTTTAGCAACAGAAGAAAACTAAAACGAATAACTTATTTTTTAAAAGTAACATATTGGCTAGGCATAGTGGCTCTTGTCTGTAATCCCAGCATTTTGGCAGGTGGAGGCGGGCAGATCACTTGAGGTCAGGAGTTTGAGATCAGCCTGGTCAACATGGTGAAACCTCACCTCTATTAAAAATACAAAAAATGGGCTGGGCATGGTGGCTCACGCCTATTATTCCAGCACTTTGGGAGGCTGAGGCAGGTGGATCAGGAGGTCAGGAGTTCGAGGCCAGCTTGACCAACATGGTGAAACCCTGTCTCTACTAAAAATACAAAAATTGGCCAGGCATGGTGGCACATGCCTGTAATCCCAGCTACTCAAGAGGCTGAGGCAGAAGAATCGTTTGAACATGGGAGGCGGATAGCTGGGCATGGCGGCACGTGCCTGTAATCCCAAATACTCAGGAGGCTGAGGCAGGAGAATCACTTGAACCTGGGAAGCGGAGGTTGCAGTGAGCGGAGGTTGTGCCATTGTATTCCAGCCTGGGCGACAGAGCAAGACTCTGTCTCCAAAAAAAGAAAAAACACAAAAACAAAAAACAAGCTGGGCATGGCTGGTGTCTGCCTGTGATCCCAGATACTTGGGAGGCTGAGGCAGGAGAATAGTTTGAATCTAGGAGACTGGGGTTGCAGTGAGTCAAGATGGCACCACTGCACTTCAGTCTGGGGGACAGAGTTAGGCTCTGTCAAAAAAAAAATGCAGCAGCGTATTATGCTTCTGCTTAGGATTTAGGCTGAACTACCATTTAAAATGTATTGTATCCTTTCACTCTTCCTTTCCTAAGATTCCACATAGATATTGTAGAGAAGTCCAAACTCAACACCATTTGTTTACGTTAGTAAGGTCTTTAAAATTTTATATAGATTTAAGTATTTACCTTAACCAAAACTAAACGCCTAGAGACTTGTCTCCACAGAAAATCAGCTTAATTCATATTTTTCTCAAACACTTGCCAAAACCTTAAACCCATTTTCAATGCAAGTAGTGGCTAACTTTTTTTGTGCATATCTTTTTGCCTTTTTGCCATTTCCTTAGCCAGATTTGCCTATTTATCTTTTTATTTTTGAGATGGAATTTCGCTTGGTCACCCAGGCTGAAGTGCAATGGCACGTTCTCATCTCACTGCAACCTCAGCCTCCCAGGTTCAAGCGATTCTCCTGCCTCAGCCTCCTGATTAGCTGGGACTACAAGTGTGCACCACCATGCCCAGCTAATTTTTGTGTTTTTAGTAGAGACAGAGTTTCACCATGTTGGCCAGGATGGTCTCGATATTAGACCTCGTTATCTGCCTGCCTCGGCCTCCCAAACTGCTGAGATTACAGGCCTGAGCCACTGTGCCCATCTGTGCCTATATTTTTAAAAGATCAAAGGTTTGTCTGAAATAAAGAGAAACTACAGGATTTTGTTCTGAGATTCAGTCAGGACCTGGTAAGACAGATAATTTAGAGCAAGCTTTGATCTTATCAATGTTTATATCAGCTGAAAGAAAGACTCGCACACTCAGAGTCTTTCCTAGTGATTAAAGAATTTAATTTTCATTCACAATTCACAGTAAGGAATTGTTGTAAGAAAATACTGTATTTCAATATAGCATTTTCTCCTTTTTTTGTTGTTTTAATGGCATAATATGCTATGTGTGAGGTCAACACGAGGAGAGACAAAAAGAACAAGTTTATAAATGTGGTTATATTGTCCCCTAACCTAGGAAAAAATGACAATATTGACATTAAAATTTGCATTATTTGCCTCTGGCTTTCATGGGAATTGTTTTGTTTGTTTGTTTTTGTTTGTTTTTTGTTTTTGTTTTTTACAATTGGTATGCCATTTTTTAATGTTACCTATAACTAGCATTAGAATTGTATGGGAGCTTTTGTTTCTTTTGTTTTGGAGGATGTGATTCTTAAAATGAAGTTAATATTTTTAGAACATAAAATATATCAAGGCAAGGACATTTCTAAGAGTAATACTGGAAAAGAACAGTTAATCGGTGAATTCACCAGTAAGTTTAAGTCAATTTAAAATTAACTTAGCACATTATATGTTCATAGCACTCTGTGGACCAGTAGGGAATACAAAAATGAAAAAAGCCTGACACTGTTTTATCAGTGAAAAGAGACAGGCCATTAACTTACTAAAATGTACGGCAGAGTAATGTATGTGCTAAATTATGACATATACAATAAAGTCTGCAGGAACCAAAGGATATGTCAATGAGTTTCAATAAAGATTCAAGGACATCTTCAGAGAGGACAGAACAGTGGAATTTTTTAATTTAAATTTTATGGGGGATGGTAGGAAATTCCAGGTGGCCAGATGGTTTGACTAAATGCATGGTAGTTATAATGTGTTGGCTCTATTCATGAAACAATGAATTCCATATGTCTGGGACATTAGGTACTGGTGTGAACATGGAAGAAAAGTGTGGGGGCAAAGGAGAAAAAGGATAAATGGGGATTTCTGTCTACATCATGCCAAGCATTATAATTTTACTTTCTAGACCAAGAAGATATTTTTATGGTTTTTTTTTTGAGCAGACAAGTGACAAAGTGAGATATTTATGCTTCAGAAAGTTTAGTTGTATCAAAATGTAGAAAATATTTCAAGAAATAAGAAATAAATACTGTATGGCAAACTTTCAGATATTTTAAAAATAGTCTAAATTAAGAGCCTAAACTAGAAAAATATTTTTCTAAGAGAAATAATGTGTTGGTGCTATTAAACATGATAGGGGACAATTGATGGGAATCAGTGACTAATTAAACATGATATGTAAGGAAATGAAATAATTTGATAGAATTCTGAGGTTTCAAGCCTGGGTAACTGGGAGAATGGTGATGAATTTTGCAGAGGTAGGAAATGTTGAAGATACAACTGATTTTTGAAGACTAGTAATTTTACAGTCATGCACCATGTAAATACATTTCAATAAATGGTGGACCACTTATTGGTCCTGTAGGATTGTAATGGAGCTGAAAAATTCCTGTTTCCTAGTGATGTCATTGTCAATGTAATATCATTGTACAATTCATTACTCACATG
This sequence comes from Homo sapiens, assembly GCF_000001405.40. Classification (NCBI taxonomy): domain Eukaryota; kingdom Metazoa; phylum Chordata; class Mammalia; order Primates; family Hominidae; genus Homo; species Homo sapiens. Next base: position 19,863,001 of record NC_000015.10, on the reverse strand, counting down.
TCTGTGCTGATGCTGGTGAAAACAGACCTATTGTGCTGCCAGGCCTCTAGCACATATAATTACTTACAGAACATAATACCTGATAATGATAATAAGTGACAATATTACTGGTTTATACATTTACTACTCTATTCTTTTTATCTTTTTTTTTTGAGATGGAGTCTCCATCTGTTGCCCAGGCTGGAGTTGCAATGGTGTGATATCGGCTCACTGCAACCTCCACCTCCCGGTTTCAAGTGATTTTTCTGCCTCAGCCTCCCGAGTAACTGGGATTACAGGTGCCCACCACCGCACCTGCCTAATTTTTGTGTTTTTAGTAGAAACAGGGTTTCACCATGTTGGGCAGGCTGCTCTTGAACTGCTGCCCTCAAGTGATCCTCCCGCCTCAGCCTCCCAAATTGCTTGCATTACAGGTATGAGCCACCATGCCTGGTCCTTTTTATCATGTTTTGAGAGGGTACTACTTATTAAAAAGAAAAAGAAAACTGAAGAGTAGAGCAATTTCAGGCAGGTCCTTCAGGAGGTATCCAGAAGGAGGGATTGTTATCATAGGAGATGACAGCTTCATGTGTATTATTGCCCCAAGGAACTTCCATTGAGACAGAATATGAAGGTGGAAGACAATGATGTTGATGATCCTGACCCTGCATAGGCTTAAACTAATGTGCGTGTTTGTGTTTGTTTTTATAAAAGAGTTAAAAAGTAACACAAAAATTAAAAGTTGGAAAAAGCTTATAGACTTAGATATAAAGAAAATAATATTTTTTAAAGTTGTACAATATGTTTATCTTTTAAGCTAAGAGTTGTGACAAAGGAGCCAAAAGGTTAAAAAAAGTATATTAAATAAAAAAATTACAGTAAGCTAAAGTTAATTTATTATTGATAAAAGAAAACAATTTAAAAATAAATTTGGCATAGCTTAAGTGTGCATCCAGTATTGCTAAAGTCTACAACAGTGCCCATAATGTCCTAGGCCTTCATATTCACTCACCACTCACTCACTTACCCAGAGCAACTTCCAGCTGTGCAAGCTCCTTTCATGGTAAGTGCCCTCTACAAGTGTACCCTTTTTTTTTTTACTGCACCTTTTCTATGATAAGATGCAAAATACCTACCACTGTGTTACAGTTGCCTGCAGTATTTAGTACAGTAACATGCTGTACAGATTTGTAGCCTAGGAGCAACAGGCTACATATACTCTACCATATACTCTAGCAGAGTAGTAGGCTATCCCATCTATGTTTGTGTAAGTACACTCTGAGATATTTGCACAATAACAAAACTGCCTAAAGACATATTTCTCCAAATTTATTCCATCATCAAGTGATTCATGCCTGTATGCACACATATGTAGGGGCATGCAGAGAGGGCAATTCCTGTGTCCCAGGCACTGCTTTATGCTTGATAAATCTGTTATTCACCCTCACTACAATCTTACCCAGAGACAGGCACCATTATTTTCCCCATTTCACAAATAAATAAACTGAACACAGGTAATTTATGTAACTTGCCTAAGATCACATAACTAGAAAAGAGAGAAAAGAAATTTAAGCTGATTATAAAGCTCTTTCTATTAATGATTATGATATACTTTGTAATGTTATTTCTAGCTTTGATCATTTTATGAAGGAAAATAAAATAGATTAACAAAATTCAAAAATCTTTAACATAAAATTATAAAAGAACTTGATTAATGTTATAAAGTGAGGGATAGTCCAGGTGAGGCGGCTCATGCCTGTAATCCCAGCACTTTGGGAGGCTGAGGCAGGTGGATCATGAGGTCAGGAGATTGAGACCATCCTGGCTAACATGGTGAAACTCCATCTCTACTAAACATACAAAAAATTAGCCGGGCGTGGTGGTGGGCACCTGTAGTCCCAGCTACTTGGGAGGCTGAGGCAGGAGAATTGCTTGAACCTGAGAGGCCGAAGTTGCAGTGAGCCAAGATCCCACCACTGCACTCCTGCCTGGGCGACAGAGCAAGACTCCGTCTCAAAAAAAGAAAAAAAAATTTAAAAAAATATTAAAATGAGGGATAAATTGGGCCGGGTGTTGTGGCTGATGCCTGTAATCTCAGCACTTTGGGAGGCCGACGTGGGTGGATTGCCTGAGCTCAGGAGTTTGAGACTTCATTATAAGTCTTCAGCTAAAATTCTGCCCATTTTGGTGAAGGAACTGTGTGTGGCACATAAGGAGAGCTTAATGTTAGTATTTACCATAGCCTTACTAATATAATCCTATAATATTGTTCTCCATGTTCCCAAAATTAAAAAGTAGTCTAATTCTACATATGAACTCAAAATAAATATATACTGTTATGTGTTATGTGGCATAACTCAAAATAATTAGAACTAAACACAGCTCTTATTTTCTCACACATACTGAGTATGGAATTACTATTATTTTTGTTTCCTTGATCAGAGGTAGATGAAACTTGATAATATAGTCACTGACTGAAGGGCATTGTTTTGCCAAAGTTCGTTAAGTTAAAAAATATTTTGGATCAATAAATGTCTTTCATTAAAATATTCACCTATGTAAAATAAGTATTCAGAATTGCATAGGACATGTGAATGTCATCTTTCTTCTGCTGTTCATTTACCCAACATTTTTCTTCTTTTTATATGTGCCAGGTTGAAAATTGTCATCCCATACTCTTTTCAGCTAAGAATATTTCTGTGTTGGGAATATCTTGAATTTCCCTCAAGGGTTGATGATATTGCCCACAAAGACTTTAGGCAATTTTGATGGCCAGAATGAAAACAGGCAGCTAAGATATTTATTTTTAAAAGAAAAGAATAGAAAACTTTGTAATCTAATCATGCATCGTAGGAAGTATTTTTTTTTTTTTTTTTTGAGAGACGGAGTCTTGTTCTGTAGAGCAGGCTGGAGTGGAGTGGCGTGATCTCGGCTTGCTGTAACTTCCGCCTCCCGGGATGAGGCGATTCTCTTGTCTCAGCCTCTGGGAGTAGCTAGGATTACAGACATGCGCCAACATGCCCAGCTAATTTTTGTAGTTTTAGTAGAGATGGGGTTTAGCCATGTTGGCCAGCCTTCCTCAAGCGATTCTCTTGCCTCAGCCTCCCAAGTAGCTGGGACCACAGGCACCCGCCACCATGCCCGGCTAATTTTTTGTATTTTTAGTAGGGGCGGGTTTTCACCGTGTTAGCAAGGATGGTATTGATCTCTTAACGTCGTGATGAGCCCACCTCGGCCTCCCAAAGTGCTGGGATTACAGATGTGAGCCACGCCCCACTCTGGAAGTAATTATTAATAATGTTGTTTCTCCTTCCAGTTCTTCAGTTTGTTAAGCGCAACTGTTGAAAACATTTATTTGTCCCAGGAGATTATAGGAAAAAATTAAGTGAATCTACTTAAACATAAAATTCCCAGTTTTAGAATAGATTCTTTTTTTTTTTTTTTTTGAGATGAAGTTTTGCTGTTGTTGCACAGGCTGGAGTGCAATGGCACAATCTCAGCTCATTGCAACCTCCGCCTTCCGGATTCAAGTGATTCTCCTGCCTCAGCCTCCCAAGTAGCTGGGATTACAGGCGCCTGCCACCATGCCCAGCTAATTTCTGTAATTTTTTTAGTAGACCATGTTGGCCTGGCTGGTCTCGAACTAACCTCAGGTGATCCGCCTGCCTTGGCCTCCCAAAGTACTGGGATTACAGGCGTGAGCCACCGTGCCCGGCCAGATTCAGATCTTTATTAGGGATGTCATTTAGCTAATTTAATGTATTTCTATGCCATAGTTCATATTTTCTGTGCTGTAAGTATTTTCTATATGTCTGATTTATGTTGAAGAATAGTATCTCTTTAGACACAGGGGCATACTGAGAGCATCTACACCATGGCAAATGGCTTTGCATTTTGCACTCTATACCATTGCCAAAAAAAGGTTTGATTATGCTACTAAAAATCCGACATGAATCAGTGAACACCAAAAGCCAATAATTTTAGAATCTCAAAATAGTGGAATGTTTAGAATTGTGATATTTTCAGCTTATTTTCTCCATCAATTTTCATTAGAAAGCGAGGAAGGAAAGTGGTAGAATTTAGGAGTTAAAAAATCAAATTAACGGGCAGGGCGCGGTGGCTCACGCCTATAATCCCAGCACTTTGGGAGGCTGAGGCGGGCGGATCATGAGATCAGGAGATCAAGATCATCCTGGCTAACAGGGTGAAACCCTGTCTCCACTAAAAATACAAAAAATTAGCTGAGCATGCTGGCAGGTGCCTGTAATCCCAGCTACTCAGGAGGTTGAGGAAGGAGAATGGCGTGAACCCGGGAGGTGGAGCTTGCAGTGAGCCAAGATCACGCCACTGCACTCCAGCCTGGGCGATAGTGTGAGCCTCTGTCTCAAACAACAACAACAACAACAACAACAACAACAACAAATTAACACCTTGCTTATTATAATAAAGAACTAAAATAATCCAATACCTGTAACCTAGAGAATAAGGTTCACATCACTTAAAATGGCATTATATATAAAAGAAAAGATTGGTTCTACTACATACATCAGGCTTATTAAGTCACACTAGACAACTGAGGTTGCCTAAGACGTCATTGTCTTGGACTTGCAAGGGCCTCCAACTCCAGTTAAGGGATAAGAAAAAATGAAAACGAGCAACCTAGCAGTTTTCACAGGCCTCAGAGAGCTGGGGCCACATCGAACCCAGTCACAGGTTGTACCAATTTGATTTACAATAATGAAAGAACCATCTGCTTATACTTGAGTTACAGCACATCCCTTTGTAGATATCCATACAATAGAAAGCCCCAGCAGTTGATTCACAGTAGAACAAAGTGTTTTTGTCAAGCAAAGGAAATTCTACACGTAGATGAAATTTTATTGGCACACATAATTAAAAGATGGTGTAGGTAGGCATAAGTAAGGAAACCATAAGCAGACATAGTCAACATACTAGGTAAGTAAAACCAAATCCAGAAGGTTGTATTTAGTAATATTCATTTCAGATTTCCTTGGATAATTGTGGTTTGCCTTACATCTTTTGACTATGACACAGAGATTTTATTCACTTTTTAAAATATCTCCTAGAATGTAGCTTGAGTCAAACAGGAAAACATATTGCAGCATTCTCTCTTTTACCTCCCCCAAAGCACTGTAATATGGCTTTTGGAAATATTTCCTCGTTGTCCTTTAGTTTTTGGAATGATGTCTGAGATACTGCTGTATATAAATACAATGATAGTCCATATTTCCTGTAAGTTTGCCTATTCAGAAAGCTGCATTTACATACATGCTGAAACACAATCGCTGGTGATGTATCAACCAGAAATTTTATGTGTGAGCCTAAAAGGAAGTGTTGAGTCTTTCTCTACTTAAATAATTAGAAATTAAAAGTACCTCTTCTGCATTCTACAGTTTATGTAATATTAAAAGAAGGAATTTTGGCAAAGTAACTGAGGTTATCAGTTCAGTTCAATTTATAAATTCAGTGACATCAACTTGTCCCAGCAAAATAATCAGTAGATACTCCATCATCACCACTGTTTCTGTTTTCAAGCGGAGAGAAAAAAAATAAATTAATTGTATTATATGTTACAACCTTGGGTAAATTTTTTTTCTAAATTGGTGGGTATAGCACAGCAAATCAAAGGTTGATAACATAAAATAGTGGACTAAACTTCAGTTCTAAAAAGTTAACAAATCTTGGAGTCTGTTTGCTTAGTTGTAAAATGGGGATAATATTCTCACCTTTGAGTATCTCACACAGTTGCTGTAGGATTTATTTGAGAAAAAATATGCGTAAAGATGCTTTGGAAGTTATAAAACTGCATCCTAATACACAGTAAAATTATAAAATTTGATTTGAATGATACCAACTAGTTGGGGGTAAAATATGTTACATAAGAACTCCCTGAAAAAAGAAATCATGTGTCATGTCATGTTTGTCATCAAGGATGACAAGGTTTCAATTTGCCTAGGTCAGAAATGCTGTGGTTCTATTCCCTCAACAACAAATTACTTCTGCTTCGAGTACATGTTTTCCAAAAGCTAGAAAACACCCGTCAAAAGGTTACTTTCCAAACATAAAAAACAGGTTTACTTCAACACATTATGTCTGTAGGAAGAGTCAAATGAAACAAAACTATTGAATAATTTCCCAGAATAGAGTCATAGTATCCAAAATTTGGAACAGAATTGGATGATAGTTGTAGGTCAAGTCCCTTTGCAGGTATAAATCCCCCCTTTAAAGTGGAAAAGTATACAAATTGTGTAATATAGGTATAAATTACAGACTATACATGACTGGAATTTCAGAGGCATGTATGCAATATGAGTTTAGCATGGAGAGATAGCCAACTGGGTAAACATAATTGATCCATGCTGCTATGAAAGATAATCAAAGCTAAAGCTGATTGCCAGTTACACATTTAGATCTTTTATGCAGTGAATTATGATAAGCAGATAGAGATTTTTTTGTTTCAGGCATTTCCCCTAAAAACTATCCTACATAAGGAAATTTCCTTTATGAATATGCCAGTTACTGTGTCTATTACAGGTCTTCTAAAACATACTATTGTAGAATTTGTGAATAAATATAATGGATGGAAGCAAATTAATGTTTTAGAATGTAATAAATTTTAAAAGTCAACTTAACTGAGGTTTACTTTCAATACAATAAAATACATCCAAATTAAGTACAAACATATAAAGTTATGTGGCTACCACCAATGAAGATATTGAAGCTGTCTATCGCCTCAAAAGTTCTTTTGTACTCCTTACCAAAACCTCTGGCTCCAAGCAGCCATTGATCTGCAACCTACCACTATAAATTCAGTTTCTAGAATTTTGTAATAATAAACTTTTATAATATGCCTACTGTTGTTTCATTCTCTCAATATATTTTAGGATCACCTACGTTGCAAAATCAGCAGTTCTTTCTATTTTATTCTATTGTATGGAAATACTACAATATGTTTATCCTTTAGCCTGTTGGTGAACCATTTACAAATGTTTCTATTCCTTGATTATTACAAGTAAAGCTGCTACGTTCATTTGTATGCACATGTTTTCATTTCTCTTGAGTAAGAATGGAATATTCTAGGTCAAATTGTAAGTGTATGTTTAACTGCCAAACTGCAATCCAAACTGATTTTCCACTTTATACTCCCACCTAAATATGATAATTCAGGGTGTTGTATGTCCTCTCAAACATTCAGAATTGACATCTTTCTGGATCCATTATAGTTTCTGTGCAGTGTTATTACATTTTGATTTTTAAGTTCCACTCCCAGGTGGTTAATGATGCATTTTTCAGTGTTTATCGATCATTCATATATCTTTGGTTATTGTTGTCTACTCAAATCTCTTGCCCATTTTGTTATTGTGTTGTTTGACTTCTCACTATGGAGTTTGATTTTTTTTTTTTTTGGAGATGGATTATCGCTCTGTCACCCAGGCTGGAGTGCAGTGGCAAGATCTCAGCTCACTGCAAGCTCTGCCTCCTGGGTTCACGCCATTCTCCTGCCTCAGCCTCCTGAGTAGCTGGGACTACAGTCTCCCACCACCACACCTGGCTATTTTTTTGTATATTTTTAGTAGAGACGGGGTTTCACCGTGTTAGCCAGGATGGTCTCGATCTCCTGACCTTGTGATTCACCCACCTTGGCCTTCCAAAGTTCTGGGATTAGAGGTGGAGTTTGATTTTTTTTAAACATGTCCAGTAAAGTCTTTTGTAAAATTCTTTGTCTTTCTCTCTTACTCTTCCTCTCTGACCATATCTATATTTATCCATCTATATCTACACAGTTATAAAAATACAAACTCACAAAACTCAAGAAACCCTAAGCAACATAACACAAGTAAGCCACAAGACAAGTCAGGGAGATAGGAAGACCACAGGGTTTGAAGAGTACAGGGCAGTACAGGGCTCCACAGCATGTCCAGGCTGCTTTGTGAACAGCCCTGCAGCTTGGGTCATAAGATCTTGCAGGACCTGTATTCTTGCAGGTGTCAATGGTGGTTGCAGTGTGGCACACATGGCAATTCTCAGTGAAAGAATTACAACACCAGCTCCTGGGATTCTGAAACAAAGCCATGCCCTCCATAGCAGAGAATTATATGTTGGAACAAGGGGAGATGCTGTGCTTGATAAGTTACCATGCTTCTGGCGCTACCTCTTGCAGGCTGAGTTCTATTGGAACCACCAAGTCATGATACCAGAAGGGAAAAGAAGTAGTTCATCATGAGGTGGAAATACTAAATATGAGACAAAGGCCAAGCAAGATGAGAGCAAGTGGATAAGTTGAATAGCAGGTAACCCAGATCCTCATGTCACCCATCATGTTTGCACCAGCAACCTTCCTTCAGCTCACACCTGTGACTGCATTTGTGTCCCTGTGGCCATCTGAAGGAGGGAGAAAGGGGCAATCTCTGTTTAAAGGTGTAGTTGCATTGCAGCCCAATGCAAGAATGACTCTGAAAGACAGAAGGAAATTAAAATATTCCCTATTAGCAGCACTGGGAGCAGTGGCCCTGGCCATTGACTTTACATAGAAGAAACATGGCCTAAGGCAGGAATATAAACAGATTTCTTTGCCATAGTCAGTGGGTGAATCTTCTGGTCAGAGGCTTAGATAGAAAAGAACTGAAATATCTGAGACAAGGAAGCTGGGTTAGAAGCATATGAGTGGACATGCAGGAGCAGGCACGGAGTGTAAAGAATCTTGTATTGCATGTTAACACTCACAAGAAAGCACTCATCACAGAAGAGGCACTCAATAACCAATCAGACAAAATGACTTGACAAGCTGCCAGCCTTGGAGATTGGCTTTTCCACAACAAGCACAACAGTCACACATATGCAGTCACTCATATGACCATGTTGGCAGAGATGGACAATACATATGGGCCCCACAGCCTGGACTTCTATGTATCAAGGTTGATCTAACTACTGCTGCCTCTGACTGTCCTACTTTTCAACAGCATACATCAATAATGAGACTCTTATATGGCAAGTCTTTTGACCTTGAATGACCACCTTTTCATCCTCAGAGGGATATATCCTTATTCCAGGGCTGGGTTTGGCAATTCTGTTCACAGAGCCTGAGCCAGGACCACTTTTCTGAGGCTTCCAGAATTCCTGATCCACAGGCATAAAATCCCACATGTTATAGCATCTGACCAGGGTTCCTTGTTCACAGCAAAGGATGGGCAGAAGTGGGTCCATGACCATATAATCTACTATTTGTATTACATACACTCTTCAAGAAGCAGCTAGACTCATGGAGCCCTGGAAAAACATTCTAAAGATGCAACTGAGGCACTATGCTAAAGGAGACATTCTGAATGCAGGGGGCACCATCTTTTATACATATTCTATCACAAATCTTTATATAGTAGCTCTTGTGCCATAGGAAGAATCTACAGGTTCAGAAAACAAGAGGTAGAAACAGGAATGTCCCTAATTACAAATGCTCCCAATAATCTTCTCAGGTTTTCCTGTGCTTCTCATCACTGCAGCTCTGGGATCTGGAAGGCAGGCAAGTCCTGCTCTCTAAAGAAGGTTATCTGTTGGGTGCTTTAGATTCCTTAGGTCCAGTAACCAAAAGACAAGAAATACGTCACCACTGGGGCAGGATGAATACACCCTGATTAGCAGGAGGAGGTAGGGCTACTTTTCTACAAAAGAAGCAGAGATAATTTCTCTCTCTCTCTCTCTCTCACACACACACACTCACACACACACACACACTCCCCACTACCATACTCTCTCTCTCTCTCTTTCTCTCCCCCTCACACAACTGGGCATTCAAAGGCAGTTCTGAGACCAACTGCTATAGCATGGGCTAGACTTGGTCTCATTAACCTTTCTTTTCTAAGATTCCTCTTGGAAAAGAGAGGATCATGGGAATTTTGGAAGAGCTGGTATGAAGAACCTGTTTGGACAAATATGTGTGTGCTGTGGTGGGGTTAGGAGGTGGGGATAATGGATTTTAATGACCAAGGAAATTTGCAGTGCAGATATCCTGACTCAGACAGCATAAGTCAGCGACAGCCTGGCTTTAGCCCTCTGTCTCTGGAAGCACTTCTACACTTGTGCAGCAGTCATGTTTCCAACAGTCATAGAGCTACATGGGGATTGTATGTGAGGACGTTTCCAGTGAGTTGTGAGAGTCTCCAATGAGTAATTTTAATTTAAGGAGTCCGCAGTGACCTAGGCCAAAGCATTCTTGGAACCATGCTGCAGTCTCTTTCTACCCCAATCAGCCTTCCTTCCCTCTTTCCCTCTACAGGTGTACGATCTGCACCCTAGTCTGAAGACTCTACCCACCTTCTCCTGCTTCCTCCTTCTTCCCTCTTGCAAATTTAATTCCATGGTGGTGTTTGCCCTTAGCAGATCTAAACATTAACTCAAGTCATATGATCAGATAAGATGAAAAATGACTAAAAATGTCATTCATGACATGTGAGTGGTGAGCTCTGCCTGGCAGTAGGAAGGAGAGAATTCTGATAGAAATTAATTTGGAAAAAACGATGCTGCACATCCCAGCAAATACCATCCCATCTTATCTCTGCTAGGAATATTTTTTGTAACACACATATAATTCACTTTTGCTTTATGAAGTAAATTTCTATTTTAAGAATACAGCAGCAATTTGAGTGCTGTTCACAGCTACTGTGAACTGAAATTTGAGGTTGGCTATAGAAGAAGGCCAATGACAGACGGGTTAGTAGAACAAAATGGATATAAATAGGAAAAAGTGAAAAATCAGTAAGACAGTATGTTGGAAAGGAGTACAGTAGTTGGAAGAATTAATGATTCAATATTTCTATAAAGAGTCTCCATTTAGATGATTCAAAGAGTATCCATGAAGAAATGCACATTTTATTGAATATACAGAAGTGTGATTAGTGGCGAAGGAAGGTGAATTCTGTTTGTTATATGACTATGACATGTAGAGAACTTCTCATTCAAGTTGAGTGTGCAAAAATATTACAAAACATGTGGAGAATTAACTATTAGAGAGATAATGAAATAATTATACAAAGAAACCTCCTAGAGATGAATTCACCACAGCAAATATGAGAAATATTATAGCAAACTAAATTTTCCTTTTAAGTGAGTACACTTAGAATTCTCAACTGGCTTTTTAAGAAGAAAACATCCAGGGCCAGGCATGGTGGCTCACGCCTGTAATCCCAGCACCTTGGGAGGCTGAGATGGGTAAGTCATCTGAGGTCGGGAGTTCAAGACCAGCCTGGCAAACACCGTGAAACCCCATCTCTACTAAAAATTCAAAAATTAGCAGGGCACGGTGGTGGGTGCATGTAATCCCAGCTACTCAAGAAGCTGAGGCAGAAGAACTGCTTGACCCCAGGAGGCAGACTTTGTAGTGAGCCAAGATGGCATCATTGTACTCCAACCTGGGCAACAGAGTGAGCCTCTGCCAAAAAAAAGAATAAAATTCATCAAAAAGAATCGAAGACTTAAAAATAAAAACAGACGCCTGGTGTGGTGGCTCACTCCTGTAATTCCAGCACTTTGGGAGGACGAGTTGGGTGGATCACAAGGTCAGGAGATGAAGACCATCCTGGCTAACACAGTGAAACCCTCTCTCTAATAAAAATACAAAAAAATTAGCCCAGCATGGTGGCGGGCACCTGTAGACCCAGCTACTCGGGAGGCTGGGGCAGGAGAATGGCGTGAACCTGGGAGGCAAAGCTGGCAGTGAGCTGAGATCGCGTCACTGCACGCCAGCCTGGGCGACAGAGGTAGACTCCATCTCAAAAAAAAAAAAAAAATATATATATATATATATAAATAAAAACAGGCAAAAGTCCAGGCGTAGTGGCTTACGCCTGTAATCCTAACACTTTGGGAGGCCAAGGTGGGTGGATCACCTGAGGTCAGGACTTCAAGACCAACCTGGCCAACATGGCGAAACCATAACTGGGAATGGTGGCGGGTGCCTGCAATCCCAGCTACTCCAGAGGCTGAGGTAAGAGAATTGATAGAACTCTGGGGGATTGCAGTGAGCAGAGATCACGCCATTGCACTCTGCCCGGGGCAACAGAGTAAGACTCTGGGAAAAAAAAAAAAAGCAGGCAAAAAAGAACAAAGTAAAGATTGATATAAAAAATTAAAAGCAGCCAGGCGTGGTGGCTCACACCTGTAATCCCAGCACTTTGGTAGGCTGAGGCGTGTGGATCATGATATCAGGAGTTCTAGACCAGGCTGACCAACATAATGAAACCCCGTCTCTACTAAAAATTCAAAAATTAGCCGAGTGTGGTGGCGCTTGCCTGTAATTCCAGCCACTCAGGAGGCTGAAGCAGGAGAGGAGGCTGAGGCAGGAGGAGAGTCACTTGAACCCAGGAGTAGGAGGTTGCAGTGAACCGAGATCATGCCACTGCACTTCAGCCTGGGTGACAGAGCAAGACTCCATCTCAAAAAAGGAAAAAAAAATTAAAATCTCTAGAAGTGAAAATTATATAAAAAAGAAGTGTAAATGCAATAAACACAAAGAATTAGTCAATTGGGAGATAATGATGAATTTATCCAGATAAAAGGATTTAAAAGTCAGAAAGACCAGTCAAGAAAGTCCCCAACACATGTATGATAGGAATTTCAAAAAGAGTCCAAAGAGAATGGAGAAGCCATATTTAAGGACAGTATTCATCCACTCAGCAAACACTCACTAAGGGCCCACTTTGATGACGTTTCCATTCTAATGGTAGAGAATACTTATACACAAGAAAACACTGGCAATGCCTTCACTATTTGTATACTTTACATGATGCCATAAAATTTCCATTGCAGAGGAAAGACTTGAGGACTCTAATTTAAAGTATAAAACAAGTGCTGGGCAGAAGAAATAAAAATGAATCCATATCCAGACACATTGATGACTCTGAGTTTTAGTGTTTACAAAGCAGTTCTTTAAAATTAATTTTCAGTAAGAGGATGTGTATATCACCTTCACTGTTTTCCTTTTTGTTTTGATCTATTCCTCTTGCTTATTCTAGTTTGAAATGATTTCTTCAAAAAAAGTCTTATCCATTTATGAATCAATTTATATCTTTCATTTTCTAGATTATAATTTTTACTTTTCGTTATTAATGTCCTTCCATTAGGTATGTTTTTTGATCCTGTATTTACTTACTGACATGAATGATTAACTCATTTATCTTCTCTGGCTTAGTAAAAAAAAAATTGAAAATCTTGAAATTATATATGTTTCTTATTATCTTTCTTAATTATATTGTGTGTAGAGAGGTTTGTTAACTTTTCCAAAAAGTCGATTATTTATTTATAGGTTAGTTGTTTCTTCTTATAGTAATTTCACTTGGAGGATAAATGTTAAAATTTGAAGCACAATAACTTTTTGTTGACCTTTAAAAAAGTATATTTTTATTTGAAAGGTACAGTGTTGGATATTTTTACTAAAATAACATAATTATTTACACACTGTCTTATCTAATTACCTGTTTTAGTTCCTATGAACCTTATTATAAACCAGCAATATTTCTTCTGGCCTATGTATAAGCTTTTATTTTTATATTTAAATAAAGCTATTTAATGAAAGAAATACCATTGTGTATTTTTAAATTATAGACAGTAGATTTACTCAAACAAAAATTTCTTCTCTCTTCTAGTTGATAAACTTATTTCTGATTCGCATTTCTCTAGTTTATGTATCTACAATGACAGTTGTTTCCTATACTAGTGTAATCATTTCTGCATACACTGAGGGTGTCTTATTTACAATATGACATGTAAAATATTTTAACAAGAGTTATTGTTTTCCAATTGTATAGTTTTTATTATTTTCATTTTTCTTGTTGAAGATGCTTATTCTCTCTTTTTCTCTTTCATAATTTACTATACCTTCATCTTTCTTTCTTCCTTTCTTTCTTTCTTTCTTTCTTTCTTTCTTTCTTTCTTCTTTTTTTTTTGAGACAGAGTCTCCCTCTGTCGCCCAGGCTGGAGTGAAGTGGCGCGATCTTGGCTCACTGCAAGCTCTGCCTCCCGGGTTCACACCATTCTCCTGCCTCAGCTTTCTGAGTAGCTGGGACTACAGGCATCCGCCACCATGCCCGGCTAATTTTTTGCATTTTCAGTAGAGACGGGGTTTCACTGTGTTAGCCAGGATGGTCTCCATCTCCTGACCTCGTGATCTGCCCGCCGTGGCCTCCCAAATTGCTGGGATCACAGGCATGAGCCACCACGCCCAGCCTTTTTTTTTTTCTTAGACAGTTTTTGCTCTGTTGCCCCAGGCTGCAGTCCAGCAGTGAGATCTAGCCTCACTTCAACCTCAGCCTCCAGGTTCAAGCAATTTTCCTGCCTCAGCCTCCCGATTAGCTGGGATTACAGGCGCCCACCACCATGCACAGCTAATTTTTGTATTTTTAGTAGAGACGACGTTTCGCCATGTTGGCTAGGCTTGTCTCGAAATCCTGACCTCAGGTGATGCACCCAGCTCAGCCTCCCAAAGTACTGGAATTAGGGGCATGAGACACCGTGCGCGGCCCAGTCCTTGTATTTTTAAGGTTTCATTTGTGTATTTTCTTTAGGAAAATATTTCAATAATTTATCACTGCAATTAGCTGAAGTTATAAAATTACTTCCGGATTTGGGAAGATTATACCTTAGCATGGCAAAGGATTAGAAATAATAGCTAGCAGCTGGGTGCAGTGGCTCACGCCTGTAATCCCAGCACCATGGGAGGCAGAGGCGGGCAGATCAGAAGGTCAAGAGACATAGACCATTTTGGCCAAAATGGTGAAACCCCATTTCTACTTAAAAAATAAAATTTAAAAAAAAATTAGCTTGGCGTGGTGGTGCATGCCTGTAATCCCAGCTACTCAGGAGGCTGAGACAAGAGAACTGCTTGAACTCGGGAGGCAGAGGTTGCAATGAGCCAAGGTTGTGCCGCTGCAGTGCAGCCTGGAGACACAGCAAGACTCCATCTCAAATAAATAAATGAATAAATAAATAAATAAATAAATAAATAATAGCTAACTTTTTCTATCTGCCAGGCACTATGCTACTTTGCATGAAGATGATAATTTCGAAACTAAACACAGAAGAGCAAGTGTAAAAGAAGTAATTTCTTTCTTTCTTTTATTTTCTTTTCTTTTTTTTATTTTTTGTTTGAGACAGTCTCGCTCTGTCGTCCAAGCTGGAGTGCAGTGGCAGGATCTCGGCTCACTTCAACCGCCATCTCCTGAGTTCAAGCAATTCTCCTGCCTCAGCTTCATGAGTAACTGGGATTACAGGCATCCACCACCAGAGACGGATAATTTTTTTTTGTATACTTTTATTTAATTCGGCTTAGGTTATTTGTTTATTAGTAGTAGCTTTGCATCTATGGGATTGTTGTATAAAATAAATGGCTTAAATATGTAGGATATTTAAAAGTCATTCTTTCTGCATTTGAGATTTTGAGGCTTTAAAGAGGGCATTATATGGGTAGAGACACAACCAAAAAAGAGAATTTTAGGCCAATATCCTTGATGAACATTGATGCAAAAATCCTCAATAAAATACTGGCAAACCGATTCCAGCAGCACATCAAAAAGCTTATCCACCACGATCAAGTGGGCTTCATCCCTGGGATGCAAGGCTGGTTCAATATATGCAAATCAATAAATGTAATCCAGCATATAAACAGAACCAAAGTCAAAAACCACATGATTATCTCAATAGAAGTAGAAAAGGCCTTTGACAAAATTCAACAACCCTTCATGCTAAAAACTCTCAATAAATTAGGTATTGATGGGACGTATTTCAAAATAATAAGAGCTATCTATGACAAACCCACAGCCAATATCATACTGAATGGGCAAAAACTGGAAGCATTCCCTTTGAAAACTGGCACAAGACAGGGATGCCCTCTCTCACCACTCCTATTCAACATAGTGATGGAAGTTCTGGCCAGGGCAATCAGGCAGGAGAAGGAAATAAAGGGTATTCAATTAGGAAAAGAGGAAGTCAAATTGTCCCTGTTTGCAGATGACATGATTGTATAACTAGAAAACCCCATTGTCTCAGCCCAAAATCTCCTTAAGCTGATAAGCAACTTCAGCAAAGTCTCAGGATACAAAATCAATGCACAAAAATCACAAGCATTCTTATACACCAAGAAAAGACAAGCAGAGAGCCAAATCATGAGTGAACTCCCATTCACAATTGCTTCAAAGAGAATAAAATACCTAGGAATCCAACTTACAAGGGATGTGCAGGACCTCTTCAAGGAGAACTACAAACCACTGCTCAAGGAAATAAAAGAGGATACAAACAAATGGAAGAACATTCCATGCTCATGGGTAGGAAGAATCAATATCGTGAAAATGGCCATACTGCCCAAGGTAATTTACAGATTCAATGCCATCCCCATCAAGCTACCAATGACTTTCTTCACAGAATTGGAAAAAAACTACTTTAAAGTTCATATGGAACCAAAAAAGAGCCCGCATCACCAAGTCAATCCTAAGCCAAAAGAACAAAACTGGAGGCTTCACACTACCTGACTTCAAACTATACTACAAGGCTACAGTAACCAAAACAGCATGGTACTGGTACCAAAACAGAGATATAGATCAATGGAACAGAACAGAGCCCTCAGGAATAACGTCGCATATCTACAACTATCTGATCTTTGACAAACCTGAGAAAAACAAGCAATGGGGAAAAGATTCCCTCTTTAATAAATGGTGCTGGGAAAACTGGCTAGCCATATGTAGAAAGCTGAAACTGGATCCCTTCCTTACACCTTATACAAAAATCATTTCAAGATGGATTAAAGACTTAAACGTTCAACCTAAAACCATAAAAACTCTAGAAGAAAACCTAGGCATTACCATTCAGGACATAGGCATGGGCAAGAACTTCATGTCTAAAACACCAAAAGCAATGGCAACAAAAGCCAAAATTGACAAATGGGATCTAATTAAACTAAAGAGCTTCTGCACAGCAAAAGAAACTACCACCAGAGTGTACAGGCAACCTACAAAATGGGAGAAAATTTTCACAACCTACTCATCTGACAAAGGGCTAATATCCAGAATCTACAATGAACTCAAACAAATTTACAAGAAAAAAACAACCCCATCAAAAAGTGGGCAAAGGACAGGAACACACTTCTCAAAAGAAGACATTTATGCAGCCAAAAAACACATGAAAAAATGCTCATCATCACTGGCCATCAGAGAAATGCAAATCAAAACCACAATGAGATACCATCTCACACCAGTTAGAATGGCAATCATTAAAAAGTCAGGAAACAACAGGTGCTGGAGAGGATGTGGAGAAATAGGAACACTTTTACTTTGTTGGTGGGACTGTAAACTAGTTCAACCACTGTGGTAGTCAGTGTGGCAATTCCTCAGGGATCTAGAACTAGAAATACCATTTGACCCAGCAATCCCATTGCTGGGTATATACCCAAAGGACTATAAATCATGCTGCTATAAAGACACATGCACACGTATGTTTATTGCGGCATTATTCACAATAGCAAAGACTTGGAACCAACCCAAATGTCCAACAATGATAGACTGGATTAAGAAAATGTGGCACATATACACCATGGAATACTATGCAGCCATAAAAAATGATGGGTTCATGTCCTTTGTAGGGAGATGGATGAAATTGGAAATCATCATTCTCAGTAAACTATTGCAAGAACAAAAAACCAAACACTGCATGTTCTCACTCATAGGTGGGAATTGAACAATGAGAACACATGGACACAGGAAGGGGAACATCACACTCTGGGGACTGTTGTGGGGCGGGGGGAGGGGGGAAGGATAACATTGGGAGATATACCTAATGCTAGATGACAAGTTAGTGGGTGCAGTGCACCAGCATGGCACATGTATACATATATAACTAACCTGCAGATTGTGCACATGTACCCTAAAACTTAAAGTATAATAATAATAATAATAATAATAATAATAATAAAATAAGTACTTCACCAAAAAAATAAATAAATAAAGAGGGCATTATAAAATGCCTCATGGAAAAAATATTATTTTAACAATTATTAAAGTAAAATAAAAATTTGTAACTCATAAAGACACACTTCATTTTTATCCTGTATTTTTTTTTTTACAAATGGGTCTTGAATATTTTAAGATAAAATTTTAAAAAATCAAGTAATTTTAATTCAGAAATTTCAAAAAAATAAAACCCTGAATCCAATTCAAATTTCACTTACTTGAAAATTCTCACTTATATAAATTTATTTATATAAACGTGATATAACCAATAAAGATATACAGTAGAGTCATTGTTAATTTGGGTAAAAAAATTTTAAATACAATGCAAACTTGTATTATCTCCATATGTATGTATGTACACATGTACACATATATGAATATTTACATATATATTTGCATACACACACCATATATATACCTGTGTATAAATGAATAAAAAAGGAATATCAGTTGGCCTCTACTACAACAGTTGAAGGCCCATTGCACAATGGTCAGAACAGAGGCGACATCGGAATGCAACTTAAAATTTCCAAGATGACTTGAATTGTATCTGAATTTCTAACAGGGCATAGAGAAATTAAAATCTTGTTTAATTATGCTTCTTTGTTTATTACTGGGAGAGCCTCACATGCAAAGCAGATCAGGATATTCTCTTACCAAATGTGTTAATTAACAGTCAGTTCATAATGTAAGGGTGACTCAAATAGCAGATTCAATATCAAACAGGAAGGGCTTTTGTAACCCGTTCTATTTTCGGTCAACCACAAACCACCCACCCCTGCTGAAATAAAAACTTAAAAGGCAGGTGGAGGAAAATATGTTCTAGACCAAGGGGTAGGTACCGGGTCTGCAAAAGACATAGTGTGCCACCCACAAACACACAAGTTCAAGGAGCGTGGCTCAATCCTTCAGAAAATTGGTTCTAACTTTCAAATCATTAGAGATCTTCTTTATAAAAGATATAGCAAACAAAAACACAAAATATACCCCTCTAAGATTATTAGGAAGTTAAAAAAAAGTGACTTGTAACTTTTAATAAATAGCTAGGGAGGTAAGCTTGTTCATTTCTGAGATTCACAACTTTTATAAAGGCGCTCTATTAATACTTGAATTGTGCTGTGTTCAATAGAAGCAATGAGACATAAGCCATACTGAGAGAAGAAAAAAATTTAACAAGAAAATCTAATGCTGTTTAATTTCTTTAAACATTTATTAATTTCTGAATGCTATGTGATTGCTTTCATATTAATTTTTCAGTAGAGAAATTGAATACAATTGAATACAATTTCTCAGTTGAGAAATTAAATACAATGGATTTTAGTGTGATGACATACTTGATAGGATAATTTTAAAATCATTATTTTAATTAGATATAATACTTTTAGGTAGAATAATAAAAATAAAGGAAAACCGATTTTCTTTAAATTCCATCAATTATTTCTTTCTCACAATAATTAATATGTAATTTACCAATGATGTAGTAGATTAATACCAAATTCTCTTACTTTTGGTTTCATCAAAAAATGATGAACATTTTTCTCTGATAGATGTTTAGTTACTTTCAGATGGCTTGTAATCTTGTATTTTCAACATTGAAGATTTTTTTTCACATATTGATACCAATCATTTTATGATATATCTGATTTTATAATTATGTATTCATTGTTTTCAAATGAGAGTTATGGTTGCATACTGTAAGAATTATAATAGAGGAAGTTATCTGGTGCTCCAGGAATTTAAATAAGAGAAGATATAAAGATCTCAGCCTTTGTATCAATATTTTAATTGGATCCTGAAAAATGAATGAAGATAGACAGAAAACAAGTAAAAAATGGTCTAAGCAGATGGAATAGAAGGAATAAAAGGAGAGTAATAGAAAAGTGTGTGTGTCTTTGAAGGAACATAACCTGTTCTGGGTGTGGCTACAGCACAGGTTTGTGAAGGAAAATGTTAAATGATTGAGGAGAATGTCTCTCAATATCAGTGATTTTGTATTTTACCCTTCAATGATGGGACATAAGTAAACAATTTTTAAAAACATAGTGGGTGTGTGTGTATATAAATATATAGCATATATATATAGTATATAGCATGTCTATACTTATACTATATACATACATGTAGTGTGTATGTATATATGTATATATAGTATATATATATACTTATTTTCATTCTAGATAGAAGTTTTTGAGATGCAGTTAGAAGAAAAAGTCAGAAAGAATAGTCAAGATTATTCCAGCAGTACAGGCATGATGTGATGAATGACTAAATAAAAACATTAGCAGCAACACAGAAGAGAAATGGCAGAATAGAAAGGTAATTCAAGGTAGAAACAGCTGAACTTAATAATTCATTTAGAAGGAAGAGTCAAGGTATATATACTCTAAATTTTCTTGGCGACTGGCTTGATATTATCATCATTAGCTGAGATGGGCAATGCTTTAAAAGAAATAGATTTATTTGCCAAAATATAAAATGTGTTTATGGCTATGTCAAATTTGAGATGTAGGTGGTGAAGACAGAGGGGGAGAATCAGTTGACAT
Source organism: Homo sapiens (assembly GCF_000001405.40). Classification (NCBI taxonomy): domain Eukaryota; kingdom Metazoa; phylum Chordata; class Mammalia; order Primates; family Hominidae; genus Homo; species Homo sapiens. The sequence continues at coordinate 19,842,474 of NC_000015.10, read as the reverse complement.
TTCAAAATATAGGTTTGGAACCTACAGGAAAATATTGGAGTAAAAAAAATAAAGAAAGAAAATCAAACGTCAAAGGAAATGCTGGAAGTGTGGGAATGGATAAAAGGAGCACAGGAAAAGTGTGCAGAGCATTGTTACCTAAAGTGCTGTGGGAATTTTATACGCATATGAATACAACTCGCAAAACACACAAATATTTTTGCTTCCCTGCATCATTTACTGGAGTCTTTTACATACAAATTCTGAAGTATAAGGTATGCAGAATTTTCTAAGCGTATCATAGAATTCCATTCCAAGAATACATTTCAGGAAAACTCTTGTCAATCAGGGAAACATTGGTGCAGAATAGTAAGAAAAGAAATACCCATTAAGACTAGTACTTACACAGTGGACATGAAAAAACTAGGCAGCAAGGAGTTATTAAAAAGAAAGCATGGGCTGGGCATTGTGGCTCATGCCTGTAATCCCAGCACTTTGGGAGGCCGAGGCTGGCGGATCACCTGAGGTTGGGAGTTTGAGACCAGCCTGACCAACATGAAGAAACCCCATCTCTACTAAAAATACAAAATTAGCTGGGCATGGTGGCACATGCTTGTAATCGCAGCTACTCGGGAGGCTGAGGCAGGAGAGTCTCTTGAACCTGGGAGGCGGAGGTTACAGTGAGCTGAGATCACACTGTTGCACTCCAGCCTGGGTGAAAAGAGGGAAACTTCGTCTCAAAAAAAAAAAAAAGAAAAAAGAAAAAAAAGAAAGAAAAAAAAAAGAAAAAAGAAAAAAATGAAAGCATGGGGCCAACATTGAGTGGTCTTAAGGAAGCCAAGGTAGAAGGAAATTTAAAGAAGGAAATGAGAAGCAATGCAGAATGTTTAGAAAGGTGAATTAGGAAGCTCCCATAAATATTCTCACTATGTATTATAGGGAATTCATTTATAACTTCAAAAATACCACTCAAAAAAGATGGTAATTGTTGGAATGAGATTTCAATGGGTGAAAGAGGCTGGGCACAGTGGCTCATGCCTGTAATCCCAGCACTTTGGGAGGCCGAGGTGGATGGATCACGACATCAGCAGTTCAAGACCAGCCTGGCCAAGATGTGAAACCCTATCTCTACTAAAAATACAAAAATTAAACGAGCATGGTGTTGGGCGCCTGTAATCCTAGCTACTTGGGAGGCTGAGACAGGAGAATCACTTGAACCCGGGAGGTGGAGGTCGCAGTAAGCCAAGATGATGCCACTGCACTCCAGCCTGGGTGACAGAGCAAGAGAAAGAAAAGAGAAGAGAAGAAAGAAAAGAAGGACGGAAGGGATTTTAAAAAGAGATGAGAAGTCAGTATACTGCTTTGGAGGAAGTGTAATTTATGATTGTGGCTATAACTTGCTATGATGGAAACAGCAACACACCACTGGATTTCAACTTTTGAGTGCTTAAGAAGGTGGAGATGGTGATTAAAATAATAATAATAATAACAATAATAATAATAATGCTAAGTGTGTAATAGTTGCTAAGTGTGTGGTGTCTGAACCCAGGATATCAGGATGTCTGGAACTGGGATTGAATCCCAGCTCTTCCACTTTCTGGTTATGTGAGTGACTGTAGGCAAATTACTTAATCTTTTAATGCTCCAGTTTCCCATATGCAAAATGAGAATTATAATAGTAAACTACTTCATGGCTTGTGAGGATGAAGTGCATGTAGAGTACTTAGTGAGTTCTCTTTGTGTATTATGTATTTGTTTCCAAATGCAGATTCTAGAGCCCTTAGATTCTCATTCAATAAGTATGAGGCAAGCACGGGCCAGGATTCTGCATTCTTTAAGGAGGTGTAATTTCCTACATCTGCTGTGACAAAGTGGTTCACATTAGGTCGCTTAAAATGAGATAAAGTTGTTCTTTTACGGTTCAGGAAGCTAGAAATCTTAAATGAAGGAGTTAGCAGTGCTGCATTTTTCTCTGAAGGACCTGGGAAAAAATCCTTTCTTGCTTCTTCTAGCACCGGGTGATCACTGAGCTTCATTGTCATTGCTTGGCTGGAGGATACCTCACTTTATTCTCTACCTCCATCCTCCCATGGCCATCTCCTCCCTGCGTCTCTGTTTCCTCTTCCCTTCTTATGAGGATATCAACCATATTGAATTATGGCCCACTCTAATGCATTATGAGCTCATCTAGCATATCATAATTATACAGCATCTGCAAATAATTTGATTTCAAATTAAGTCATACTCACAGACATCAGGGGCTAGAACTCTAATATATATATTTTCTTTTTGAAGACACAATCTAACCCACAAAAGGAGGGGAGCCCCTTAAGATCATAAATAACTCAAGTAACAAGACTGTGTGTTTAAAATAGCATTTAAATTTCTCCAAATGGCAGACAGCTTAATTCAGATCAATATCAATCAGGAGATAAACAAGTGTTTGTCTCTTGATTGGCATTTACCTGAGATTAAAACATTATGGTAAAATACATTATCTTCAGTGATCTTTGGTTTAGGTGAGCATTCACAAGGCATACAATTATTATCACTTGAGCCATCTCTCTCTAATAACTCTTTTCTAATCTGCTGGCCAACAATATCAGGTTCTTTCAAATCTCTGATTATTGGACCAAACCATAAGGTCCTCCAGGTGAATTGGTAGAAATAATTTTTACAAAGGTAAATGAAATTTTATTTACTTGATGGATTTCTCTTCTCCTCTGTACAAAGGGGTGACCCTTTGACAGCACAGGGAAAGAACATGATAGAAATAGACTTTCAGAAGGAAGGGCCTTCCATAACAAGGAATGCCATCTGTAATCCAGACTTTTTTCTCCTCAGGAATCCAGTCATAGGCAAATCTCTATGAATCACAGATAAACAGAAAGAAGGGTGGGAGTGTGTCAGGAGTAGGATGCTGAAAATGTGAGTAGCCTGTTCATTAATTGATCCCTTGGAAACTGAGAAGGCAACGTGGCATACATGCAATATCCATGGAATGATGGAAGACTGGTTGTAGTTAGTATGATCCTATAATGCTCAGATCACAATGGGGTCACCCTTATTCATGATTGAGCCTTCCTTCTTATTAGTATCCCAATGTGAAATTGTTTCTCAAAAAAGGAGGGGGGTGGGTAATTTTTGTACAAAAGGCTTTTACTCCAAAATAAAGTGGCTTCTACTGTATTTCTCCTCTGGAGCCTTGCCGCTGGCTCCGTAGGAAAATTCTGCCTCTCATAGATACCTGAGGCATTGGATTCCCTAAACAAAATTGTAGATCCACTTGTACTGCAGGCCTCTGTAGTCCAAAGCATTTCTCTTTCTCTGAGTCCCACTCACAGCTGACATCATTCTTGACATTTGCATTTTATTTGGAATACACACCCAAATATGTTTTATGTTGCCTCTAACATTCAGAAGAGCCTCTAACAGTCTTCCTTTCCCTATCCCTTCCTTCCATTTGAAAGATGTTTGCTCCACATCACTTTCTACTGCATTCTTAGACTCCCTGAAGGTAGGAAACCCACATTTTTGTCATTTGCTCGATATGTCTTTCCTGAAGTCTATGGTAGCTGCTATTTTTCTCTAGAGCGTATCAACCGGTTGCTGTCCATGTAATCCATAAGTTATGTCCGTTTGGCTAGTGACATGGCCAGGGTTCCTGAGTACAAAATTATGACACAGACAAAAATAGCTATACTTCTACAGCTAAATAGTGAAGACACTCTGCCTGGAAAAAGTAAGAAATTTCAGGTATTTACCATTTATTTAAGATACAGAAAAATAATTTGCCTCAATGTATAGCAGGAAAAGGAGATAAGTGTATTCACTAAAGCAAGGAGACTATATCTGGATTTTAAATGTGTGCCCTCAGATAGGATTCCAGTACACAGTGGCTGGATTCTGAGTGTTTGTCCCTCACACAGGATTACAGAACACTGCTATGAGGTTCTGAATGGAAAAGGAAATATCTTCACATAAAGACAAGAAAGAAGCATTCTGAGTAACTTCTTTGTGATGTGTGCATTCACCTCACAGAGTTGAACTTTTCTTTTGATTTAGCACTTTTGAAACACTCTTTTTGTAGTGTCTGCAAGTGGATATTTGGAACGCTTTACAGCCTGTGGTGGAAAGTAAATATCTTCACATCAAAACCAGACAGAAGCATTCTGAGAAACTCCTCTGTGATCTGTGCATTCATCTCACAGAGTTGAACGTTTCTCTTGATTGAGCAGTTTTGAAACACTCTTTTTGTAGAATCTGCAAGTGGATATTTTGAGCGCTTTGGGGCCTATGGTGGAAAAGGAAATATCTTCACATAAAAACTAGACAGAAGCATTCTGAGAAACTTCTTTGTGATATGTGCATTCAACACACAGAGTTGAAATATTCTTTTGATTGAGCAGTTTTGAAACACTCCTTTTGTAGTATCTGCAAAGTTGGAGGGCTTTGGGACCTCTAGAGGAAAGGGAAATATCTTCACTTAAAAACTAGACAGAAGCATTCTGAGAAACTTCTTTGTGATGCGTGCATTCATCTCACAGAGCTGAACATTTCTTTTGATTGAGCAGCTTTGAAACACTCTTTCTGTAGAATCTGCAAGTGGACATTGGGAGCGATTTGAGGCCTATGGTGGAAAAGGAAACATCTTCACATAAAAACTACACAAAAGCCTTCTGAGAAACTTCTTTCTGATGTGTGCATTCATCTCACAGAATTGAACCTTTCTTTTGATTGAACAGTTTTGAAACACTTCTTTTGAAGAATCTGCATGTGGATATTTAGATCAGTTTGGGGCCTGTGGTGGAAAAGGAAATATTTTCAAATAAAGACTACACAGAAGAGTTCTGAGAAAGTTCTTTGTGATGTGTGCATTCAACTCACATAGTTGAAGATTTCTTTTGATTGAGCAGTTTTGAAACAATCTTTTTCTAGTATTTGCAAGTGGATATTTGGAACGGTTTGAGGCCTATTGTGGAAAAGGAAATATCTTCAAATAAATACTAGACAGAAGCATTCTGAGAAACTTCTTTGGGGTGTGTGCATTCATCTCACAGAGTTGAAACTTTGTTTTGATTGAGCAGTTTGGAAACACTCTTTTTGTAGAATCTGCAAGTGGATACTTGGAGTGCTTTGAGCCCAGTGGTGGAAAAGGAAGTATCTTCAATTAAAAACTAGACAGAAGCATTCTGAGAAACTTCTTTGTGATGTGTGCATTCAACTCACAGGGTTTAAACTTTCTTTTGATTGAGGAGTTTGGAAAATTTCTTTTTGTAGAATCTGCAAGTGGATATTTGTAGCGCTTTGTGGCCTATAGTGGAAAAGGAAATATCTTCACATAAAAACTAGACAGAAGCCTTCTGAGAAACTCCTTTGTGATGTGTGCATTCATGTCTCAGAGATGAACCTTTCTTTTGATTGAGCAGTTTTGAAACACTCTTTTTGTAGAATCTGCAAGTGGATATTTTTAACGTGTGTCAGCCTATGGTGGAAAAGGAAATATCTTCACATAAAAACTAGACAGAGGCATTTTGAAAAGCTCCTTTGTGATGTGTGCATTCATCTCACAGTGTTGGACATTTCTTTTGATTTAGCTGCTTTCAAATATTCTTTTTGCAGAATCTGCAAGTGGATATTTGAAGGGCTTTGAGGCCTATGGTGGAAAAGGAAATACCTTCACATAAAAACTAGACAGAAGCATTCTGAGAAACTTCTTTGTGATGTGTGCATTCATCTCACAGAGTTGAACTTTTCTTTAGATTGAGCAGTTTTGAAACACTCTTTATGTATAATCTGCCAGTGGTTATTTTGAGTGCTTTGAGTCTTCTGGTGGAAAAGGAAATATTTTTACATAAAAACTAGACAGAAGCATTCTGAGAAACTTCTGTGTGATATGTGTATTCATCTCACAGAGTTGAACCTCTCCTTTGATTGAGCAGTTTTTAAAAACTCTTTTTGTAGAATCTGCAAAAGGATACTTGGAGTGCTCTGAGGCCAGTAGGGAAAAAGAAATATCTTCACATAACAACTAGACGGAAGCATTGTGAGAAACTTCTTTTTGATGTGTGCATTAATCTCACAGAGTTGAACTTTACTTTTGATTGAGCAGTTTTGAAACCCTCTTTTTGTAGAATCTGCAAGTGGACATTTGGAGCTCTTTGCGGCCTATGGTGGAAAAGGAAATATCTTCACATAAAAACTACACAGAAGCATTCTCTGAAACTTCTTTGTGATGTGTGCATTCATCTCACAGAGTTGAACCTTTCTTTTCATTGAGCAGTTTTGAAACACTCTTTTTGTAGAATCTGCAAGTGGACATTTAGTTCGCTTTGTGGCCTAAGGTTGAAAAGGAAATATCTTCACATAAAAACTAGACGGAATCATTGCGACAAACTTCTTTGTGATGTGTGCATTCATCTCACAGAGTTCCAAACTACTTTCAATTGAGCAGTTTTGAAGCACTCTTTTTGTAGAATCTGCAAGTGGATATTTTTAACGCTTGGCAGCCTATGGTGGAAAAGGAAATATCTTCACATAAAAACTAGACAGAGGTATTTTGAGAAGCTCCTTTGTGATGTGTGCATTCATCTCACAGTGTTGGACATTTCTTTTGATTTAGCTGCTTTCAAATATTCTTTTTGCAGAATCTGCAAGTGGATATTTGAAGGGCTTTGAGGCCTATGGTGGAAAAGGAAATACCTTCACATAAAAACTAGACGGAAGCATTCTGAGAAACTTCTTTGGGGTGTGTGCATTCATCTCACAGAGTTGAACCTTTCTTTAGATTGAGCAGTTTTGAAACTCTCTTTATGTATAATCTGCCAGTGGTTATTTTGAGTGCTTTGAGTCTTCTGGTGGAAAAGGAAATATTTTCACATAAAAACTAGACAGAAGCACTCTGGGAAACTTCTGTGTGATATGTGCATTCATCTCACAGAGTTGAACCTTCCCTTTGATTGAGCAGTTTTTAAAAACTCTTTTTGTAGAATCTGCAAAAGGATATTTGGAGTGCTCTGAGGCCAGTAGTGGAAAAAGAAATATCTTCACATAACAACTAGACAGAAGCACTGTGAGAAACTTCTTTTTGATGTGTGCATTAATCTCACAGAGTTGCACTTTACTTTTGATTGAGCAGTTTTGAAACCCTCTTTTTGTAGAATCTGCAGGTGGACATTTTGAGCTCTTTGCAGCCTATGGTGGAAAAGGAAATATCTTCACATAAAAACTACACAGAAGCATTCTCTGAAACTTCTTTGTGATGTGTGCATTCATCTCACAGAGTTGAACCTTTCTTTTCATTGAGCAGTTTTGAAACACTCTTTTTGCAGAATCTGCAAGTGGACATTTAGTGCGCTTTGTGGCCTAAGGTTGAAAAGGAAATATCTTCACATAAAAACTAGACGGAATCATTCCGACAAACTTCTTTGTGATGTGTGCATTCATCTCACAGAGTTCAAACCTACTTTCAATTGAGCAGTTTTGAAACACTCTTTTTGTAGAATCTGCAAGTGGATATTTTTAACGCTTGGCAGCCTATGGTGGAAAAGGAAATATCTTCACATAAAAACTAGACAGAGGTATTTTGAGAAGCTCCTTTGTGATGTGTGCATTCATCTCACAGTGTTGAACATTTCTTTTGATTTAGCTGCTTTCAAATATTCTTTTTGCAGAATCTGCAAGTGGATATTTGAAGAGCTTTGAGGCCTATGGTGGAAAAGGTTCTGCAAGTGGACATTTGGAGAGCTTTGAGGCCTAAGGTGGAAAAGGAAATATTTTCATATTATAATTAAACAGAAGCATTCTGAGAAAGATTTTTGTGATATGTGTATTCATCTCACAGAGTTGAAACTTTCTTTTGATTGAGCAGTTTTGACACACTCTTTTTGTAGAATCCACAAGTGGACATTTGGTGCGCTTTGAGGCATATGGTGGAGAAGGAAATATCTTCACTTAACAACTAGGCGGAAGCATTCTGAGAAACTTCTTTGGGTTGTGTGCATTTATCTTACAGAGTTGAACCATACTTTTGATTGAGCAGCTTTGAAAAACTCTTTTTTAGACTCTGCAAGTGAACATTTTGAGCTCTTTGTGTCCTATGGTGGAAAAGGAAATATCTTCACATAAAAACTATACAGAAGCATTCTGTGAAACTTCTTTGTGATGTGTGCATTCATCTCACAGAGTTGAACATTTCTTTTCATTGAGCAGTTTTGAAACACTCTTTTTGTAGAATCTGCAATGGACATTTGGAGGGCTTTGAAGCCTATGGTGGAAAAGGAAGTAACTTCCCATAAAAACTAGACAGAATCCTTCTTAGAAAATTCTTTCTGATGTGTGCATTCATCTCACATAGTTGAACATTTCTTTTGATTAAGCAGCTTTGAAACACTCTTTTTGTAGAATCTGTAAGTGGACATTTGGAGTACTTTGAGGGTGATGGTCAATAACGCAATATCTTCACTTAATAACTAGACAGAAGCATTCTGTGAAACTACTTTGTGATGAGTGCATTCATCTCAGAGAGTTGAACATTTCTTTTGATTGAGCAGCTTTGAGACACTCTTTTTGTAGAACGTGCAAGTGGATATTTGGAGTGCTTTGAGACCTATGGTGGAAAAGGAAATATCTTCACATAAAAACTATACAGAAACATTCTGACAAGTTTCTTTGTGATGGGTGTATTCAAGTCACAGAATTGAACCTTCCTTTTAATTGAGCAGTTTTGAAACACTCTTTTTGTAGAATCGGCAAGTGGATATTTGGAGAGCTTTGAGGCCTATGATGGAAAAGGAAATATCTTAACATAAAAACTAGACAGAAGCATTCTGAGAAACTTGTTTGTGATCTGTGCATTCATCTCACAGAGTTGAACCTTTCTTTTGATTCAGAAGTTTGGAAACACTCTTTTTGTAGATTCTGCAAGTGAACATTTGGTGCTCTTTGAGGTCTATTGTCGAAAAGGAAATATCTTCACACAAAAACTAGACAGAAGCATTCTGTCAAAATACTTTGTGATATGTGCATTCATATCACGGAGTTGAACCTTACTTTTGATTGAGCATTTTTGAAACACCCTTTTTGTACTATCTGCAAGTGGACATTTGGAGTGCTTTGAGGCCTATGGTGGAAAAGGAATATCTTCATATAAAAACTAGACAGAAGCATTCTGACAACTTTCTTTGTGATGTGTGCATTCATCTCACAGAGCTGAACCTTTCTTTTGATTGAGTAGTTTGGAAACTCTCTTTTTGCTGAATCTGTAAGTGGATATTTGGAGTGCTTGGAGGCCTATATTGGAAAAAGAAATATCTTCATATAATAACTAGACAGAAGCATTCTGAGAAACTTCTTTGTGATGTGTGCATTCATCTTACAGAGTTGAACCTTTCTTTTGATTGAGCAGTATTGAAACACTCTTTTTGAAGAATCTGCAAGTGGATATTTGGAGCGCTTTGAGGTCTATTTTGGAAAAGGAAATATCTTCACATAAAAACTAGACAGAAGCATTCTGTCAAACTACTTTGTGATATGTGCATTCATCCCACGGAGTTGAACCTTACTTTTGATTGAGCAATTTTAAAACACCCTTTTTGTAGTATCAGCAAGTGGACATTTGGAATGCTTTCAGGCCTATGGTGGAAAAGGAAATATCTTCAAGTTAAAACTAGACAGAAGCATTCTGACAAACTTCTTTGTGATGTGTGCATTCATCTCACGGAGCTGAACCTTTCTTTTGATTGAATAATTTGGAAACTCTCTTTTTGTTGATCTGCAAGTGGACATTTGGAGTGCTTTGAGGCCTGTGGTGAAAAGGAAATATCTTCACATAAAAACTAGACAGAAGCTTTCTGAGCAACTTCTTTGTGATGTGTGCATTCATCTCACAGAGTTGAAACTTTCTTTTGATAGAGCAGCTTTGAAACACTCTTTTTGTAGAATCTGCAAGTGGACATCAGGAGCGCTTTGAGGCCTATGGCGGAAAAGGAAATATCTTCACATAAAAACTATACAGAAGCATTGTCACAAACTTCTTTGGGATCCGTGCTTTCATGTCACAGAGTTGAAAATTTCTTTTCATTAATCTATTTTGAAATACTCTTTTGGTAGAATCTGCAAGTGGACATTTGGAATTCTTTGAGGCCTACGGTGGAAAAGGAAATATCTTCACAGAAAAACTACACAGAAGTATTCTGGGAAATTTCTTTGGGATGTGTGCATGCATCTCACAGAGTTGAACTTTCTTTTGATTGAGCAGTTTGAAACACTCCTTTTGTAGAATCTGCAAAGGGACATTTGGAGTACTTTGCGGCATATGGTGGTAAAGGAAATGTCTTCACATAAAAACTAGACAGAAGCATGCTGACAAACTTCTTTGTGTTGTTTGCATTCATCTCACAGAATTGAACCTTTCTTTCCATTGAGCAGTTTTGAAACACTGTTTTTGTACAATCTGCAAGTGGACATTTGGAGCACTTTGAGGCCTATGGTGGAAAAGGAAATATCTTCACTTAAGAACTAGACAGAATATCCTGAGAAACTTCTTTGTGATGTGTGCATTCATCTCACAGAGTTGAATATTTCTTTTCAATGAGCAGTTTTGAAACACTCTTTTTGTAGAATCTACAAGTGGACACTTGGTGCCCTTTGAGGCCTATGGTGGAAAAGGAAATATCTTCTCATAAAACATGGACAGAAACATTCTGAGAAACTTCTTCATGATGTGTATATTCATCTCAAAGGTTTGAACCTTTCTTTTGATTGAACAGTTTGGAAACACTCTTTTTGTACTATCTGCAAGTGGACATTTGGAGGGCTCTGAGGCCCCTGGTGGAAAAGGAAATATCTTCACTTAAGAACTGCAAAGAATCATTCTGAGAAAATACTTTGTGATGTGTGCATTCATCTGACAGAGTTGAACCTTACTGTTGATTGAGCAGATTTGAAACATCCTTTTTGAACTATCTACAAGTGGACATTTGGAGTGCGTTGATGCCTATGGTGTAAAAGTATATATCTTTACATAAAAACTAGACAGAAGGATTCTCGGAAATGTCTTTTTTATGTGTGCATTCATCTCACAGAGTTGAAACTTTCTTTTGATTGACTAGTTTGGAAAATCTTTTTGAAGGATCTGCAAGTGGACATTTGGATCACTTTGAGGCCTATGGTGGAAAAGGAAATATCTTCATATAAGAAGTAGACAGAAACATTCTGAGAAACTTCTTTGTGATGTGTGCATTCTTCTCACAGAGTTGAACCTTTCTTTTGATTGGGCAGTTTTGAAACAATCTTTTTGTAGAATATGCAAGTGGACATTTGGAGAGCCTTGTGGCGTATGGTGGAAAAGAAATATCTTCACATAAAAACTAGGCTGAAGAATTCTGACAAACTTCTTTGTGATGTGTGCATTTGTCTCGCAGAGATGAACCTTTCTTTTGATTGAGCAGCTTTGAAACACTTTTTTTGTAGAATCTGCAAGTGGACATTTGGAGCGCTTTGAGGAGTGTAATGGAAAATGAAATATCTTCATGTATTAACTACGCAGAAGTATTCTGAGAAACTTCTTTGTGACGAGTGCATTCATCTCACAGAGTTGAAACTTTCTTTTGATTTTCTAGTTTGGAAACACTCCTTTTGTAGAATCTCCAAGTGGACATTTGGAGCGCTTTGTGGCCTATGGTAAAAAAGGAAATACCTTCACATAAAAACTAGACAGAAGCATTCTAACAAACTTCTTTGTGATATGTGCATTCATCTCACAGAGTTTAACTTTACTTTTGATTGAGCTGTTTTGAAACACCCTTTTTGTACTGTCTGCAAGTGTACATTTGGAGCACTTTGAGGCCTCTGGTGGAAAAGGAACTATCTTCACATAAAAACTAGACAGAAGCATTCTGACAAACTTCTTTGTGATGTGTGCATTCTTCTCAGAGAGTTGAACCTTACTTTCGATTGACCAGTTTTGAAACACCGTTTTTTTTTCTGTTTTTTATTTTTTTTGGCTTTCTCTTTTTTTTATTATTGTTATTATTATTCTTTAAGTTTTAGGGTACATGTGCACAATGTGCAGGTTCGTCACATATTTATCCATGTGCCGTCTTGGTGTGCTGCACCCATTAACTCGCCATTTAGCGTTAGGTATATGTCATAATTCTGTCCCTTCCCCCTCCCCCCACCCCACAACAGTCCCCAGAGTGTGATGTTTCCCTTCCTTTGTCCATGTGTTCTCATTGTTCAATTTCCACCTATGAGTGAGAACACATGTTGTTTGGTTTTTTGTCCTTTTGTATTCCCTTTGAAAACTGGCAAAAGACAGGGATGCCCACTCTCACCACTCCTATTCAATATAGTGTTGGAAGTTCTGGCCAGGGCAATCAGGTAGGAGAAGTGAATAAAGGGCATTCAATTAGGAAAAGAGGAAGTCAAATTGTCCCTGTTTGCAGATGACATGATTGTATATCTAGAAAACCCCATTGTCTCAGCCGAAAATCTGCTTAAGCTGATAAGCAACTTCAGCAAAGTCTCAGGACACAAAATCAATGTAAAAAAATCACAAGCATTCTTGTACACCAATAGGAGACACACAGAGAGCCAAATCATGAGTGAAATCCCATTCACAATTGCTTCAAAGAGAATAAAATAAATAGAAATCCAACTTACAAGGGATGTGAAGGACCTCTTCAAGGAGAACTACAAACCACTGCTCAAGGAAATAAAAGAGGATACAAACAAGTGGAAGAACATTCCATGCTCATGGGTTGGAAGAATCAATATCGTGAAAATGGCCATACTGCCCAAGGTAATTTATAGATTCAATGCCATCCGCATCAAGTTACCAATGACTTTCCTAAGAGAATTGGAAAAAAACGACTTTAAAGTTCATATGGAACCAAAAAAGAGCCCGCATCGCCAAGTCAATCCCAAGCCAAAACAACAAAGCTGGAGGGATCACGCTACCTGACTTCGAACTATACTACAAGGCTACAGTAACCAAAACAGCATTGTTCTGGTACCAAAACAGAGACATAGATCAATGGAACAGAACAGAGACCTCAGGAATAATGCCGCATATCTACAACTATCAGACCTTTGACAAACCTGACAAAAACAAGCAATGGGAAAAGGATTCCCTATTTAATAAATGGTGCTGAGAAAACTAGCTAGCTATACGTAGAAAACTGAAACTGGAAACATTCTTGTTGTAGAATCTGCAAGTGGACATTTGGAGGGCTTTGAGAATTATTGTGGAAAAGGAAATATATTTACATAAAAACTAGACGGAAGAATTCTGAGAAATTTCTTTGTGATGTGTGAGTTCATCTCACAGAGTAGAACCTATCTTTTGATTGAGCAGTTTGGAAACACTCTTTTTGTAGAATCTGCAAGTGGACATTTGGAGAACTTTGCGGCCTATAGTGGAAAAGGAAATATCTTCACATAAAAACTAGACAGAAGAATTCTGAGAAACTTCTTTGTGATGTGTGCATTCATGTCATAGCGTTGAGCATTTCTTCTGATTGAGCAGCTTTGAAAAACTCTTTTTGTAGAATCTGCATGTGGACATTTGGAGCGCTTTGAGGCCTATAGTGGAAAAGGAAATATCTTCGTATAAAAACTATACAGAAACATTCTGACAAACTTCTTAGTGATGTGTGCATTCATCTCATAGAGTTGAACCTTTCTTTTCATTGAGCAGTTTTGAAAAACTCTTTTTGTGGAATGTGCAATTGTACATTTGAAGCGATTTGAGGCCTATGGTTGAAAAGGAAATATGGAAATATGTTCACATAAAAACTAGACAGAAGCGTTCTGACCAATTACTTTGTGATGTGTGCATTCATCTAACACAGTTGAACCTTTCTTTTGATTGAGTAGTTTGGAAATTCTCTTTTTGTAGAATCTGTAAGAGCACATTAGGAGTGCTTTGGGGCCTAAGGTGGAAAAGGTAATATCTTCACGTAAGAAGTAGACAGAAGTATGCTGAGTAACTTCTTTGTGATGTGTGCATTCATCTCACAGAGTTGAACCTTTCTTTTGATTGAGTAGTTTAGAAACTCTCTTTTTGTAGAATCTGCAAGTGGACATTTGGAGCGCTTTGCAGCCGATGGTGGAAAAGGAAATATCTTCACATAAAAACTAGACAAAAGCATTCTGACAAGCTTATTTGTGATGGCTGTATTCATCTCAAAGAGTTGAACCTTACTTTCGATTGAGCAGTTTTGAAACACTCTTTTTGTAGAATCTGCAAGTGGACATTTGGAGAGCTTTGAGGCCTGTGGTGGAAAGGGAAATATCTTCACACAAAACTATACAGAAGCATTCTGAGAAACTTATATGTGATATATGCATTCATCTCACAGAGTTTCAACTTTCTTTTGATTGAGCAACTTTGAAACACTCTTTTTATAGTACCTGCAAGTGGACATTTTTGGCGCTTTGAGGCAATGGTGGAAAAGGAAATATCTTCACATAGAAACTATACAGAAACATTCTGAAAAACTTCACTGAGATGTGTGGATTCATCTCACAGAGTTGAACCTTTCTTTTGATTGAGCAGCTTTGAAACACTCTTTGTAGAATCTGCATGTGGACATTTGGAGCTCTTTGAGGCCTATGGTGGAAAAGGAAATACCTTCACATAAAAACTATACAGAAACATTCTGATAAACTTCTTTGTTATGTGTGCATTCTTCTCACAGATTTGAACCTTTCTTTTCATTGAGCAGTTTTGAAAAACTCTTTTTGTGGAATCTGCAAGTGTACATTTGAAGCGCTTTGAAGCCTATGGCTTAAAAGGAAATATGTTCACATGAAAACTAGACAGAATCATTCAGAGAAAATCCTTTGTGTTGTGTGCATTCATCTCACAGGGTTGAACATTTCTTTTGATTAAGCAGGTTTAAACACTCTTTTTGTAGAATCTGCAAGTGGACATTGGGAGCCCTTTGAGTCCTGTGGTGGAATGGGAAATATCTTCATTTAAGAACTAGACAGAAGCATTCTGAGAAACTGCTTTGTGATGTGTGCGTTCATCTCACAGAGTTGAAACTTTCTTTTCATTGAGCAGTTTTGAAACAATCTTTTTGTAGAATCTGCAAGTGGACATTTGGAGCGCTTTGCGGCCTATGGTGGAAAAGGAAACATTTATACATGAAAACTAGACAGAAGCATTCTGACAAACTTCTTTGTGATGTGTGCTTTCATATCACAGAGATGAACATTTCTTTTGCTTGAGCAGTTTGGAAACACTCTTTATAGAACCCTCATGTGGACATTTGGAGCGCCTTGAGGCCGACGGTGGAAAAGGAAACATCTTCATATGAAAACTAGACAGAAGCATTCTGACAGACTTTTTTGTGATGTGAGAATTCACCTCACAGAGTTGAACCCTACCTTCGATTGAGCAGTTTTGAAACACTCTTTTTGTAGGATTTGCAATTGGACATTTGGAGCGCTTTGAGGACTATGGTGGAAAAGGAAATATCTGCACATAAACACTAGACAGAACCATTCTGAGAATATTCTTTGTGATGTGTGCATTCATCTCACAGAGGTGAACCTTTGTTTTGATTGAGCAGTTTTGAAACACTATTTTTGTGGGATCTGTAAGTGGACATTTGGAGCGTTTTGACGCCTATGCTGGAAAAGGAAATATCTTCACCTAAAAACTGGACAGAAGCATTCTGAGAAATTGCTTTGTGATGTGAGCATTCATCTCACAGAGTTGAAGCTTGCTTTTGATTGAGCAGCTTTGAAACACTCTTTTTGTAGAATCTGCATGTGGAAATTTGGAGCGCTTTGAGGCCTATTGTTGAAAAGGTAATATCTTCACATAATAACTAGACACAAGCATTCTGAGAAACTTCTTTGTAATATGTGCATTTATCTCACAGTGTTGAAATTTTCTTTGATAGAGTGGTTTGGAAACTCTTTTTGTAGAATCTGCAAGTGGACATTTGGAGAGCTTTGAGTCCTGTGGTGGAAAAGGAAATATCTACACTTAAGAACCTGACAGAAAAATTCTGAGAAACTTCTTTGTGAAATGTGCATTCATCTCACAGAGTTGAACCTTTCTTTTGATTGAGCAATTTTGAAACACTCTTTCTGTAGGATCTGCAAGTGGACATTTGCAGCCCTTTGGGGTCTATGGTGGAAAAGGAAATATCTTCATATAAAGACTAGACAGAAGCATTCTGGCAAATATCTTTGTGATGTGTGCATTCATCTCACTGAGGTGAACCTTTCTTTTGATTGAGTAGTTTGGAAACTCTCTTTTTGTGGAATCCGGAAGTGGACATTTGGGGTGCTTTGTGACCAATGGTGGAAAAGGAACCATCTTCACTTAAGAACTAGACGGAAGCATTCTCAGAAACTTCTTTGTGATGTGTGCATTCATCTCACAGAGTTGAACCTTTCTTTTGATTCAGCAGCTTTGAAACACTCTTTTTGTAGCATCTAGAATTGGACATTTGGAGCGCTTAGAGTCCTATGGTGGAAAAGAAAATATATTCACATAAAAACTAGACAGAATCATTCAGAGAAAATTCTTTGTGATGTGTGCATTCATCTCACAGAGTTGAACTGTTCTTTTGATGGAGCAGTTTGGAAAAACTTTTTTTGTATGATCTGGATGTTTACATTTGGAGCTTTTTGAGGCCTATGGTGTAAAAGGAAATATCTTCAAATAAAAACTAGACAGAAGCATTTTGAGAAACTTCTTTGTGATGGATGCATTCATATCACAGAGTTGAACATTTCTTTTGATTCAGCAGCTTTGAAACACTCTTTTCATAGAATCTGCAAGAGGACATTTGGAGTGTTTTGAGGCCAATGGTGGAAAAGGAAATATCTTCACATAAAAACTAGACAGAAGCATTCTGAGAAACTTCTTTGAGACGTGTGCATTCATCTCAGAGTGTTGAACCTTTCTTTTGATTGAGCAGCTTTGAAACACTCTTTTTTTAGAATCTGCATGTGGAGATTTGGAGAGCTTTGAGGCCAATGGTGGAAAAGGAAATATCTTCACATAAAAACGATTCAGAAATAGTCTGAGAAACTTCTTTCTGATTTGTGCATTCATGTCACAGAGTTGAACCTTTATTTCATTGAGCAGTTTTTATTTATTTATTTATTTATTTATTATTATTATACTTTAAGTTTTAGGGTACGTTCGCACAATGTGCAGGTTAGTTACATATGTATACATGTGCCATGCTGGTGGACTGCACCCACTAACTCGTCATCTAGCATTAGGTATATCTCCCAATGCTATCCCTCCTCCCTCCCCCCACCCCATAACAGTCCCGAGAGTGTGATGTTCCCCTTCCTGTGTCCATGTGTTCTCATTGTTCAATTCCCACCTATGAGTGAGAATATGCGGTGTTTCGTTTTTTGTTCTTGTGATAGTTTACTGAGAATGATGATTTCCAGCTTCATCCATGTCCCTACAAAGGACATGAACTCATCATTTTTTATGGCTGCATAGTAGTCCATGGTGTATATGTGCCACATTTTCTTAATCCAGTCTATCATTGTTGGACATTTGGGTTGGTTCCAAGTCTTTGCTATTGTGAATAATGCCATAATAAACATACATGTGCATGTGTCTTTATAGCAGCATGATTTATAGTCCTTTGGGTATATACCCAGTAATGGGATGGCTGGGTCAAATGGTATTTCTAGTTCTAGATCCCTGAGGAATCGCCACACTGACTTCCACAACGGTTGAACTAGTTTACAGTCCCACCAACAGTGTAAAAGTGTTCCTATTTCTCCACATCCTCTCCAGCACCTGTTATTTCCTGACTTTTTAATGATGGCCATTCTAACTGGTGTGAGATGGTATCTCATTGTGGTTTTGATTTGCATTTCTCTGATGGCCAGTGATGGTGAGCATTTTTTCATGTGTTTTTTGGCTGCATAAATGTCTTCTTTTGAGAAATGTCTGTTCATGTCCTTCAAAATCAATGAATAAAAATCACAAGCATTCTTATACACCAACAAAAGACAAACAGAGAGCCAAATCATGAGTGAACTCCCATTCACAATTGCTTCAAAGAGAATCAATATCGTGAAAATGGCCATACTGCCCAAGGTAATTTACAGATTCAATGCCATCCCCATCAAGCTACCAATGACTTTCTTCACAGAATTGGAAAAAAACTACTTTAAAGTTCATATGGAACCAAAAAAGAGCCCGCATCACCAAGTCAATCCTAAGCCAAAAGAACAAAACTGGAGGCTTCACACTACCTGACTTCAAACTATACTACAAGGCTACAGTAACCAAAACAGCATGGTACTGGTACCAAAACAGAGATATAGATCAATGGAACAGAACAGAGCCCTCAGGAATAACGTCGCATATCTACAACTATCTGATCTTTGACAAACCTGAGAAAAACAAGCAATGGGGAAAGGATTCCCTCTTTAATAAATGGTGCTGGGAAAACTGGCTAGCCATATGTAGAAAGCTGAAACTGGATCCCTTCCTTACACCTTATACAAAAATCATTTCAAGATGGATTAAAGACTTAAACGTTCAACCTAAAACCATAAAAACTCTAGAAGAAAACCTAGGCATTACCATTCAGGACACAGGCATGGGCAAGAACTTCATTTCTAAAACACCAAAAGCAATGGCAACAAAAGCCAAAATTGACAAATGGGATCTAATTAAACTAAAGAGCTTCTGCACAGCAAAAGAAACTACCACCAGAGTGAACAGGTAACCTACAAAATGGGAGAAAATTTTCACAACCTACTCATCTGACAAAGGGCTAATATCCAGAATGTACAATGAACTCAAACAAATTTACAAGAAAAAAACAAACAACCCCATCAAAAAGTGAGCAAAGGACATGAACAGACACTTCTCAAAAGAAGACATTTATGCAGCCAAAAAACACATGAAAAAATGCTCATCATCACTGGCCATCAGAGAAATGCAAATCAAAACCACAATGAGATACCATCTCACACCAGTTAGAATGGCAATCATTAAAAAGTCAGGAAACAACAGGTGCTGGAGAGGATGTGGAGAAATAGGAACACTTTTACACTGTTGGTGGGACTGTAAACTAGTTCAACCGTTGTGGAAGTCAGTGTGGTGATTCCTCAGGGATCTAGAACTAGAAATACCATTTGACCCAGCCATCCCATTACTGGGTATATACCCAAAGGACTATAAATCATGCTGCTATAAAGACACATGCACACGTATGTTTATTGTGGCATTATTCACAATAGCAAAGACTTGGAACCAACCCAAATGTCCAACAATGATAGACTGGATTAAGAAAATGTGTCACATATACACCATGGAATACTATGCAAACATAAAAAATGATGAGTTCGTGTCCTTTGTAGGGACATGGATGAAATTGGAAATCATCATTCTCAGTAAACTATCGCAAGAACAAAAAACCAAACACTGCATATTCTCACTCATAGGTGGGAATTGAACAATGAGATCACATGGACACAGGAAGGGGAATATCACACTCTGGGGACTGTTGTGGGGTGGGGGGAGGGGGAGGGATAGCATTGGGAGATATACCTAATGCTAGATGACGAGTTATTGGGTGCAGCGCACCAGCATGGCACATGTATACATATGTAACTAACCTGCAAAATGTGCACATGTACCCTAAAACTTAAATTATAAAAAAAAATAAATAAATAAAAATAAATAAATAAAGATACAAAGTCAAAAAAAAACTATTTTTGTAATATCTGCAGGTGGACATTTGGAGCACTTTTTGGCGTATGGTGGAAAAGGAAATATCTTCATTTAAGAACTAGATGGAAGCATTCTGTGAAGCTGATTTGTGACGTGTACATTCCTCTCACAGAGCTGAAACTTTATTTTAATTGAGTAGTTTTGAAAACTCTCATTTTGTAGAATCTGCAAGTGGACATTTGGAGCGCTTTGCGGCCTATGGTGGAAAAGGAAATATCTTCACATTAAAACTAGGCAGAAGCATTCTGACAAGCTTATTTGTCATTTATCTCATGGAGTTGCCATTTATCTCACGGAGTTGAACTTAACTTTCGATAGAGCAGTTTTGAAACACTCTTTTTGTAGAATCTGCAAGTGGACATTTGGAGAGCTTTGAGGCCTGTGGTGGAAAGGGAAATATCTTCACACAAAACTAGACAGAAGCATTCTGACAAAGTTTTTGTGATGTGTGCATTCATCTCGCAGAGTGGAACCTTAATTTCGATTGAACGGTTTCGAAACACTCCTTTTGTAGAATCTGCAAGTGGACATTTGGCGCGCTTTGATGCCTATGGTGGAAAACGAAATATCTTCACATAATAACTAGACAGAAGCATTCTGAGAAACTTCTATGTGATGTGTGCATTCATCTCATAGAGTTGAAACTTTCTTTTGATTGAGCCACTTTGAAACACTCTTTCTGTAGTATCTGCAAGTGGACATTTTTGGCGCTTTGAGGCAATGGTGGAAAATGTAATATCTTCACATAAAAACTAGACAGAAGAATTCTGAGAAACTTCTTTGAGATGTGTGCCTTCATGTTACAGAGTTGAACCTTTCTTTTGATTGAGCAGTTTGGAAACACACTTTTTGAATAATCTTCAGTTGGACAATTGGAGCACTTAGTGGCCTATGGTAGAAAAGGAAATATGTTCACATAAAATATAGACAGAAGAAATCGGACAGGAGCAACTTTGAAACACTCTTTCTGTAGCATCTGCAAGTGGACATTTTTGGCGCTTTGAGTCAATGGTGGAAAAAGAAATATCTTCACACAAGAACTATACAAAAACATTCAAAAAACTTCACTGAGATGTGTGGATTCATCTCACAGAGTTGAACCTTTCTTTTGATTGAGCAGTTTTGAAAGACTCTATTTGTAGAATTTGAATTTGGACATTTGGTGCGCTTTGCAGCCCATGGTGGAAAAGGAAATATCTTCACATAAAAACTAGACAGAAGCATTCTGACAAACTTCTTTGTGACTTGCACATTCATGTCACAGAGTTGAACCTTTCTTTTGATTGAGCAGCTTTGAAACACTCTTTTTGTAGAATCTGCATGTGGACATTTGGAGCTCTTCGAGGCCTATGGTGGAAAAGCAAATACCTTAACATAAAAACTATACAGAAACATTCTGACACACTTCTTTGTTATGTGTACATTCTTCACACAGATTTGAACTTTTCTTTTCATTTAGCAGTTTTGAAAAACTCTTTGTGGAATCTGCAAGTGTACTTTTGAAGCACTTTGAGGCCTATGGTTTAAAAGGAAATATGTCCACATAAAAACTAGACAGAATCATTCAGAGAAAATCCTTTGTGTTGTGTGCATTCATCTCACCGGGTTGAACATTTCTTTTGATTGAGCAGGTTTAAACACTATTTTTGAACAATCTGCAAGTGGACATTGGGAGCCATTTGAGTCCTGTTGTGGAATGGGAAATATCTTCATTTAAGAACTAGACAGAAGCATTCTGAGAAACTTCTTTGTGATGTGTGCATTCATCTCACAGAGTTAAACATTTCTTTTGATTGAGCTGTCTTGAAACTATTTTGTAGAATCTGCAAGTGGACATTTGGAGCGCTTTGAGGCCTATGGTAGAAAAGGAAATATCTTCACATAAAATCTAGACAAAACCAATCTGAGAAACTTCTTTGTGATGTGTGCATTCATCTCACAGAGTTAAAACTTTTTTTTGATTGTGCAGTTTTGAAACTCTCTTTTTGTAGACTCTGCAAGTGGACATTTGGAGCTCTTTTAGGCCTATGGTGGAAATAGAAATATCTTCACATAAAAACTAGAGAGAAGAATTCTGAGAAACTTGTTGGTGATGTGTGCGTTCATCTCACAGAGTTGAAACTTTCTTTTGATTGAGCAGTTTGGAAACACTCTTTTTGTAGAATCTGCAAGTGGACATTTGGAGCGCTTTGCGGCCTATGGTAGAAAAGGAAATATCTTAACATAAAACCTACACAGAAGCAATCTGAGAAACTTCTTTGTGATGTGTGCTTTCATCTCACAGAGTTAAACCTTTCTTTTGATTGAGCAGTTTTGAAACTCTCTTTTTGTTGAATCTGCAAGTGGACAATTGGAGCACTTTGGGGCCTATAGTGGATAAGGAAATATCTCCACATAAAAATAGACAGAAGATTTCTGAGAAACTTCTTTGTGATGTGTGCATTCATGTCACAGATTTGAACCATTCTGTTGATTGAGTAGCTTGGAAACACTCTTTTTTAGAATCTCCAAGTGGACATTTGGAGCGCTTTGCGGTCTATGGTAGAAAAGGAATTATCTTCACATAATATCTAGACAGAATCAATCTGAGAAACTTCTTTGTGATGTGTGCATTCATCTCACAGAGTTAAGCCATTCTTTTGATTGAGCAGCTTTGAAACTCTCTTTTCGTAGACTCTGCAAGTGGACATTTGGAGCGCTTTGAGGCTTACAGTGAGAAAGGAAATATCTTCCCATAAAAACTAGACAGAAGAATTCTGAAAAACTTTGTGATGGGCACGTTCATCTCACAGAGTTGAAACTTTCTTTTGATTGAGCAGTTTGGAAACCCTCTTTTTATAGAATCTGCAAGTGGACATTTAGAGCACTTTGTGGCCTATGGTAGACAAGGAAATATGTTCACATAAAATCTAGACAGAAGTAATCTGAGAAACAGCTTTGTGATGTGTGCATTCATCTCACAGAGATAAACATTTCTTTTGATTGAGCAGTTTTGAAACTGTCTTTTTGTAGAATCTGCAAGTGGACATTTGGAGCAATTTGAGGCCTATGGTGGAAAAGGAAATATCTTCACATAAAAACTACATAGAAGCGTTCTGAGAAAGATTTTGTGATGTGCGCATTTATCACCCAGAGTTGAATCTTTCTTTTGAAGGACCAGTTTTGAAATACTCTTTCTGTAGAATCTTCAAGTGGACATTTCGAGCGCCTTGAGGCCTATGGTTTAAAAGGAAATATCTTCACATAAAAACAAGACAGAAGAATTCTGAGAAAGTTCTTTGTGATATGTGCATTCATCTCGCAGAATTGAGCCTTTCTTTTGATTGAGCAGTGTTGAAACTCTCTTTTTGTAGAATCTGCAAATGGTCATTTGGAGCACTTTGAAGCCTACGGTGGAAAAGGAATTTATCTTCACATAAAAACTAGAGAGAAGAATTCTGACAAACTTCTTTGTGATGTGTGCGTTCACCTCACAGAGTTGAAACTTTCTTTTGATTGAGCTGTTTGGAAACACTCTTTTTGTAGAATCTGCAAGTGGACATTTGGAGCACTTTGTGGCCTATGGCAGAACAGGAAATATCTTCACATAAAATTCAGACAGAGGCAATCTGAGAAACTACTTTGTGATGTGTGCATTCATTTCACAGAGTTAAAACTTTAGTTTGATTGAGCAGTTTTGAAACTCTCTTTTTGTAGAATCTGCAAGTGGACTTTTGGAGCGCTTTTAGGCCTATGGTGGAAAAGGAAATATCTTCACATAAATACTAGACAGAAGAATTCTGAGAAACTTCTTTGTGATGTGTGCGTTCATCTCACTGAGTTGAACCTTCATTTTGATTGAGCATTTTGGAAGCACTCCTTTTACAGAATCTGCAAGTGGAGATTTGGAGCGCTTTGCAGCCTATGGTAGAAAAGGAAATACCTAGCCAGTTTTCCCAGCACCATTTATTAAATAGGGAATCCTTTCCCCATTGCTTGTTTTTCTCAGGTTTGTCAAAGATCAGATAGTTGTAGATATGCGGCATTATTTCTGAGGGCTCTGTTCTGTTCCATTGATCTATATCTCTGTTTTGGTACCAGTACCATGCTGTTTTGGTTACTGTAGCCTTGTAGTATAGTTTGAAGTCAGGTAGTGTGATGCCTCCAGCTTTGTTCTTTTGGCTTAGGATTGACTTGGCAATGCGGGCTCTTTTTTGGTTCCATATGAACTTTAAAGTAGTTTTTTCCAATTCTGTGAAGAAAGTCATTGGTAGCTTGATGGGGATGGCATTGAATCTGTAAATTACCTTGGGCAGTATGGCCATTTTCACGATATTGATTCTTCCTACCCATGAGCATGGAATGTTCTTCCATTTGTTTGTCTCCTCTTTTATTTCCTTGAGCAGTGGTTTGTAGTTCTCCTTGAAGAGGTCCTTCACATCCCTTGTAAGTTGGATTCCTAGGTATTTTATTCTCTTTGAAGCAATTGTGAATGGGAGTTCACCCATGATTTGGCTCTCTGTTTGTCTGTTGTTGGTGTATAAGAATGCTTGTGATTTTTGTACATTGATTATTTAGCCATATGTAGAAAGCTGAAACTGGATCCCTTCCTTACACCTTATACAAAAATCAATTCAAGATGGATTAAAGATTTAAACGTTAAACCTAAAACCATAAAAACCCTAGAAGAAAACCTAGGCATTACCATTCAGGACATAGGCGTGGGCAAGGACTTCATGTCCAAAACACCAAAAGCAATGGCAACAAAAGACAAAATTGACAAATGGGATCTAATTAAACTAAAGAGCTTCTGCACAGCAAAAGAAACTACCATCAGAGTGAACAGGCAACCTACAACATGGGAGAAAATTTTTGCAACCTACTCATCTGACAAAGGGCTAATATCCAGAATCTACAATGAACTCAAACAAATTTACAAGAAAAAAACAAACAACCCCATCAAAAAGTGGGCGAAGGACATGAACAGACACTTCTCAAAAGAAGACATTTATGCAGCCAAAAAACACATGAAGAAATGCTCATCATCACTGGCCATCAGAGAAATGCAAATCAAAACCACTATGAGATATCATCTCACACCAGTTAGAATGGCAATCATTAAAAAGTCAGGAAACAACAGGTGCTGGAGAGGATGCGGAGAAATAGGAACACTTTTACACTGTTGGTGGGACTGTAAACTAGTTCAACCATTGTGGAAGTCAGTGTGGCGATTCCTCAGGGATCTAGAACTAGAAATACCATTTGACCCAGCCATCCCATTACTGGGTATATACCCAAATGAGTATAAATCATGCTGCTATAAAGACACATGCACACGTATGTTTATTGCGGCACTATTCACAATAGCAAAGACTTGGAACCAACCCAAATGTCCAACAATGATAGACTGGATTAGGAAAATGTGGCACATATACACCATGGAATACTATGCAGCCATAAAAAATGATGAGTTCATATCCTTTGTAGGGACATGGATGAAATTGGAAACCATCATTCTCAGTAAACTATCGCAAGAACAAAAAACCAAACACCGCATATTCTCACTCATAGGTGGGAATTGAACAATGAGATCACATGGACACAGGAAGGGGAATATCACACTCTGGGGACTGTGGTGGGGTCGGGGGAGGGGGGAGGGATAGCATTGGGAGATATACCTAATGCTAGATGACACATTAGTGGGTGCAGCGCACCAGCATGGCACATGTATACATATGTAACTAACCTGCACAATGTGCACATGTACCCTAAAACTTAGAGTATAATAAAAAAAAAAAAAAAAAAAAAAAAAAAAAAGGAAGCCACTCAACTGCACATTAAAAAAAAAAAATAAATAAATAAATAAATAAATATCCAAAAAAAAAAAAAAAAAAAAAAAAGAAAAGGAAATACCTGCACGTAAAATCTAGACAGAAGCAATATGAGAAAATACTTTGTGATGTGTGCATTCATCTCAGAGAGATAAACATTGCTTTTGGCAGAGCATTTTCTAAACTCTGTTTTTGTAGAATCTGGAAGTCTACATTTGGAGCGGTTTGAGGACAATGTGGAAAGAAAATATCTTCACATAAAAACCAGATTGAAGAATACTGAGAAACTTCTTTGTGATGTGTGCGTTCATCTCACAGACTGGAACATTTCTTTTGATTGAGCTGTTTGGAAACACTCTTTTTGTAGAATCTGCAAGTGGACATTTGGAGCACTATGTGGCCTATGGTAGAAAAGGAAATATCTTCACATAAAATTCAGACAGAAGCAATCTGAGAAACTACTTTGTGATGTGCTCATTCATTTCACAGAGTTAAACTTTTCTTTTGATTCAGGTGTCTTGAAACTCTATTTTGTAGAATCTGCAAGTGGACATTTGGAGCGCTTTGAGGCCTATGGTAGTAAAAGAAACATCTTCACATAAAATCTAGACAAAAGCAATCTGAGAAACTTCTTTGTGATGTGTGCTTTCATCTCACAGAGTTAGAACTTTTTTTGGATTGAGCAGTTTTGAAATTCTCTTTTTGTAGAATCTGCAAGTGGACATTTGGAGCGCTTTGAGGCCTATGGTAGTAAAAGAAACATCTTCACATAAAATCTAGACAAAAGCAATCTGAGAAACTTCTTTGTGATGTGTGCTTTCATCTCACAGAGTTAAAACTTTTTTTGGATTGAGCAGTTTTGAAATTCTCTTTTTGTAGAATCTGCAAGTGGACATTTGGAGTGCTTTTAGACCTAAGGTGGAAAAGGAAACATCTTCCCATAAAAACTAGACAGAAGAATTCTGAGAAACTCCTTTGTGATGTATGTGTTCATCTCACAGAGTTGAAACTTCCTTTTGATTGAGCAGTTTGGAAAAACTGTTTTTGTAAAATCTACAAGTGGACACTTGGAGCGCTTTGCAGCCTAAGGTAGAAAAGGAAATGTCTTCACATAAAAGCTAGACAGAAGCAATCTGAGAAACTTCTTTGTGATATGTGCATTCATCTCACAGAGTTGAACCTTCCTTTGATTGAGCAGTTTGGAATCACTCTGTTTGTAGAATGTGCAAGTGGACATTTGGAGTGCTTTGAGGTCTATGGTGGAAAAGGAAATATCTTCACATAAAAACTAGACAGAAGATTTCTGACAAACTTCTTTGTGATGTGTGTGTTCATATCACTGAGTTGAAACTTTATATTGATTGAGTAGTTTGGAAAAACTCTTTTTGTAGAATCTGCAAGTGGAGATTTAGAGTGCTTTGTGGCCTATGGTAGAAAAGGAAATACCTTCACATAAAATGTAGACAGAAGTAATATGAGAAAATTCTTTGTGATATGTGCATTCATCTCACAGTGTTAAACATTGCTTTTGAATGAGCATTTTGAAACTCTGTTTTGTAGAATCTGGAAGTGTACATTTGGAGCAGTTTGAGGCCAATGTGGAAAAGGAAATATCTTCACATAAAAACTAGACAGAAGAATACTGAGAAACTTCTTTGTGATGTGTGCATTCATCACACAGAGTGGAACGTTTCTTTTGATTGAGCTGTTTGGAAACCATCTTTTTGTAGAATCTGCAAGTGGCCATTTAGAACACTTTGTGGCCTATGGTAGAAAAGGAAATATCTTTACATAAAACTCAGACAGAAGCAATCTGAGAAACTGCTTTGTGATGTGTGCATCCATCTCACAGAGTTAAACATTTCTTTTGATTGAGCTGTCTTGAAACTCTATTTTGTAGAATCTGCAAGTGGACATTTGGAGTGCTTTGAGGCCTATCGTAGAAAAGGAAATATCTTCACATAAAATCTAGACAAAAGTAATCTGAGAAACTTCTTTGTGATGTGTGCATTCATCTCACAGAGTTAAAACTGTTTTTTGATTGAGCAGTTTTGAAACTCTCTTTTTGTAGAATCTGCAAGTGGACATTTGGAGCACTTTTAGGCCTATGGTGGAAAAGGAAATATCTTCCCATAAAAACTGGACAGAAGAATTCTGATAAACTTCTTGTTGATGTGTGCGTTCATCTCACAGAGTTGAAACTTTCTTTTGATTGAGCAGTTTGAAAACAATCTTTTTGTAGAATCTGCAAGTGGACATTTGGAGGGCTTTGCGGGCTATGGTAGAAAAGGAAATATCTTCACTTAAAATGTAGAAATAAGCAATCTGAGAAACTTCTTTGTGATGTGTGCATTCATCTCACAGAGTTAAACCTTTCTTTTGATTGAGCAGTTTTGAAACTCTCTTTTTGTTGAATCTGCAAGTGGACAATTGGAGCACTTGAGGCCTATGGTGGAAAAGGAAATATCTTCACATAAAAGCTAGACAGAAGAACTCTGAGAAACTTCTTTGTGATGTGCGCATTCATCTCACAGAGTTGAACATTTCTTTTCATTGAGAATTATTGAAACACTCTTTTTGTAGATTCTGTAAGTGGGCATTTTGAGCACTTTGCCGCCTATGTTAGAAAAGGAAATAGCTTCACACAAAATCTAGACAGAAGCAATCTGAGAAACTTCTTTGGAATGTGTGCATTCATCTCACAGGGTTAACTCTTACTTTTGATTGAGCAGTTTTGAAACTCTATTTTTGTTGAATGTGCAAGTGGACATTTGGAGTGCTTTGAGTCCTATGGTGGAAAACGAAATATCTTCACATAAAAACTAGACAGAAGCATTTTTAGAAACTTCTTTGTCATGTGTGCGCTGATCTCAAAGGGTTAAGCCTTTGTTTTGATTGAGCAGTTTTGAATCTCTCTTTTTGTAGAATCTGCAATTTAACATTTGGAGCGCTTTGAGGCCTGTGGAGGAAAAGGAAATATTTTCACATCAAAACTACACAGAAGAATTCAGAGAAACCTCTTCGTGATACATGCGTTTATCTCACAGAGTTGAATCTTTCTTTTGATTAAGAGTTTGGAAACACTCTTTTTGTGGAATCTGCAAGTGGACATTTGGAGCGCTTTGCAGCCTATGTTAGAAAAGGAAATATATTCCCATAAAATCTAGATAGAATGAATCTGAGAAACTTCTTTGTGATGTGTGCATTCATCTCACAGAGTTAAAACTTTCTTTTGATTGAGCTGTCTTGAAACTCTCTTTTTGTAAAATCTGCAAGTGGACATTTGGAGTGCTTTGAGGCCTACTGTGGAAAAGTAAATATTTACACATAAAAACTAGACAGAAAAATTCTGAGAAACTTCTTTGTGATTTGTGCTTACATCTCACAGAGTTGAACCTTTCTTTTGATTGAGCAGTTTGGAAGCACTCTTTTTGTACAACATGCAAGTGGACATTTGGAGCGCTTTGTGACCTCTGGTAGAAAACGAAATATCTTCACAGAAAATCTAGATAAAAGCAGTCTGACAAAGTACTTTATGATGTGTGCATTCATATCACAGAGTTAAACATTTCTTTTGATTGAGCAGTTTTGAAACTCTCTTTTTGTAGAATCTACAGTGTACATTTGGAGTGGTTTGAGGCCTATGGTGGAAAAGGAAATATCTTCAGATAAAAACTAGACAGAAGAATTCTGAGAAACTTCTTTGTGATGTGTGCATTCATCTCACAGAGTTGAACCTTTCTTTTGATTAAGCAGTTTGGAATCACTCTTTTTGTAGAATCTGCAAGTGGACATTTGGAGTGCTTTGCGGCCTACGTTAGAAAATGACATATATTAAAATAAAATCTAGACAGAAGCAATCTGAGAAACTTCTTTGTGATGTGTGCATGCATCTCACAGAGTTAAAACTTTCTTTTGATTGAGCTGTCTTGAAACTCTCTTTTTGTAAAATCTGCAAGTGAACATTAGGAGAGCTATGATGCCTATGATGGAAAAGGAAATATCTTCACATAAAAACTAGACAGCAGAATTCTGAGAAACTACTTTGTGATGTGTGCGTTCATATCAAAGAGTTGAACCTTACTTTTTATTGAGCAGTTTGTAAACACTCTATTTGTAGAATTTGCAACTGGACATTTGGAGTGCTTTGTGGCCTATGGTAGAAAACAAAATATCTTCACATAAAATCTAGATGAAAGCAATCTGACAAACATCTTTGTGGCGTGTGCATTCATCTCACCGAGTCAACCTTTCTTTTGACTGAGCACTTTGGAAACTCTATTTTTGTAGAATCTGCAAGTGGACATTTGGAACACTCTGAGGCTTATGGTGGAAAAGGAAATATCTTCACATAAAAACTAGACAGAAGAATTCTGACAAATTTCTTTGTGATGTGTGCATTCAGCTCATGGACTTGAACACTTCTTTTGTTTGAGCAGTTTGGAAACACTCTTTTTGAAGGATCTGCAAGTGGACATTTGGAGCTCTTTGCGGCCTATGGTGGAAAAGGAAATATCTTCATATAAAATGTAGACAGAAGTAATCTGAAAACCTTCTTTATGATGTGTGCATTCATCTCACAGAGTTAAACATTTCTTTTGATTTAGCAGTCTTGAAACTCTCTTTTTGTAGAATCTGCAAGTGGACATTTGTAGCGCTTTGAGGCCTATGGTAGAATAGAATATATCTTCACATAAAAACTAGACAGAGGAATTATCATATACTTCTTTGTGATGTGTGCGTTACTCTCACAGAGTTGAAACTTTCTTTTGATTAAGCAGTTTGGAGACACTCTTTTTGTAGAATCTGCAAGTGGACATTAAGAGCGCTTTGTAGCCTACGTTAGAAAAAGTAATATCTTCACAAAAAATCTAGAAAGAAGCAATCTGAGAAACTTCTTTGTGATGTGTGCATTCATCTCACAGAGTTAAACCTTTATTTTGATTGAACAGTTATGAAACTCTTTTTTTGTAGAATCTACAAGTGGACATTTTCAGCGCTTTGAGGCCTATGGTGGAAAAGGAAATATCTTCACATAAAAAATAGATAGAAGCATTTTTAGAAACATCTTTGTGATGTGTGCATTCATCTAATGGGTTGAAACCTTTCTTTTGATAGAGGAGTTTTAAAGCTCCCTTTTTGTATAATCTCTAAGTGGACATTTGAAGGGCTTTCAGGCCTATGGTGGAAAATGAAATATCTACACATAAAAAGTACATAGAAGCATTCTGAGAAACTACTTTGTGATGTGTGCATTCAACCCCCAGAGTTGAACATTCCTTTGAAGGAACAGTTTTGAAATACTCTTTTTGTAGAATCTGCAAGTGTACCATTCGAGTGCCTTGGGGCCTATGGTACAAAAGGAAATATCTTCACATAAAAACTAGAAAGAAGAATTCTGAGAAAGCTCTTTGTGATGTGTGCATTCATCTAGAAAGTTGAACATTTCTTTGGTTGAGCAGTTTGGAAACACTCTTTTGGTAGAATCTGCAAGTGGACATTTGGAGCACTCTGTGGCCTATGTTAGAACAGGAAACATCTTCACATAAAATGTAGACAGAAGCAATCTGAGAAACTTCTTTGTGATGTGTGCATTCATCTCAAAGAGGTAAAGCTTTCCTTTGATAGAGCAGATTTGAAACTCTCTTTTTGTAGAATCTGCAAGTGGACATTTGGAGCAATATGATGCATGTGGTGGAAAAGTTAATATCGTCATATAAAAACTAGACAGAAGAATTCTGAGAAACTTCTTTGAGATGTCTGTGTTCATCTCACAGAGTTGAAACTTTCCTTTGATTGAGCAGTTTGGAAATACTCTTTTTGTAGAATCTGCAAGTGGACATTTGGAGAGCTTTGCAGCCAATGGTAGAAAAGGCAATATCTTCACGTAAAATCTAGACAGAAGGAATCTCAGAAACTTCCGCATGTTGTCTGCATTCATTTCACAGAGTTAAACTTTTCTTTTGATTGAGCAGTTTGGAAACTCTTTTTGTAGGATCTGCAAGTGGACATTTGTAGTGCTTTGAGGCCAATGGTGGAAAAGGAAATATCTTCACATAAAAACTAGACAGAAGAATTCTGAGAAACTTCTTTGTGATGTGTGTGTTCATCTCACAGAGTTGAACGTTTCTTTTGATTGAGCTGTTGGAAACACTCTTTCTGTAGAATCTGCAAGTGGACATTTGGAGCACTTTGCGACCTATGGTGGAAAAGGAAATATCTTCACATAAAAACTAGACAGAAGAATTATTAGAAACCTCTTTGTGATGCGAGTGTTCAACTCACAGAGTTGAACCTTTCTTTTGATTGTGCAGTTTGCAAACAACTCTTTTTGTAGATTCTGCAAGTGCACATTTGGAGCCCTTTGCGGCCTATGGTAGAAATGGCAATATCTTCACGTAAAATCTAGACAAAAGCAATCTGAGAAATTTCTTTATGATGTATGCATTCATCTCACAGAGTTAATCATTCTTTTGACTGAGCAGTTTTGAAACTCTCTTTTTGTATAATCTGCAAGTGAAAATTTGTGGCGCTTTGAGGTATATGGTGGAAAAGGAAATATCTTCACAGAAAAACTAGACAGAAGAATTCTGAGAAACTCCTTTGTGATGTGTGTGTTCATCTCACAGAGTTGAAACTTTCTTTTGATTCAGCAGTTTGGAAACACTCTTTTTGTAGAATCTACAAGTGGACATTTGGAGCGATTTGCGGGCTGTGGTAGAAAAGGAAATATCTTCACTTAAAATCTAGAAAGAAGCAACCTGAGAAACTTCTTTGTGATGTGTTCATTCATCTCACAGAGTTAAAGATTTCTTTTATTGAACAGTTTTCAAACTCTCTTTTTGTAGAATCTGCAAGTGGACATTTGGAGGGCTTTGCGGGCTATGGTAGAAAAGGAAATATCTTCACTTAAAATGTAGAAATAAGCAATCTGAGAAACTTCTTTGTGATGTGTGCATTCATCTCACAGAGTTAAACCTTTCTTTTGATTGAGCAGTTTAAAAACACTCTTTTTGTAGAATCTGGAAGTGGACATTTGGAGCGCACTGAGGCCATGGTGGAAAAGGAAATATCTTCACATAAAAACTAGACAGAAGAATTCTGACAAACTCCTTTGTGATGTGTGCCTTCATCTCACAGAGTTGAAACTTTCTTTTTATTGAGCAGTTTGCAAAACCACTTTTAGTAGAGTCTGAATGTGGACATTTGGAGCACTTTGTGGACTATGGTAGAGAAGGGAATATCTTCATGTAAAATCTAGACAGAAGTAATCTGAGAAACTTCTTTGTGATGTGCGCATTCATCTCACAGAGTTAAACCTTTCTTTTGATTTAGCAGTTTTGAAACTCTCTTTTAGTAGAATCTGCAAGTGGACATTTGGAGAGCTTTGAGGCCTAAAAAAGTTTACAGAGTTAAACTTTTCTTTTGATTGAGCAGTTTTGAAAATGTCTTTTTGTAGAATCTGTAAGTGGACATTTGGAGAGCTTTGAGGCCTATGGTGTAAAAGGAAATATCTTCACATAAAACCTAGATAGAAGTATTATGAGAAACTGCTTTGTGATGTGTGCATTCATCTCCCCGAGTTGACCCTTTCTTATGAAGGACCAGTTTTGAAATAAGCTTTTTGTAGAATCTGCAAGTGGACATTTTAAGTGTCTTGAGGTCTATGGTGGAAAAGGAAATGTCTTCACAAAAACTAGACAGAAGAATTCTGAGAAACCTCTTTGTGATGCAAGCATTCATCTCACAGAGTTGAGCCTTTCTTTTGATTGAGCAGTTTGGAAACAGTCTTTTTGTTGAATCTGCAAGTGGACATTTGGAGAACTTTGCGGCCTATGGTAGAAAAGGAAATATCTTCACATAAAATCTAGACAGAAGTAATCTGAGAAACTTCTTTGTGATGTGCGCATTCATCTCACAGAGTTAAAACTTTCTTTTGATTGAGGAATTTTGAAATTCTCTTTTTGTAGAATCTGCAAGTGGACATTTGGAGTGCTTTGTGGCCTATGGTAGAATAGGAAATATCTTTACATAAAAACTAGACAGAAGAATTCTGAGAAACTTCTTCTTGATGCATGCGTTCATCTCATAGAGTTCAACCTTTCTTTTGATTGACCGGTTTAGAAACACTCTGTCTTTAAATTCTGCAAGTGAACATTTGGAGCGCTTTGCGGCCTATGGCATAAAAGGAAATATCTTCACATTAAATCTAGACACAAGCAATCTGAGAAACTTCTTTGTGATGTGTGCATTCATCTCACGGAGTTAAACATTTCTTTTGATTTAGCAGTTTTGAAACTCTCTTTTTGTAGAATCTGTAAGTGGACATTTGGAGCGCTTTGAGGCCTACAATGGAAAACGATTTATCTTCACAGTAAAACTAGAAAGAAGTATTTTGGGAAACTTCTTTCTAATGTGTGCGTTCATCTCACAGAGTTAAACCTTTCTTTTGGTTGAGCAGTCTTGAAGCTCTCTTTTTGTAGAATCTGCAAGTGGACATTTGGAGCGCTTTGAGGCCTATGGTGGAAAAGGAAATATCTCCACTTAAAAACTAGACAGAAGAATTCTGAGAAACTTCTTTGTGATGGGTGCGTTCATCTCACAGAGCTGAACTTTTGTTTGGGTGGAGCAGTTTGAAAACACTCTTTTTCTAGAATTTGCAGGTGGACCTTTGGAGTGCTTTGCGGCCTATGGTAGAAAAAAGAAATATCTTCGCATAAAATCTAGACAGAAGCAATCTGAGAAACTGCTTTGTCATGTTTGCATTCATCTAACAGGCTTGAACATTTCTTTTGATTGAGCACTTTGGAAACACTCTTTTTGCAGA
Organism: Homo sapiens; assembly: GCF_000001405.40. Classification (NCBI taxonomy): domain Eukaryota; kingdom Metazoa; phylum Chordata; class Mammalia; order Primates; family Hominidae; genus Homo; species Homo sapiens. Next base: position 19,808,114 of record NC_000015.10, on the reverse strand, counting down.
ATCTGGAAGTGGACATTTGGAGCGCTTTGAGGCCTATTTTAGAAAAGGAAATATCTTCACATAAAATCTAGACAGAAGAAATCTGAGAAACTTCTTTGTAAATGTGTGCATTCATCTCACAGAGTTAAACATTTCCTTTGATTGAGAAGTTTTGAAACTCTCTTTTTTTAGAATCAGAAAGTGGACATTTTGAGTACTTTGAGGCATATGGTGGAAAAGGAAATATCCGCAGATGAAATCTAGAAAGAAGCAATCTGAGAAACTTCTTTATGATGTGTGCATTCATCTCACACAGTAAAACCTTTCTTTTGATTGAGCAGTTTTGAAACTCTCTTTTTGTAGAATCTGTAAGTGGACATTTGGAGGGCTTTGAGGCCTTTGGTGGAAAAGGAAATATCTTCACATAAAAACAAGACAGAAGAATTCTGAGAAACGTATTCGTGATGTGTGTGTTGATCTCACAGAGTTGAACTTTTCTTTTGATTGAGCAATTTGGAAACCCTCTTTTTGTAAAATCTGCAAGTGGACATTTGGAACACTTTGCAGCCTATGTTAGAAAAAAGAAATATCTTCATATAAAATCTAGACAGAAGCAATCTGAGAAACTTCTTTGTGATGTGTCCTTTCACCTCACAGAATTGAAACTTTCTTTTCATTGAGAAATTTGGAGACCCTCTTTTTGTGGAATTGGCAAGTGAAAATTTTGAGCACTTTGCGACCTATGGTAGAACAGGAAATATCTTCACATAAAATCTAGACAGAAGCAATCTGAGAAACTTCTTTCTGATGTGTGCATTCATCTCACAGAGTTAAATCTTTTTTTTTTTTTTTGAGCAGTTTTGAAACTCTCTTTTTGTAGAATCTGCAAGTGGACATTTGGAGCGCTTTGAGGCCTACGGTGGAAAAGGAAATATCTTCATATAAAAACTAGACAGAAGAATTCTGAGAAACTTCTTTGTGATGTGTGCATTCATCTCGCAGAGTTGAACCTTTCTTTTGATTAAGGAGTTTGGAAACACTCTTTTTGTAAAATCTGCAAGTGGACATTTGTAGCGCTTTGTAGCCTATTGTAGAAAAGGAAATATGTTCACATAAAATCTAGACAGAAGCAATCTGGGAAACTTCTTTGGGATGTGTGAATTCATCTCACAGATTTCAACCTTTCTTTTGTTTGAGCAGTTTTGAAACTCTCTTTTTGTAGAATCTGAAAGTGGACATTTGGAGCCATCTGAGGCCTATGTTGGAAAAGGAAGTATCTTCAAATAAAAACTAGACAGAAGAATTCTGAGAAACTTCTTTGTGATGAGTGTGCTCATCTCACAGAGTTAAAGATTCTTTTGATTGAGCAGTTTGGAAACACTCTTTTTGAAGAATCTGCAAGTGGATATTTGGAGTGTTTTGAGAAATGTGGTGGAAAAGGAAATATCGTCATATAAAAACTAGACAGAAGAATTCTGAGAAATTTCTTTGTGATGTGTGCATTCATCTCACAGAGTTGAAGCTTTCTTTTGATTGAGCAGTTTGGAAACTATCTTTTTGTAGAATCTGCAAGTGGATACTTGGAGCGCTTTGTGGCCTGTGGTAGAAAAGGAAATATCATCACATAAAATCTAGACAGAAGAAATCTGAGAAACTTCTTTCCGACGTGTGTGGTCATCTCACAGAGCTAAAACTTTCTTTTAATTGAGCATTCCTGAAACTCTCTTTTTGTAGAATCTATAAGTGGACGTTTGGAGCACTTTAAGGCCTACGGTGGAAAAGGAAATAACTTCACATTAAAAACTAGACAGAAGAATTCTGAGAAACTTCCTTGTGATGTGTGTGTTCATCTCACAGAGTTGAAGCTTTCTTTTGATTGAGCAGTTTGGAAACAGTCTTTTTGTAGAATTTGCAAGTGGACATTTGGATCGCTTTATGGCCTATGTTAGAAAAGGAAATATCTTCACATAAAATCTAGACAGTAGCAATCGGAAAAATTTCTTTGGGATGTGTGCATTCATCTCACAAAGTTAAAACTTTCTTTTGATAGAGCAGTTTTGAAACTCTCTTTTTGTAGAATCTGCAAGTGGATTTTTGGAGCACTTTGGGGCCTATGGTGGAAAAGGAAATATCTTCACATAAAAACTAGACAGAAAAATTCTGACCATGTTCTTTGTGATGTGTGCATTCATCTCACAGAGTTGAACCTTTCTTTTCATTGAGCAGTTTGGAAACACTCTTTTTGTAGAATCTGCTAGTGGACATTTGCAACGCTTTGTGGTCTATGGTAGAAAGGGAAATATCTTCACATAAAAACTAGACTGAAGCAATCTGATAAACTTCTTTGTGATGTGTGCATTCATCCCACACAGTTAAAATTTTCTTTTGATTGAGCAGTTTGAAACTCTCTTTTTGTAGAATCTGCAACTGGACATTTGGAGCGCTTTGAGTACTGTGGTGGAAAAGGAAACATTTTCATATAAAAACTAGACAGAAGAATTCCGACAAACTTCTTTGTGATGTGTGCATTCATCTCACAGAGTTGAACTTTTCTTTTCGTTGAGCAGTTGGGAAACACTCTTTTTGTACAATCTGCAAGTGGACATTTGGAGCGATTTGAAGCCTGTGGTGAAAAAGGAAATATCTTCACAAAAAAAAACTAGACAGAAGAATTCTGAGAAACTTCTTTGTGATGCGTGCATTCATCTCACAGAGTTGAACCTTTCTTTTGATAGAACAGGTTGGAAACACTCTTTTTTAGAATCTGCAAGTGGACATTAAGAGCGCTTTGCAGCCTACAGTAGAAAAAGAAATATCTTCATATAAAATCTAGACAGAAGCAATCTGCAAAACATTTTTGTGATGTATGAATTCGTTTCACAGAGGGCAACCTTCCTTTTGATTGAGCAGTCTTGAAACTCTCTTTTTGTAGAATCTGCAAGTGGACATTTGGAGCGCTTTGTGGCCTATGGTGGAAAAGGAAATATCTACACATAAAAACTAGAGAGAAGAATTCTGAGAAACTTCTTTGTGATGGGTGCGGTCAGCTCACAGAGTTGAAACTTTCTTTTGATTGAGCAGTTTGGAAGCACTCTTCTTGTAGAATCTGCAAGTGGACATCTGGAGTGCTCTGCGGCCTGTGGTAGAAAAGGAAATACCTTCACATAAATTCTAGACAGAAGCAATCTGAGATACTTCTTTGTTAGTGTGCATTCATCTCACAGAGTTAAACCTATCTTTTGATTGAGCAGTTTGGAAACACTCTCTTTGTAGAATCTGCAAGTGAACATTTCTAGAGCTTTGTGGCCTCTGGTAGAAAAGGAAATATTAAAAATAAAATCTAGATGGAAGGAATCTGAGAAACTTGTGATGTGTGCATTCATCTTACAGAGATAATCCTTCCTTTTGATTGAGCAGTTTTGAAACTCTTTCTGAATAATCTACAAGTGGACATTTGGAGCGTTTTGAGGTATATGGTGTAAAAGGAAATATCTTCACATAAAAACCAGACAGAAGAATTCTGAGAAACTTCTTTGTGATGCGTGCATTAATCTCACAGAGTTCAAGCTTTCTTTAGATTGAGCAGTTTGGAAATACTGTTTTTGAGGAATCTGCAAGTGGACATTTAGAGCACTTTGCAGCCTATGTTAGAATAGGAAATATCTTCACTTAAAATCTAGACAGAAGCAGTCTGTGAAACTTCTTTGTGATGTGTGCATTCATCTCACAAAGTTAAAACTTTCTTTTGATTGAGCAGTTTTCAAACTCTCTTTTCATAGAATCTGCAAGTGGACATTTGGAGAGCTTTGAGGCCTGTGGTGGAAAAGGAAATATCTTCACATAAAAACTAGACAGAAGAATTCTGAGAAACTTCTTTGTGATGTACGCTTTCATCTCACAGAGTTGAATTCTTCTTTTTATTGAGCAGTTTGGAAACATTCTTTTTTTAGACTCTGCAGGTGGACATTTTTATTGCTTTATGGTCTATGGTAGAAAAGGTAATATCTTCACATAAAATCTAGACAGAAGCTCTCTGAGAAACTTCTTTGTGATGTGTGCACTCATCTCACAGCGTTAAAACTTCCTTTTGATTGGAGCAGTTTTGAAACGCTCTTTTTGTAGAATCTGCAAGTGGATATTTGGAGTGCTTTGAGGCCTATGGTGGAAAAGAAAATATTTTCACATAAAAAGTAAACAGAAGAGTTCTGAGAAACTTCTTTGGGATGTGTGCGTTCATCTCACAGAGTTGAACCTTTCTTTTGATTGAGGAGTTTGGAAACACTCTTTTTGCAGAATCTGCAAGTGGACATTTGGAGAACTTTGCAGCCTATGGTAGAAAAGGAAATATCTTCACATAAAATCTAGACAGAAGCAATCTGAGAAACTTATTTGTGATGTGTGCATTCATCTCACAGCATTAAAACTTCCTTTTGATTGGAGCAGTTTTGAAACACCCTTTTTGTAGAATCTGCAAGTGGGTATTTGGAGCACTTTGAGGCCTATGTTGGAAAAGGAAATATCTTCACGTAAAAACTAGATGGAAGCATTTGGTAAACTTCTCTGTGATGTGTGCCTTCATCTCCCAGAGGTGAACCTTTCTTTTGAAAGACCAGTTTTGAAATACTCTTTTTGTAGAATCTGCAACTGGACATTTCGAGCGCCTTGAGGCCTATGGTGGCAAAGGAAATATATTCACATAAAAACTAGACAGAATTCTGATAAACTTTTTTGTGATGTATGCATTTATCTCCCAGAATTGAACCTTTCTTTTGAAGGACCAGTTTTGAAATACTCTTTTTGTGGAATCTGCAAGTGGAGATTTCGAGTGCCTTGAAGCCTATGTGGGAAAAGAAAACATCTTCACGTATCAACTGGACAGAAGAATTCTGAGAAACTTCTTTGTGATGTGTGGGTTCATCTCACAGAGTTGAACCTTTCCTTTGAGCAGCTTGTAAAAACTCTTTTTGTAGTATCTGTAAGTGGACACTTGGAACGCTTTGCAGCCTATGGTAGAAAAGGGACTATATTCACATAACATCTAGACAGAAACATTCTGAGAAAATTCTTTGTAATGTTTGCATTCATTCAACAGAGCTGAACCTTTCCTTTGATGGACCAGTTTTGAAATACTCTTTTTGTGGAATCCGCATGTGGACATTTCGAGTGCTTTGAGGCCTAGGGTGGAAAATGAAATATCTTCACATAAAAGCTATGCAGAAGAATTCTGAGAAACTTCTTTGAAATGTGTTCATTCATCTCACAGAGTTGAACCTTTCTTTTGATTGAGCAGTTTGGAAAAATTTTTTTCGTAGAATCTCAAGTGGACATGTTGAGCGCTTTGTGGCATATAGTAGAAAAGGAAGTATCTTCACATAAAATCTAGACAGAAGCAATCTGAGAAACTTCTTTGTTATGTGTGTACTCATCTCAAAGAGGTAAACCTTTCTTTTGGTTGAGCAGTTTTGAAACTCTCTTTTTGTAGAATCTGCAAGTGGACAGTTGGAGCACTTTGAGGCCTATGGTGGGAAAGGAAATATCTTCACATAAAAACTAGACAGAAGAATTCTGACAAACTTCTTTGTGATGTGTGCATTCTTCTCACAGAGTGGAACTGTTCTTTTGATTGAGCAGTTTGGTACCACTCTTTCTTGTAGAATCTGCAAGTGGACATTTGGAGCGCTTTGCGGTCTATAGTAGAAAAGTAAATATCTTCACATAAAATCTACACAGAAACAATCTGAGAAACTTGTTTGGGATATATGCATTCATCTCACAGAGATAACCCTTTCTTTTGATTGAGCAGTTTTGAAACTCTCTTTTTGTAGAATCTGCAAGCGGACATTTAGAGAGTCTTGAGGCCTATGGTGGAACAGGAAATATCTTCACATAAAAATTAGACAGAAGGATTCTGAGAAACTTCTTTGTGATGAGTGCGTTCATCTCACGGAGTTGAACCTTTCTTTTGATTGAGCAGTTTGGAAACACACTTTTTGTAGCATCTGCAAGTGGACATTTGGAACTCTTTGCAGCCAATGGTAGAAAAGGAAATATCTTCACATAAAATCCAGACAGAAGCAATCTGAGAAACTTCTTTGTGATGTGTGCATTAATCTCACAGAGTTAAACTTTTCTTTTGATTGAGCAGATTGGAAACTCTCTTTTCGTAGAATCTGCAAGTGGACATTTGGAGTGTTTGAGGCCTGTGGTGGAGAAGGAAATATCTTCACATAAAAAGTAGATAGAAGCATTCTTATTAGCTTCTCTGTGATGTCTGCATTCATCTCCCAGAGTTCCACCTTTCTTTAGAAGAACCAGTTTTCAAATACTCTTTTTGGAGAATCTGCAAAGGGACTTTTCAAGCACCTTGAGGCTTAAGTTGGAAAAGGAAATATCTTCACAAAAAAAACAGATAGAAGAATTCTGAGAATCTTCTTTATGATATGTACGTTCATCTAACGTTGAACCTTTCTTTTGAACGTGTAGTTTGGAAACACCCTTTTTGTAGAATTGGCAAGTGGGCATTTGGAGCACTTTGCGGCCTATGATAGAAAAGGAAATATCTTCACATAAAATCTAGAAGGAAGCAATCTGAGAAACTTCTTTGTGATGTGTGCATTCATCTCACAGAGTTGAAACTTTCTTTTGATTGAGCAGTTTTGAAACACTCTCTTCGTAGAATCTGCAAGTGGATATTTGGAGCCCTTTGAGGCCTATTGTGGAAAAGGAAATATCTTCACATAAAAACTACTCAGAAGCATTCTAAGAAACACCATTGTGATGTTTGGATTCAACTCACAGAGTGGAAACTACATTTTGATTGAGCAGTTTTGAATCTCTCCTTTTGCAGAATCTGCAAGTGGTTGTTTGGAAAGCTTTGAAGCCTATTGTGGAAAAGGAAATATCTTTACATAAAAACTACACAGAAGCATTCTGAGAAACTACTTTGTGAGGTGTGCATTCAACTCACAGAGTTGAAATTATCTTCTCATTGAGGAGTTTTCTATCTCTCTTTTTGTAGAATCTGCATGTCGATATTTGAAGAACTTTGCATCCTATGGTGGAAAAGGAAATATCTTGAAATAAAAACTACACAGAAGCATTCACAGAAACTTCTTTGTGATGTGTGCACTCAACTCACAGAGTTGAACCTATCTTTAGATTGAGCAGTTTTGAATCTCTCTTCTTGCACAATCTGAAGGTGGATATTTCGAGCCTTTTGAGGCCTACAGTGGAAAAGCAAATATCTTCACAGAAAAACTACACGGAAGCATTGTGATAAACTTCTTTGTGATGTGTGCATTCAACTCACAAAGTTGAACTTATATTCTCATTGAGCAGTTTTGAATATCTCTTTTGGTAGAATCTCCAAGTGGATATTTGGAGCCCTTTGCACCCTATGGTGGAAAAGGAAATATCTTCAAATAAAAACTACACAGAAGCATTCAGAGAAACTGCTTTGTGATGTATGCATTCAACTCACAGAGTTGAACATATCTTTTGAATCAGCAGTTTTGAATCTCTCTTTTGGCAGAATCTTCAGGTGGATATTTGGAGCCCTTTGAGGCCTACTGTGGAAAAGAAAATATCTTCACATAAAAACTACACAGAAGCATTCTGAGAAACTTCTTTGTGAGGTGTGCATTCAGCTCACAGAGTTGATCTTATCTTCTCATTGAGCAGTTTTGAATCTCTCTATTTGTAGAATCTGCAAGTGGATATTTGGAGCCCTTTGAGCCCTATGGTGGAAAAGGAAATATCTTGAAATAAAAACTACACAGAAGCATTCAGACAAACTTCTTTGTGATGTATGCATTCAACTCACAGAGTTGAACGTATCTTTTCATTGAGCAGTTTTGAACCTCTCTTTTTGCAGAATCTGCAGGTGGATATTTGGAGCGCTTTGAGGCCTTCGGTGGAAACGGGAATACCTTCACATAAAAACTAGACAGAAGCATTCTCAGAAACTTCGTTGTGATGTGTGCATTCAACTCACAGAGTTGAACCTTCCTTTTGATAGAGCAGTTTTGAGACACTGTTTTTGTAGAATCTGCAAGTGGACATTTTGATCGCTCTGAGGCCTACGGTGTAAACGAGATATCTTTACATAAAAACTAGACAGAAGCATTCCCAGAAACTTCTTTGTGATGTGTGCATTCAACTCACAGAGTTGAGTCTTCCTTTTGATAGAGCAGTTTTGAAACACTCTTTTTGTGGAATTTGCAAGTGGATATTTGGAATGCTTTGAGGCCTATGGTAGAAACAGAAATATCTTCATATAAAAACTACACAGAAGTATTCTCAGAAAATACTTTGTGATGTGTGCATTCAACTCACAGAGTTGAAAATTCCTTTTGATAGAGAAGTTTTGAAACACTCTTTTTGTAGAATCTGCAAGTGGATATTGGGAGCGCTTTGAGGTTTTCGATGGAAATGGGAATATCTTCACATAAAAACTAGACAGAATCATTCTCAGAAACTTGTTTGTGATGTGTGCATTCAAATCCAAGAGTTAAGCCTTTCTTTTGATATAGCAGTTTTGAAACCCTCTTTCTGTACAATCTGCAAGTGGACATTTGGAGTGCTTTGGGTCCTGTGGTGGAAAAGGGAATATCTTCAGATAAAAACTAGACAGAAGCATTCTCAGAAACTTCTTTATGATGTGTGCATTCATGTCACAGAGTTGAAACTTCGTTTTGATAGAGCAGTTTTGAAACACTCTTTTTGAAGAATATGCAGGTGGATAATTGGAGCGCTTTGAGGGCTATGGTGGAAAGGGAAATATCTTCACATAAAAAGTAGACAGAAGCATTCTCAGAAACTTCTTTGTGATGTTTGCATTCAACTAACAGAGCTGAACATACCTTAACATAGATCAGTTTTGAAACACTCTTTTAGTAGAATCTGCAAGAAGATATCTGTAAGGCTTTGAGGCCTTCTTTGGAAACGGGAATATCTTCACATAAAAACTGGAGAGAAGCATTCTAAGAAACTTCTTTGTGATGTGTGCATTCAACTCACAGAGTTGAACCTTTCTTTTGGTAGAGCAGGTTTGAAACATTCATTTTGTAGGATCTGAAGTGTACATTTGGAGAGCTTCGAGGCCTATGGTGGAAAAGGAAGTATCTTCACATAAAAACTAGAGAGAAGCGTTCTCAGAAACTTCTTTGTGATGTGTGCATTCAACTCACAGAATTGAACCTCTCTTTTCATTGAGCAGGCTTGAAACACTCTTTTTGTAGAATCTGCAAGTAGACATTTGGAGAGCTTTGAGGCCTATGGTGGAAAAGGAAATATCTTCACACAAAAAACAGACAGAAGCATTCTCAGAAACGTCTTTGTGATGTTTGCATTCAACTCACAGAGTTGAAGATACCTTTCCATGGAGCAGTTTTCAGACACTCTTTTTGTAGAATCTGCAGGTGGATATTTGGACCACTATGAGGCCTTCGTTGGAAACGGGAATATCTTCACATAAACACTTGACAGAAGCATTCTCAAAAACTTCTTTGTCACGCGTGCATTAAACTCAAAGAGTTGAACCTTTCTTTTGATAGAGCAGCTTTGAAACACTCTTTTTGTAGAATCTGCAAGTTGACATTTGGAGAGCTTTGAGGCCTATGGTGGAAATGTTATATCATCATATAAAAATTAGAGAGAAGAATTCTCAGAAAATTCTTTGCAATGTTTGCATTCAACTCAGAGTTGAAGATGCCTTTTCATAGAGCAGTTTTGAAACACTGTTTTGGTAGATTATGCAAGTGGATATTTGGAACACTTTGAGGCCTTCGTTGGAAACGGGAATATGTTCACACAAAAACAGGCAGAAGCATTCTGAGAAACTTCTTTGTGATGTTTGCATTCACCTCAAAGAGTTGAAACTTTCTTTTGATATAGCATGTTTGAAACACTCTTTTTGTAGAATCTGCAAGTGGACATTTGGAGAGCATTGAGGCCTATGGTGGAAAAGTAAATATCGTCACATAAAAACTAGAGAGAAGCATTCTCAGAAACTTCTTTGTGATGTGTGCATTCTACTCACAGAGGTGAACCTTTCTTTTGATAGAGCAGTTTTGAAACACCCTTTTTGTAGAATCTGGAAGTGTATATTTGGACCGCTTGGAGGCCTTTGTTGGAAACAGGAATATCTTCACATAAACACTAGAAAGAAGCATTCTCCAAAACTTCTTTGTGCTGTGTGCATTGAACTCACAGAGTTGAATCTTTCTTTTGATAGAGCAGGTTTGAAACACTCTTTTTGTAGAATCGGCACTGGACATTTTTAGACCTATGAGGCCTATGGTGGAAAAGGAAATATCTTTAAATAAAAGCCAGACAGAATAATTCTAAGGAACTACTTTGTGATGTTTGCTTTCAAATCACAGGATTGTACATACCTCTTCATAGAGCAGTTTTGAAGCACTCTTTTTGCAGAATCTGCCAGTGGATATTTGGAGCACTTTGAAGCCTTCGTTGGAAATGGGAATATCTTCAAATAAACACTAGATAGAAGCATTCTCAGAAACTTCTTTGTGATGTGTCCATTCAACTCACAGAGTTGAAGCTTTCCTTTAATAAAGCAGGTTTGATACACTCTTTTTGTAGAATCTGCAAGTGGATATTTGAACCGCTTTGACGCCTTCCTTGGAAAAGTGGATATCTTCACATAAACACTAGACAGAATCATTCTCAGAAACTTCTTTGTGATGTGTGCATTCCACTCACAGAATTGAACCTTTCTTTTGATAGAGCAGGTTTGAAACACTTTTTTTGTAGAATCTGCAAGCAGACATTTGGAGAGCTTGGAGGCCTATGGTGGAAAAGGAAATATCTATGAATAAAAACTAGACAGAAGCATTGTCAGAAACTTCTTTGTGATGTTTGCATTCAACTCACAGAGTTGAACCTCCCTTTTCATAGAGCAGTTTTGAAACACTATTTTCGTGGAATCTGCAAGTGGATATTTGGACCGCTTTGAGGTCTTCGTTGGAAACGGGAATATCTTCGCATAAAAACTAGACAGAAGCATTCTCAGAAACTACTTTGTGATGTGTGCATTCAACTCACAGAGTTGAACCTTCCTTTTCGTAGAGCAGGGTTGAAACACTCTTTTTGCAGGATCTGCAAGTGGACATTTGGAGCTCTTTGAGGCCTATGGTGGAAAAGGATATATCTTCACATAAAAGCTACACAGAAGCATTCTCATAAACTTATGTGTGACGTTTGCATTCAACTCTCAGAGTCTAACATACTTTATCATAGATTAGTTTTGAAACACTCTTTTAGTAGTATCTGCAAGTGGATAATTGGAGGGCTTTGAGGCCTTCGTTGAAAACGGGAGTATCTTCACATAATGAAGCTTTCTCAGAAACTTCTTTGTGCTGTGTGTATTCAACTCACAGAGTTGAACCTTTCTTTTGATAGAGCAGGTTTGAAACACTCTTTTGCAGAATCTACAAGTGGACATTAGGAGCACTTTGTGGCCTATGGAGGAAAAGGAAATATCTTCACATAAAAACTAGACAGAAGCATTCTCATAAACTTATTTGTGACGTTTGCATTCAACTTTCAGAGCTTAACATACTTTATCATAGATCAGTTTTGAAACACTCTTTTAATAGTATCTGCAAGTGGATAATTGGACCACTTTGAGGCCTTCGTTGGAAACGGGAGTATCTTCACACAATGAAGCTTTCTCAAAAACTTCTTTGTGCTGTGTGCATTCAACTCACAGAGTTGAAATTTTCTTTCGATATAGCAGATTTGAAACACTCTTTTTGTAGAATTTGAAAGTGGATATTTGGACAGCTTTGAGGCCTTCCCTGGAAACGGGAGTTTCTTCACATAAAAACTAGACAGAAGCATTCTAGGAAACTTCTTTTTGATGTGTGCATTCAACTCAGAGAGTTGACCCTTTCTTTTGATAGAGCAGATTTAACACTCTTTTTGCAGAATCTACACGTGGACATTATGAGCGATTTGAGGCCTATGGTGGAAAAGGAAATATCTTCACATAAAAACTAAACAGCAGCATTCTCAGAAACTTCTTTGTGATGTTTGCCTTCAATTCTCAGAGTTGAACATACTTTATCCTAGAGCAGTTTTGAAACACTCTTTTAGTAGTATCTCCAAGTGGATATTTGGACCGCTTTGAGGACATCATTGGAAACGGGAGTACCTACACATAATCACGACACAGAAGTTTTCTCAGAAACTTCCTTCTGCTGTGTGCATTCAACTCAAAGATTTGAAATTTCTTTTGATAGAGCAGGTTTGAAACACTCTTTTTGTAGAATCTGCAAGTTGACATTTTGAGCGCTTTGAGGCCTATGGTGCAAAAGGAAATATCTTCACATAAAAACTAGACAGAAGCATTCTCAGAAACTTCTTTGTGATGTGTGCATTCAACTCATGGATTTGAACCGTTCTTTTGATAGAGCAATTTTGAAACACTCTTTTTGTACAATCTGCAAGTGGACATTTGGAGTGTTTTGAGGCCTACGGCAGAAAAGGAAATATCTCCACATAAAAAATAGACAGAAGCATTCACAGAAACTTCTTTGTAATATATGCATTCAACTCACAGAGTTGAACTTTTCTTTTGATAAAGCAGGTTTGAAACACTCTTTTTGTGGAATCTGCAAGTGGACCTTTGGAGAGCTTTGAGGCCTATGGCAGAAAAGGAAATATCTCCACACAAAAACTAGACAGAAGCATTCTCAGAAACTTCTATGGGTTGTGTGCATTCAACTCACAGAGTTGAACATATCTTTTCATGGAGCAGTTTAGAAACACTCTTTTTGTAAAATCTACAAGTGGATATTTGAACCGCTTTGAGACCTTCATTGGAAACGGGAATATCTTCACATAAACACTAGACAGAAGAATTCTCAGAAAATTATTTGTGATGTGTGCATTCAACTCACAGAGTTGAACCTTTCTTTCGATAGAGCAGGTTTGAAACACTCTTTTTGTAGAATCTGAAACTGGACATTTGGGGTGCTTTGAGGCCTATGGTGGAAAATGAAATATCTTCTCATAAAAACTAGACAGAAGCATTCTATGAAACTTCTTTGTGATGTTTGCATTCAACTCACAGAGTTGAACATTCCTTATCATAGAGCAGTTTTGAAACACTCTTTTCGTAGAATCTGCAAGTGGATATTTGGACCAATTTGAGGCCTTCGTTAGAAACAGGAATACCTTCACATTAAAACTAGACAGGAGCATTCTCTGAAACTGCTTTGTGATGTGTGCATTCAACTCACAGAGTTGAACTTTCGTTTTGAGAGAGCACGTTTTGAAACACTCTTTTTGCAGAATCTGCATGTGTGAATTTGGAGAGCTTTGAGGCGTTTGGTGGAAAAGGGAATATCTTCACACAAAAATTAGACAGAAGCATTCACAGAAACTTCTTTGTGATGTGTGCATTTAACTCACCGAGTGGAACCTTCCTTTTCATAGAGCAGGTTTGAAACACACTTTTTGCAGTATCTGCAGGTGGACATTTGGAGCGCTTCTATTCCAATGGTGGAAAACGAAATGTCTTCTCATAAAAACTACATAGAAGCATTCTCAGAAACTTCTTTGTGACGTTTGCATTCAACTCTCAGAGTTGAACAAACTTTATCACAGAGCAGTTTTGAAACACTCTTTTAGTAGTATCTGCATGTGGGTAATTGAACCGCTTTCAGGCCTTTGTTTGAAAGGCTAGTATCTTCACTTAAAAACTAGACCAAAGCATTCTCGGAAACTTCTTTGTGATGTGTGCATTAAACTCACAGAGTTTAACCTTTATTTTGATAGAGCAGGTTTGAAACACTCTTTTGCAGAAACTACAAGTGGACATTTGGATCGCTTTGAGGCCTAAGTTGAAAAGAAAATACTTTAACATAAAAATTAGACAGAAGCATTCTGAGAAACTGCTTTGGGATGTGTACATTCAACTCACGGAGTTGAACAGACTTTATCATAGAGCAGTTTTGAAATACTCTTTTAGTAGAATCTGCAAGTGGAAATTTGGACCTCTTTGAGGCCTTCGTTGGAAAAGGGAATAGCTTCAGGTAAATACTAGACAGAAGCATTCTCAGAAACTACTTTGTGATGTGTGCATTCAACTCACAGATTTGAACATACCTTATCATAGAGTAGTTCTGAAGCACTCTTATAGAGGAATCTGCAAGGGGATATTTGGACAACTTTGAGGCAATCATTGGAAACGGGAATATCTTCACATAAACACCAGACAGAAGCATTCTCAGAAACTGCTTTTTGATGTGTGCATTCAACTCACAGAGTTGACCATACCTTAACATAGAGCAGTTTTGAAACACTCTTTTGGTAGTATCTGCAATTGGATAATTGGAAGGCTTTGAGGCCTTCGTTGTAAACGGGAATTTCTTCCCATAAAAACGGGCAGAAGCTTTCTCAGAAACTTCTTTTTGATGTGTGCATTAAACGCACAGAGTTGAAGCTTTCTTTTGATAGAGCAGGTTTGAAACACTCATTTTGTAGAATCTGCAAGCTTACATTTGGAGCACTCTGAGGCCTATGTTGGGAAATGAAATTTCTTAACATAAAAACTGGACAGAAGCATTCTCAGAAACTTCTTTGTGATGTTTGCATTCAACTCACAGAGTTCACCTTCCTTTTCACAGAGCAGATTTGAAACACACATTTCGTAGAATCTGCAAGTGGATATTTGGAGCGCTTCACTGTTTTAGAAGAATCTGCAAGTGGATATTTTGACCGCTTTGAGGCAACAGTTGGAAACGGGAATATCTTCACATAATCACTAGACAGAAGCTTCCTCAGAAACTTCTTTGTGTTGTGTGCATTCAACTCACAGAGTTGCACCTTTCTTTTGATAAAGGAGGTTTGAAACACTCCTGTTGTAGAGTCTGCAAGTGGATATTTGGAGCGCTTTGAGGCCTAAGGTGGAAAAGGAAATGTCTTCCATAAAAACTAGACGGAAGCATTCTGAGAAACTTCTAGGTGATGTTTGCATTCAATTCAAAGAGTTGAACCTTCGTTTTCATAGAGCAGTTTTGAAACGCTCTTTTCATAGAATCTCAAGTGGATATTTCAACTGTTTTGAAGCCTTCTTTGGAAACGGAAGTATGTTCACATAAACACTGCACAGAAGAATTCTCAGAAAATTCTTTGTGATGTGTGCATTCATCTCACAGAGTTGAACATACCTTATCATAGAGCAGTTTTGAAACACTCTTTTAGTAGAATCTGAAAGTGGATATTTCAAACACTTTAAGGCCTTCGTTGGAAACGGGAATATCTTCCTATAAAAACTAAACAGCAGCATTCTGAGAAACTTAATTGTGATGTGTACTTTCAACCACAGAGGTTAACCTTTCTTTTGATAGAGCAGTTTGAAACACTCTTTTTGTAGAATCTGCAAGTGGACATTTGGAAAGCTTTGAGGCCTATGGTGGAAAAGGAAATATCTTTATATAAAAACAAGACAGAAGAGTTCTCAAAAACACCTTTGTGATGTTTGCCTTCAACTCACAGAGCTGAACATATCATATGATAGAGCAGATTTGAAACACTCTCTTTGTAGTATCTGCAAGTGGATATTTGGACTGCTTTGTGGCCTTTGTTGGAAACGGGATTATCTTCGCATTAACACTGGACAGAAGCATTCTCAGAAACTTCTCTGGGAATTATGCTTTCAACTCACAGAGCTGAACATACCTTATCCTAGAGCAGTTTTCAAACACTCTTTTAGTAGAATCTGCAAGAGGATAATTGGAATGCTTTGAGGCCCTCTTGGAAACGTTAATATATCCACATAAAAATGAGACAGCAGAATTCTCAGAAACTTGTTTTTCATGAGTACATTCAACCACAGGGTTGAACCTTTCTTTTGATAGAGCAGTTTTGAAACAATCTTTTTGTAGAATCTGCAAGTGGATATTTAGACCGCTTTGAGGACTTCGTTGGAAATGGGAATATCTTCACATAAACACTAGACAGAATCATTCTCAGAAACTTCTTTGTGATGTGCGCATTCAACTCACAGAGTTGAACCTTTCTTTTGATAGAGCAGATTTGAAACACTCTTGTTGTAGAATCCACAAGTGGACATTTGGAGAGCTTTGAAGTCTATGGTGGAAAAGGAAATATCTTCACAAAAAACTGGAGAGAAGCATTCTCAGAAACTTCTTTGTGATGTGTGCATTCAACTCACAGAGCTGAACCTTTCTTTGGATAGAGCAGGTTAGCAACACTCTTTTCACAGAATCTGCATGTGGACATTTGGAGAGCTTTGAGGCCTATGGTGGAAAAGGAAATATCTTCACATAAAAACTAGACAGAAGCATTCTCAGAAACTACTTTGTGATGTTTGCATTCAACTCACAGAGTTGGACATACTTTATCATAGGGCATTTTTGAAACACTCTTTCAGGAGAATCTGCAAGTGGATATTTGGAACGCTTAGAGGCCTTCGTTGGAAACAGGAGTATTTTCACATAAATACTAGACAGCAGCATTCTCAGAAACATCCTTGTGATGTGAGCATTCAACTCACAGAATTGAACATTTCCTTTGAAAGAGCAGTTTTGAAACACTCTTTTTGCAGGATCTGCAAGTGGATATGTGGACTGCTTTGAGGCCTTCGTTGGATATGGGAATATCTTCACATAAAAACTAGACAGAAGCATTCCCAGAAACTTCTTTCTGATGTGTGCATTCAACTCACAGAGTTGAACCTTTCTTTTGATAGAGCAGTTTTGAAACACTCTTTTTGTAGAATCTGTATGTGGACATTTGGAGAGGTTTGAAGCCTATGGTGGAAAAGGAAATATCTTCACATAAAATCTAGACAAAGCATTCTCCGAAACTCCTTTGTTTCTTTTGATAGACCAGGTTTGAAACACTCTTTTAGTAGAATCTGCAAGAGGTTATTTGGAACCTTTTGAGGCCTTCTTTGGAAACGGTAATAACTTCACATAATCAATAGTCAGAAGTTTCTCAGAAACTTCTTTGTGCTGTGTGCATTAAACTCAGAGAGTTGAAACTTTTTTTGATAGAGGAGGTTTGAAACACTCTTTTTGTAGAATCTGCAATTGGACATTTGGAGCGATTTAAGGCCTATGGTGGAAAAGAAAATATCTTCACATGAAAACTAGACAGAAGCATTCTCAGAAACTTCTTTGTGATATTTGCCTTCAACTCACGGAGTTGAACTTACCTTATCATAGAGCAAGTTGGAAACACTCTTTTAGTAGAATCTGCAAGTGGAGACTAGGAACGCTTTGGGGCCTTCGTTGGAAATGGGAATATCTTCACATAAATAGTAGACAGAGGCATTCTCAGAAACTTCTTTGTGATGTGTACCTTTAACTCACACAGTTGAACATTTCTTTTGGTAGTTCAGTTTTGAAACATTCTTTTTGTAGAATCTGCAAGTGGACATTTGGAGAGCTTTAAGGCCTTCATTGGAAACGGGAATATCTTCACATAAACACTAGACAGAAGCATTCTCAGAAACTTCTTGTGCTTTGTGCATTGAACTCACAGAGTTGAACCTTTCTTTTTGATAGAACAGGTTTGAATCACTCTTTTTGTAATATGTGGAAATGGACATTTGAGCGATTTGACGCCTATGGTGAAAAAGGAAATATCTTCCCTTAAAAACTTGACAGAAGCATTGTCAGAAACTTATTTGTGATGTGTGTACTCAACTGACAGAGTTGAACCTTTCTTTTTACAGAGCAGTTTTGAAACACTCTTTTTGTTGAATCTGCAGGTGGATGTTTGGATAGGTCTGAGGATTTTGTTGGAAAGGGATTATATATAAAAACTAGACAGCTGCATTCTCAGAAAATTCTTTGTGATGTTTGCATTCAAGTCACGGGTTTGAACATTTCCTTTCATAGAGCAGGATTGAAACACTCTTTCTGTAGTATCTGGAAGTGGACATTTCGAGCGCTTTCAGGCCTAAGTTGAGAAAGGAAATATCTTCAAATAAAAACTAGACAGAAGCATTCTCAGAAACTTATTTGTGATGTGTGTCCTCCAATAACAGAGTAGAACCGTTGGTTTGATACAGAAGTTTAGAAGAACTCTTTTTGTAGAACCTGCAAGTGGATATATGGATAGCTCCGAGGATTTCATTGGAAACGGGAATATCTTCGTATAAAATCAAGACAGAAGGATTCTCAGTAACTTCTTTGTGATGTTTGCATTCAACTCATAGATTTCAACATTCCCTATCATAGCGCAGGTTTGAAACTCTCCTTTTGTAGTATGTGGAAGTGGACATTTGGAGCGCTTTGAGGCCTACGGTGAAAAAGGAAATATCTTCCCATAAAAACTAGACAGAAGCATTCTCAGAAACTTGTTTCTGACGTGTGTATTCAACTAACAGAGTTGAACCTTTCTTTTTACAGAGCAGCTTTGAAACACCCTTTTTGTGGAATCTGCAAGTGGAAATTTCGATAGTTCTGAGGATTTCGTTGGAAACGGGATTACATATAAAAAGTACACAGCAGCATTCTCAGAAACTGCTTTGTGGTGTTTGCATTCAAGTCACATAGTTGAACATTCCCTTTCATAGAGCAGGTTTGAATCACTGTTTCTGTAGTATCTGGAAGTGGATATTTCGTGCGCTTTCAGGCCTAAGGTGAGAAAGGAAATGTTTTCAAATAAGAACTAGACAGACGCATTCTCAGAAACTTATTTGTGATGTGTGTCCTCAACTGAGTTGAACCTTTGTTTTGATACAGCAGTTTGGAAACACTATTTTTGTAGAATCTACAAGTGGATAATTGGAGAGCATTGAAAATTTCGTTGGAAGCGGGAAAACCTTCATATGAAATCTAGACAGAAGCATTCTCAGAAACTTCTTTGTAATGTTTGCATTCAACTCATAGAGTTGAACATTCCCTTTCATACAGCAGGCTTGAAACACTCTTTTTGTAGTATGTGGAAGTGGACATTTGGACCGATTTGAGGCCTACGGTGAAAAAGGAAATATCTTCCCATAAAAACTAGACAGAAGCATTGTCAGAAACTTGTTTGTTATGTCTATACTCAACTGACAGATTTGAACCTTCCCTTTGAACGAGCAGTTTTGAAACACTCTTTTTGTAGAATCTGCAGGTGGATATTTGGATAGGTCTGAGGATTTCCTTGGAAACGGGATTATATATAAAAACTAGACAGCTGCATTCTCAGAAACTTCTTTGTGATGTTTGCATTGAAGTCACAGGTTTGAACATTCCCTTTCATAGAGCAGGTTTGAAACACTCTTTCTGTAGTATCTGGAAGTGGACATTTCGAGTGCTTTCAGGCCTAAGGTGAGAAAGGAAATATCTTCAAATAAACACTAGACAGAAGCATTCTCAGAAACTTATATGTGATGTGTGTCCTCCAATAACAAAGTTGAACTGTTGGTTTGATACAGAAGTCTTGAAAAATTCTTTTTGTAGAATCTGCAAGTGGATATATGGATAGATTGGAAGATTTCGTTGGAAACGGGAATATCTTCATATAAATTCAAGACAGAAGCAGTTTCAGTAACTTGTTTGTGATCTTTGCATTCAACTCATAGATTTGAACATTCCATATCATAGCCCAGGTTTGAAAATCTTTTTTTGTAGTATGTGGAATTGGACAATTGGAGCGCTTTGAGGCCTATTGTGAAAATGGAAATATCTTCCCATTGAAACTAGACAGAAGCATTCTCAGAAACATTTTGTGATGTGTGTATTCAACTAACAGACTTGAACCTTTCTTTTTACAGAGCAGTTTCAAACACTCTTTTTGTGGAATCTGCAAGTGAATATTAGGATAGCTTTGCGGATTTCGTTGGAAACGGGATTACCTATAAAAAGTAGACGACAGCATTCTCAGACACTGCTTTGTGATGTTTGCATTCAAGTCTCAGAGTTGAACATTCCCCATCATAGAGCATGTTTGAAACACTGTTTCTGTAGTATCTGGAAGTGGACATTTCGAGTGCTTTCAGGCATATGATGAGAAAGGAAATACCTTCAAATAAAAACTAGACAGAAGCATTCTCAGAAACTTATTTGTGATGTGTGTCCTCAACTGAGTTGAACCTTTGTTTTGATACAGCAGTTTGGAAACACTATTTTTGTAGAATCAACAAGTGGATAATTGGAGAGCATTGAAAATTTCATTGGAAGCGGGAAAATATTCATATGAAATCTAGACAGAAGCATTCCCAGAAACTTCTTTGTGATGTTTGCATTCAACTCATAGAGTTGAACATTCCCTTTCATACAGCAGGTTTGAAACACTCTCTTTGTAGTATGTGGAAATGGATATTTGGAGTGCTTTGAGGCCTAAGGTGAAGATGGAAATATCTTCCCAAAAAAAATAGACGAAAGCATTCTCGGAATCTTGTTTGTCATGTGTGTACTCAACTAACAGAGTTGAACCTATCTTTTGACAGAGCAGTTTTGAAAAACTCTTTTGTGGAATCTGCAAATGGATATTTGGATAGCTTTGAGGATTTCGTTGGAAACGGGAATAACTTCATATAAAATCTAGACAGAAGCATTCTCAGAATCTTGTTTGTGATGAATGTCCTCAATTAACAGAGTTGAACCTTTGTTTGGATACAGCATTTTGAAACATTCCTTTCGTAGAGTCTGCAATTTGATATTTGGATAGCTTTGAGGATTTCGTTGGAAACGGGAATATCTACATATAAAATCTAGACAGAAGAAATCTCAGAAACTTCTTTGTGATGTTTGCATTCAACTCATAGAGTTGAACATACCCTTTCACACAGCAGGTTTGACACACTCTTTGTATAATATGTGGAAATGGATATTTGGAGCGATTGAGGCCTATGGTGAAGAAGGAAATATCATCCCTAAAAAACTAGACGAAAGCATTCTCGGAATCTTGTTTGCCATGTGTGTACTCAACAAAAAAAGAGTTGAACCTATCTTTTGACAGAGCAGTTTTCAACCACTCTTTTGTGGAATCTGCAAATGGATATTTGGATAGCTTCGAGGATTTCGTTGGAAACGGGAATATCCTCATATAAAATCTAGACAGAAGCATCCTCAGTAACTTCTTTGTGATGTTTGCATTCAACTCATAGGTTTGAACATTCCCTTTCATAGAACAGGTTGGAAACACTCTTTTTGTAGTGTGTGGAAGTGGACATTTGGAGCGCTTTGAGGCCTACGGTGAAAAAGGAAATATCTTCCCATAAAAACTAGACAGAAGCATTCTCAGAAACTTGTTTGTGACGTGTGTATTGAACTAACAGAGTTGAACCTATGTTTTGATACAGCAGTTTGGAAACACTATTTTTGTAGAATCTCCAAATGGATGTTTGGAGACCTTGGAAAATTTCGTAGGACACGGGAATATCTTCATGTAAAATTTAGAGAGAAGCATTCTCAGAATCTGCTTTGTGATGTTTGCATTCAACTCATAGAGTTGAATATTCCCTTTCATACAACAGGTTTGAAACACACTTTGTGTAGTATGTGGAAATGGACATTTAGAGTGCTCTTAGGCCTAAGGTGAAAAGGGAAATATCTTCAAATAAAAACTAGTCAGCAGCATTCTCAGAAACCTCTTTGTGATGTGTGTACTCAACTAACGGAGTTGAACCTTCCTTTTGACAGAGCAGTTTTGAAACACTCTTTTTGTGGAATTTGCAAGTGGATATTTGGATAGATTTGAGGATTTCGTTGGAAACGGGAATATCTTCATATAAAATCAACACAGAAGCATTCTCAGAATCTTCTTTGTGATGTATGTCCTCAATTAACAGAGTTGAACCTTTGTTGGGATACAGCATTTTGGAAACATTCCTTTTGTAGAATCTGCAAGCTAATATTTGGATAGCTTTGAGGATTTCGTTGGAAACGGGAATATCTACATATAAAATCTAGACAGAAGCATTCTCAGTAACTTCTTTGTGATGTTTGCATTCAACTCATAGGTTTGAACATTCCCTTTCATAGAGCAGGGTGGAAACACTCTTTTTGAAGTATGTGGAAGTGGATATTTGGAGGGATTTGAGGCCCACGGTGAAAAAGTAAATATCTTCCATAAAAACTAGACAGAAGCATTCTCAGAAACTTGTTTGTGATGTGTGTATTCAACTAACAGAGTTGAACCTTTCTTTTTACAGAGCAGTTTTGAAACAATCGTTTTATGAAATCTGCCAGTGGAAATTTCGATAGTTCTGAGGATTTCATTGGAAACGGGATTACATATAAAAAGTAGACAGCAGCATTCTCAGAAACTTCTTTGTGATGTTTCCATTCAACTCAGATAGTTGAACATTCCCTTTCATACAGCAGGTTTGAATTGCTGTTTCTGTAGTATCTGGAAGTGGATATTTCGAACGCTTTCAGGTCTAAGGTGAGAAAAGAAATGTCTTCAAATAAAAACTAGACAGAAGTATTCTCAAAAAGTTATTTGTGATGTGTGTCCTCAACCAACAGAGTTAAACCTTTGTTTTCATACAGCAGTTTAGAAACACACTTTTTGTACAATGTACAAGTGGATATTTGGAGAGGTTTGAAAATTTCGTTGGAAGCGGAATACCTTCATATAAAACTAGACAGAAGCATTGTCAGAAACGTCTCTGTGACTTTTGCATTTAACTCATAGAGTTGAACATTCCCCTTCATTCAGCATGTTTGAAACGCTCTCTATAGTATGTGGAAATGGATATTTCGAGTTCTTTGAGGCCTATGGCGAAGAAGGAAATATCTTCCCAAAAAAACTAGACGAAAGCATTCTTTGAATCTTGTTTGTGATGTGTGTACTCAACAAACAGAGTTGAAACTATCTTTTGATAGAGCAGTTTTGATACACTCTTTTTGTAGAATCTGCAAGTGGATATTTGGATACGTTGGAGGATTTCGTCAGAAACGGGAATATCTTCACAAAAAATCTGGACGGAAGCATTCTCAGAACCTACTTTGTGATGTTTGCATTCAACTCACAGAGCTGAACATTCCCTTTCATAGAGCAGGTTTGAAACACTCTGTCTGTACTATCTGGAAGTGGACATTTCGAGCGCTTTCAGGCCTATGGTGAAAAAGGAAATATCTTCAAATAAAAACTAGACAGAAGCATTCTCAGAAACTTGTTTGTGATGTGACCTCAACTAACAGAGTTGAACCTTTGTTTTGATACAGCAGTTTGGAAACACTATTTTCGTAGAATCTACAAATGGATATTTGGAAACCTTTGAAAATTTCGTTGGACACGGGAAAATCTTCATATAAAATCTAGACAAAAGCATTCTCAGAATCTTCTTTGTGATGTTTTCACTCAACTCATAGAGTTGAACATTCCCTTTCATACAGCACGTTTTAAACTCACTTTGTGTAGTATGTGGAAATGGACATTTTGAGCGCTCTTAGGCCTAAGGTGAAAAGGGAAATATATTCAAGTAAAAACTAGTGAGGAGCATTCTCACAAACCCCTTTGTGATGTGTGTACTCAACTAACAGAGTTGAACATTCCTTTTGAGAGAGCAGTTTTGAAACACTCTTTTTGTAGAATTTGCAAGTGGATATTTGGATAGCTTTGAGAATTTCGTTGGAAACGGGAATATCTTCCTATAAAATATAGACAGAAGCATTCTCAGAATCTCCTTTGTGATGTATGTCCTCAATTAACAGAGTTGAACATTTGTTTGGATACAGCATTTTGGAAACATTCCTTTTGTGGAATCTGCAAGTGGATATTTGGATAGCTTGGAGGATTTCGTTGGAAACGGGATTACGTAAAAAACTAGACAGTAGCATTCTCAGGAACTTGTTTGTGATGTTTGCATTCAAGTCACAGAATTGAACATTCCCTGTCATAGAGCAGGTTTGAAACACTCTTTTTGTGATATATGGAAGTGGACATTTCGAGAGCTTTCAGGCCTATGTTGAGAAAGGAAATACCTTCAAATAAAATCTAGACAGAAGCATTCTCAGAAACATATTTGTGATGTGTGTCCTCATCTAACAGAGTTGAACCTTTGCTTTGATACAGCAGTTTGGAAACACTATTTTTGTAGAATCTACAAGTGGATATTTGGAGAGCATTGAAAATTTCGTTCGAAGCAGGAAAACCTTCATATAAAATCTAGACAGAAGCATTCTCAGAAACCTCTTTGTAATGTTTGCATTCAACTCATAGAGTTGAACATTCCCTTTCATACAGCAGGTTTGAAACACTCTTTTTGTAGTATGTGGAAGTGGACATTTGGAGCGCTTTGAGGCCTACGGTGAAAAAGGAAATATCTTCCCATAAAAACTAGACAGAAGCATTCTCAGAAACTTGTTTGTGACGTGTGTATTCAACAAACAGAGTTGAACCTTTCTTTTTACAGAGCAGCTTTGAAACCCTGTTTTTGTGGAATCTGCAATTGGAAATTTCGATAGTTCTGAGGATTTCGTTGGAAACGGGATTACAAATAGAAAGTAGACAGCAGCATTCTCAGAAACTGCTTTGTGATGTTTGCATTCAAGTCACATAGTTGAACATTCCCTTTCATAGATCAGGTTTGAATCACTGTTTCTGTAGTATCTGGAAGTGGGTATTACGAGCGCTTTCAGGCCTAAGGTGAGAAAGGAAATGTCTTCAAATAAGAACTAGACAGAAGCATTCTCAGAAACTTATTTCTGATGTGTGTCCTCAACTAACAGAGATGAACCTTTGTTTTGATACAGCAGTTTGGAAACACTCTTTTTGTAGAATCTACAAGAGGATATTTTGAGAGCATTGAAAATTTCGTTGGAAGCGGGAAAACCTTCATATAAAATCTAGACAGCAGCATTCTCAGAAACTTCTTTGTGATGTTTGCATTCAACTCATAGAGTTGAACATTCCCATTCATACAGCAGGTTTGAGACACTCTTTGTATAGCATGTGCAAATGGATATTTGGAGCGCTTTGAGGCCTATGGTGAAGAAGGAAATATCTTCCCAAAAAAACTAGACGAAAGCATTCTCGGAATCTTGTTTGCCATGTGTGTACTCAACTAACAGAGTTGAACCTATCTTTTGACAGAGCAGTTTTGAAACACTCTTTTTGTGGAATCTGCAAATGGATATTTGGATAGCTTCGAGGATTTCGTTGGAAACGGGAATATCCTCATTTAAAATCTAGACGGAAGCATTCTCAGAACCTGCTTTGTGATGTTTGCATTCAACTCACAGAGCTGAACATTCCCGTTCATAGAGCAGGTTTGAAACACTCTTTCTGTACTATCTAGAAGTGGACATTTTGAGCGCTTTCAGGCCTATGGTGAAAAAGGAAATATCTTCAAATAAAAACTAGACAGAAGCATTCTCTGAAAGTTATTTGTGATGTGTGTCCTCAACTCACGGAGTTCAACCTTCGTTTTGATACAGCAGTTTGGAAACACTCTTTTTGTAGAATCTACAAATGGATATTTGGAGACCTTTGAAAATTTCGTTGGACACGGGAATATCTTCATATAAAATCTAGACAAAAGCATTCTCAGAATCTTCTTTGTGATGTTTGCATTCAACTCATAGAGTTAAACATTCCCTTTCACACAGCACGTTTGAAACACACTTTGTGGAGTATGTGGAAATGGACATTTCGAGCACTCTTAGGCCTAAGGTGAAAAGGGAAATATCTTCAAATAAAAACTAGTCAGCAGCATTCTCAGAAACCTCTTTGTGATGTGTGTACTCAACTAACAGAGTTGAACCTTCCTTTTCACAGAGCAGTTTGGAAACACTCTTTTTGTGGCATTTGCAAGTGGATATTTGGATAGCTTTGAGGATTTCGTTGGAAACGGGAATATTTTCATATAAAATCTAGACAGAAGCATTCTCAGAATCTTCTTTGTGATGTATGCCCTCAATTCACAGAGTTGAACCTTTGTTTCGATACAGCATTTTGGAAACATTCCTTTTGTAGTATCTGCACGTTGATATTTGGATAGCTTTGAGGATTTCATTGCAAACGGGAATATCTACATATAAAACCTAGACAGAAGCATTCTCAGAAACCTCTTTGTAATGTTTGCATTCAACTCATAGGTTTCAACATTCCCTATCATAGAGCAGGTTTGAAACACTCTTTTTGTAGTATGTGGAAGTGGACATTTGGAGCGCTTTGAGGCCTACGGTGAAAAAGGAAATATCTTCCGATAAAAACTAGACAGAAGCATTCTCAGAAACTTGCTTCTGACGTGTATTCAACTAAAAGAGTTGAACCTTTCTTTTTACAGAGCAGCTTTGAAACACACTTTTGTGGAATCTGCAATTGGAAATTTCGATAGTTCTGAGAATTTCTTTGGAAACGGGATTACAAATAGAAAGTAGACAGCAGCATTCTCAGAAACTGCTTTGTGATGTTTCCATTCAAGTCACATAGTTGAACATTCCCTTTCATAGAGCAGGTTTGAATTGCTGTTTCTGTAGTATCTGGAAGTGGATATTTCGAACGCTTTCAGGTCTAAGGTGAGAAAAGAAATGTCTTCAAATAAAAACTAGACAGAAGTATTCTCAAAAAGTTATTTGTGATGTGTGTCCTCAACCAACAGAGTTAAACCTTTGTTTTGATACAGCAGTTTAGAAACACACTTTTCGTACAATGTACAAGTGGATATTTGGAGAGCTTTGAAAATTTCGTTGGAAGCGGAATACCTTCATATAAAACTAGACAGAAGCATTGTCAGAAACGTCTCTGTGACGTTTGCATTTAACTCATAGAGTTGAACATTCCCCTTCATTCAGCAGGTTTGAAACGCTCTCTATAGTATGTGGAAATGGATATTTCGAGTTCTTTGAGGCCTATGGTGAAGAAGGAAATATCTTCCCAAAAAAACTAGACGAAAGCATTCTCGGAATCTTCTTTGCCATGTGTGTACTCAACTAACAGAGTTGACCCTATCTTTTGACAGAGCAGTTTTGAAACACTCTTTTTGTGGAATCTGCAAATGGATATTTGGATAGCTTCGAGGATTTCGTTGGAAACGGGAATATCCTCATATAAAATCTAGACGGAAGCATTCTCAGAACCTGCTTTGTGATGTTTGCATTCAACTCACAGAGCTGAACATTCCCGTTCATAGAGCAGGTTTGAAACACTCTTTCTGGACTTCCTGGAAGTGGATATTTCGAGCGCTTTCAGGCCTATGGTGAAAAAGGAAATATCTTCAAATAAAAACTAGACAGAAGCATTCTCAGAAACTTATTTGTGATGTGTGTCCTCAACTCACAGAGTTCAACCTTTGTTTTGATACAGCAGTTTGGAAACACTCTTTTTGTAGAATCTACAAATGGATATTTGGAGACCTTTGAAAATTTCGTTGGACACGGGAATATCTTCATATAAAATCTAGACAAAAGCATTCTCAGAATCTTCTTTGTGATGTTTGCATTCAACTCATAGAGTTGAACATTCCCTTTCATACAGCACGTTTGAAACACACTTTTTGTAGTATGTGGAAATGGACATTTCGAGCACTTTTAGGCCTAAGGTGAAAAAGGAAATATCTTCAAATAAAAACTAGTCAGAAGCATTCTCAGAAACCTCTTTGTGATGTGTGTATTCAACTAACAGAGTTGAACCTTTCTTTTCACAGAGCAGCTTTGAAACCCTGTTTTTGTGGAATCTGCAATTGGAAATTTCGATAGTTCTGAGGATTTCGTTGGAAACGGGATTACAAATAGAAAGAAGACAGCAGCATTCTCAGAAACTGCTTTGTGATGTTTGCATTCAAGTCACCTAGTTGAACATTCCCTTTCATAGAGCAGGTTTGAATCACTGTTTCTGTAGTATCTGGAAGTGGGTATTTCGAGTGCTTTCAGGCCTAAGGTGAGAAAGGAAATGTCTTCAAATAAGAACTAGACAGAAGCATTCTCAGAAACTTATTTGTGATGTGTGTCCTCAACTAACAGAGATGAACCTTTGTTTTGACACAGCAGTTTGGAAACACTCTTTTTGTAGAATCTACAAGAGGATATTTTCAGAGCATTGAAAATTTCGTTGGAAGCGGGAAAACCTTCATATAAAATCTAGACAGCAGCATTCTCAGAAACTTCTTTGTGATGTTTGCATTCAACTCATAGAGTTGAACATTCCCATTCATACAGCAGGTTTGAGACACTCTTTGTATAGCATGTGGAAATGGATATTTGGAGCGCTTTGAGGCCTATGGTGAAGAAGGAAATATCTTCCCAAAAAAACTAGACGAAAGCATTCTCGGAATCTTGTTTGCCATGTGTGTACTCAACTAACAGAGTAGAACCTATCTTTTGACAGAGCAGTTTTGAAACACTCTTTTTGTGGAATCTGCAAGTGGATATTTGGATAGCTTCGAGGATTTCGTTGGAAACGGGAATATCCTCATTTAAAATCTAGACGGAAGCATTCTCAGAACCTGCTTTGTGATGTTTGCATTCAACTCACAGAGCTGAACATTCCCGTTCATAGAGCAGGTTTGAAACACTCTTTCTGTACTATCTGGAAGTGGACATTTCGAGCGCTTTCAGGCCTATGGTGAAAAAGGAAATATCTTCAAATAAAAACTAGACAGAAGCATTCTCAGAAACTTATTTGTGATGTGTGTCCTCAACTCACAGAGTTCAACCTTTGTTTTGATACAGCAGTTTGGAAACACTCTTTTTGTAGAAACTACAAATGGATATTTGGAGACCTTTGAAAATTTCGTTGGACACGGGAATATCTTCATATAAAATCTAGACAAAAGCATTCTCAGAATCTTCTTTGTGATGTTTGCATTCAACTCATAGAGTTGAACATTCCCTTTCATACAGCACGTTTGAAACACACTTTGTGGAGTATGTGGAAATGGACATTTCGAGCACTCTTAGGCCTAAGGTGAAAAGGGAAATATCTTCAAATAAAAACTAGTCAGCAGCATTCTCAGAAACCTCTTTGTGATGTGTGTACTCAACTAACAGAGTTGAACCTTCCTTTTCACAGAGCAGTTTGGAAACACTCTTTTTGTGGCATTTGCAAGTGGATATTTGGATAGCTTTGAGGATTTCGTTGGAAGCGGGAATATTTTCATATAAAATCTAGACAGAAGCATTCTCACAATCTTCTTTGTGATGTATGCCCTCAATTCACAGAGTTGAACCTTTGTTTGGATACAGCATTTTGGAAACATTCCTTTTGTAGAATCTGCAAGTTGATATTTGGATAGCTTTGAGGATTTCGTTGGAAACGGGAATATCTACATATAAAATCTAGACAGAAGCATTCTCAGAAACCTCTTTGTAATGTTTGCATTCAACTCATAGAGTTGAACATTCCCTTTCATACAGCAGGTTTGAAACACTCTTTTTGTAGTATGTGGAAGTGGACATTTGGAGCGCTTTGAGGCCTACGGTGAAAAAGGAAATATCTTCCCATAAAAACTAGACAGAAGCATTCTCAGAAACTTGTTTGTGACGTGTGTATTCAACTAACAGAGTTGAACCTTTCTTTTTACAGAGCAGCTTTGAAACCCTGTTTCTGTGGAATCTGCAATTGGAAATTTCGATAGTTCTGAGGATTTCGTTGGAAACGGGATTACAAATAGAAAGTAGACAGCAGCATTCTCAGAAACTGCTTTGTGATGTTTGCATTCAAGTCACCTAGTTGAACATTCCCTTTCATAGAGCAGGTTTGAATCACTGTTTCTGTAGTATCTGGAAGTGGGTATTTCGAGCGCTTTCAGGCCTAAGGTGAGAAAGGAAATGTCTTCAAATAAGAACTAGACAGAAGCATTCTCAGAAACTTATTTGTGATGTGTGTCCTCAACTAACAGAGATGAACCTTTGTTTTGATACAGCAGTTTGGAAACACTCTTTTTGTAGAATCTACAAGAGGATATTTTGAGAGCATTGAAAATTTCGTTGGAAGCGGGAAAACCTTCATATAAAATCTAGACAGCAGCATTCTCAGAAACTTCTTTGTGATGTTTGCATTCAACTCATAGAGTTGAACATTCCCATTCATACAGCAGGTTTGAGACACTCTTTGTATAGCATGTGGAAATGGATATTTGGAGCGCTTTGAGGCCTATGGTGAAGAAGGAAATATCTTCCCAAAAAAACTAGACGAAAGCATTCTCGGAATCTTGTTTGCCATGTGTGTACTCAACTAACAGAGTTGAACCTATCTTTTTAAAGAGCAGTTTTGAAACACTCTTTTTGTGGAATCTGCAAGTGGATATTTGGATAGCTACGAGGATTTCGTTGGAAACGGGAATATCCTCATTTAAAATCTAGACGGAAGCATTCTCAGAACCTGCTTTGTGATGTTTGCATTCAACTCACAGAGCTGAACATTCCCGTTCATAGAGCAGGTTTGAAACACTCTTTCTGTACTATCTGGAAGTGGACATTTCGAGCGCTTTCAGGCCTATGGTGAAAAAGGAAACATCTTCAAATAAAAACTAGACAGAAGCATTCTCAGAAACTTATTTGTGATGTGTGTCCTCAACTCACAGAGTTCAACCTTTGTTTTGATACAGCAGTTTGGAAACACTCTTTTTGTAGAATCTACAAATGGATATTTGGAGACCTTTGAAAATTTCGTTGGACACGGGAATATCTTCATATAAAATCTAGACAAAAGCATTCTCAGAATCTTCTTTGTGATGTTTGCATTCAACTCATAGAGTTGAACATTCCCTTTCATACAGCACGTTTGAAACACACTTTGTGGAGTATGTGGAAATGGACATTTTGAGCACTCTTAGGCCTAAGGTGAAAAGGGAAATATCTTCAAATAAAAACTAGTCAGCAGCATTCTCAGAAACCTCTTTGTGATGTGTGTACTCAACTAACAGAGTTGAACCTTCCTTTTCACAGAGCAGTTTGGAAACACTCTTTTTGTGGCATTTGCAAGTAGATATTTGGATAGCTTTGAGGATTTCATTGGAAACGGGAATATTTTCATATAAAATCTACACAGAAGCATTCTCAGAATCTTCTTTGTGATGTATGCCCTCAATTCACAGAGTTGAACCTTTGTTTGGATACAGCATTTTGGAAACATTCCTTTTGTAGTATCTGCAAGTTGATATTTGGATAGCTTTGAGGATTTCGTTGGAAACGGGAATATCTACATATAAAACCTAGACAGAAGCATTCTCAGAAACCTCTTTGTAATGTTTGCATTCAACTCATAGGTTTCAACATTCCCTATCATAGAGCAGGTTTGAAACACTCTTTTTGTAGTATGTGGAAGTGGACATTTGGAGCGCTTTGAGGCCTACGGTGAAAAAGGAAATATCTTCCGATAAAAACTAGACAGAAGCATTCTCAGAAACTTGCTTCTGACGTGTATTCAACTAAAAGAGTTGAACCTTTCTTTTTACAGAGCAGCTTTGAAACACACTTTTGTGGAATCTGCAATTGGAAATTTCGATAGTTCTGAGAATTTCTTTGGAAACGGGATTACAAATAGAAAGTAGACAGCAGCATTCTCAGAAACTGCTTTGTGATGTTTGCATTCAAGTCACATAGTTGAACATTCCCTTTCATAGGGCAGGTTTGAATCACTATTTCTGTAGTATCTGGAAGTGGATATTTCGAGCGCTTTCAGGCCTAAGGTGAGAAAGGAAATATCTTCAAATAAGAACTAGACAGAAGCATTCTCAGAAACTTATTTGTGATGTGTGTCCTCAACTAACAGAGTTGAACCTTTGTTTTGACACAGCAGTTTGGAAACACTCTTTTTGTAGAATCTACAAGTGGATATTTTGAGAGCATTTTAAATTTCGTTGGAAGCGGGAAAACCTTCATATAAAATCTAGACAGAAGCATTCTCAGAAACTTCTTTGTAATGTTTGCATTCAACTCATAGAGTTGAACATTCCCTTTCATACAGCAGGTTTGAAACACTCTTTTTGTAGTATGTGGAAGTGGACATTTGGAGCGCTTTGAGGCCTACGGTGAAAAAGGAAATATCTTCCCATAAAAACTAGACAGAAGCATTCTCAGAAACTTGTTTGTGACGTGTGTATTCAACTAACAGAGTTGAACCTTTCTTTTTACAGAGCAGCTTTGAAACCCTGTTTCTGTGGAATCTGCAATTGGAAATTTCGATAGTTCTGAGGATTTCGTTGGAAACGGGATTACAAATAGAAAGTAGACAGCAGCATTCTCAGAAACTGCTTTGTGATGTTTGCATTCAAGTCACATAGTTGAACATTCCCTTTCATAGAGCAGGTTTGAATCACTGTTTCTGTAGTATCTGGAAGTGGGTATTTCGAGCGCTTTCAGGCCTAAGGTGAGAAAGGAAATGTCTTCAAATAAGAACTAGACAGAAGCATTCTCAGAAACTTATTTGTGATGTGTGTCCTCAACTAACAGAGATGAACCTTTGTTTTGATACAGCAGTTTGGAAACACTCTTTTTGTAGAATCTACAAGAGGATATTTTGAGTGCATTGAAAATTTCGTTGGAAGCGGGAAAACCTTCATATAAAATCTAGACAGCAGCATTCTCAGAAACTTCTTTGTGATGTTTGCATTCAACTCATAGAGTTGAACATTCCCATTCATACAGCAGGTTTGAGACACTCTTTGTATAGCATGTGGAAATGGATATTTGGAGCGCTTTGAGGCCTATGGTGAAGAAGGAAATATCTTCCCAAAAAAACTAGACGAAAGCATTCTCGGAATCTTGTTTGCCATGTGTGTACTCAACTAACAGAGTTGAACCTATCTTTTGACAGAGCAGTTTTGAAACACTCTTTTTGTGGAATCTGCAAATGGATATTTGGATAGCTTCGAGGATTTCGTTGGAAACGGGAATATCCTCATTTAAAATCTAGACGGAAGCATTCTCAGAACCTGCTTTGTGATGTTTGCATTCAACTCACAGAGCTGAACATTCCCGTTCATAGAGCAGGTTTG